>NC_000023.11:17895063-18198094 GCF_000001405.40 Homo sapiens | reverse complement strand
TTTATGGTTTTAGGTCTAACGTTTAAGTCTTTACGCCATCTTGAATTAATTTTTGTATAAGGTGTAAGGAAGGGATCCAGTTTCAGCTTTCTACATATGGCTAGCCAGTTTTCCCAGCACCATTTGTTAAATAGGGAATCCTTTCCCCATTTCTTGTTTTTGTCAGGGGTTTCTGCTTTTGCTTCTATCTCATGAGAGTTATTCACTATCACAAGAATAGCATGGGAAAGACTGGCCCCCATGATTCAGTTACCTCCCCCTAGGTCCCTCCCACAACATGCGGGAATTCTGGGAGATACAATTCAAGTTGAGATTTGGGTGGGGACACAGCCAAACCATATCATTACTCAAGGAGAATTTCACTATGTATAAATTCACGGTTGAGAGTTCTTAAGCACTTGAAAAATGTTCTTTCTGTACGTATGCCGAGAATTGCAGAAACCAGGCTGGAAAACAACCCTCAGACAATGAATTACCCAATTTCTTCGGGAAATGGCAGCGGCCCATGTTCTTCCTCTTCATCTGCCGGCCTCACACCTAATTTTGGTGAATTTCAGATGCTGTATTACAAGTGACACTATTGAATCCGGATCGATCAACATCCTTAATGCAAGCTAGTAGTAGCTCGTTTTTGAAATTAAACTTTTATTTTTATTTTTTTGAGGCGGAGTCTCACTCTGTCACCCAGGCTGGAGTGCAGTGGTGTGGTCTTGGCTCACTGCAACCTCTGCCTCCTGGGTTCAAGAGATTCTCCTGCCTCAGCCTCCCAAGTAGCTGGAACTATAGGGCATGCCACCATGCCTGGCTAATTTTTGTATTTTTAGTAGGGACGGGGTTTCACCATGTTGGCCAGGCTGGTCTCAAACGCCTGACCTTAGGTGATCTACCCTCCTTGGCCTCCCAAAGTGCTGGGATTATAGGCGTGAGCCACCGTGCCCAGCCATTTTTATTTTGAAATAATTTTAGATTCACATGTATTTGTAAGAAATAATAGAAATGATCCCCTTTATGCTTTACCCTTTTCTACCAGCAATATCATCTTACAAAACTATAGTAAATTAACACAACCAGGATATTGACATTGATACAATACACAGATATAACTGAGATAGCCCCAGTTTTACTTATAATAATCTGTGGGTGTATCTGTATTTCTTTCTGTGCAAGTTTTCTTCCACGAATAGGTTTGATTCTCACCACCACAGTCAAGACATAGAACATTTCCATCACCACCAGGCTGCCTCATCTTTGATAACCACCCCCACCTCTCTCAGGTCACCCTTTTCTTCCCCATTGACTGTTCCCTAACCTCTGACAAACGCTGGCCTCTATAATTTTGTCACTTTAAGAGTGTAATATAAAGGGAATCTTATGGCATGTAGGTTTTTTTTTTTTTTTTTCAGTCAGTATGATTCCCTAAAGGCTTATACAGGTTGTTGTGTGTATCAGTTGTTCCTCTTTTTTTTCTGATAATCTTCCATGGTTTGGATATACAATAGTTGTTTTTAACCATTTACCAATTGAAGGCCATTATTTCCCCCCTCCCACTCTTTGGTATTAGGACTAAACTGCTCTGAACATTCCTATACTGGTTTTTGGATAAATATAAGTTTTCATTTGTCTGTCATGAATGTCAAGAGCACAATTGCTGGGTCTTATGGTACTAGCATGTTTAGTTTTATAAGAAACTGCCAAACATTTTTCCAGAAAGGCTTTACATGTATGGGTGATCCAGTTTCTCCATATTTATATTTCTTATCTTTCTTTTTTCTCTTCTTTCCTTTTTTTTTTTTCAATTGAGACAGTCTCGCTCTGTCATCCAGGCTGGAGTGCAGTGGTGTGATCTGGGCTTACTGCAACCTCTACCTCCCAGGTTCAAGCAGTTCTCTTGCCTCAGCCTCCCAAGTAGCTGGGATTACAGGCACCCACCACCACACCCGGCAAATTTTTGTATTTTTAGTAGAAACGGGGTTTCGCCATGTTGGCTAGGCTGGTCTTGAACTCCTGACCTCAGGGGATCCGCCCACCTCGGCCTCCCAAAGTGTTGGGATTACAGGTGGAGCCACTGCTCCCGGCCTATATTGTGGTCTTTCTATCAGTCTTTCTTCCTTCCTGATGCTCCAGGATTTCTTTCATCATACCCTTTCTGTTTTAACATTTCCTTCCCTCCCTCCCTCCCTCCCTCCCTCCCTTCCTCTGTCTCTTTCGTTCTTTCGTTCTTCTTTTGTCTCACTCTGTCATCCAGGCTGGAGTGCAGTGGTGCAATCATGGCTCACTGCAGCCTCCATTTCCCGGGCTCAGGTGACCCTCCCTCAGCCTCCTGACTCAGCTAGGACTACAGGTGCTTGCTATCACTCCTGGCTAGTTTTTAAATTTTTTTGTAGAGGTGGGGTCTCATGTTGTCCAGGCTGGTCTCGAACTTCTGGGCTCAGGCAATCCACTTGTCTCCGCCTCCCAAAGTATTGGGATTGTAGGCATGAGCCACTGCACCAGGCCTGGAGATTTTCCTTTAACCTTTTATATGGATAAGTCGGCTAGGGACAGATTTTTTTAGTTTTCTTTCGTTCGAGAAATGTCTTTACCTTTTTTCCAGAAGGATAGTTTTACCTCATGTAGAATTTATGATTGAGCATTCTTTTTTTTTCCCAATAGCTGAGAAAATTATACTTACTGAAATGCCAGGAACAACAGAAACCAACGTGGAAAATAACTCTCAGACAGTGTATTACCCAGCTTTATCGGGAAATACGAGTGCCCCATATCCAGCCTCTTCATATCTTCCCATCACTTCTAATTTTGGTGAGTTTGAAATAATGGATATCACAAGCAGGCCTCTCATCTAGATTCATCAACATTCTTAATATTAATTCTTAGTGGTAGCTTTTTACAAATTAAACTTTTCATATTGAGGTAGTTCAGAAATCATACACAGGTATAAGAAAGAAGACAGAAAAATCCTGACTACCCTTTACCTAATTTCCCCCAATAATTATATTTAGCAAAAAACAACAAATATTACAACCAGCATATTCACATTTATACAAGCCACAGATCTTATAGAGATGTCCCATTTTACTTGTATTTATTTGTGTGTGTGTGTGTGTGTGTGTGTGTGTGTGTGTTTAGTACTATGCAGCTTTATTCCACAAGTAGGTTTGTGTGCCCACCACCACAGTCAAGGTAGAGATCATTTCCATCAGCATGAGGCACTGTTGTGTTACCTTTGATAACCACACCAACTCTCTCAGGTCACCCTTCCCTAACACTCCATGACCCATCCCTAACACCTGGCTTCCACTGATCTCTTCTTTATCTCTGTAATTTTATCTCTTTCAATTGTTGTATAAGTGGAATCATATTTGGAATTGGATTTTTTTTCACTCAGCTTAGAGACTCGTCCAGGTTGTTTTTTCTATTAATAGTTTATTCCTATTGCTGAATAGTATTGCATGTCTGGATATACTATGTTTTCTTCAACCATTCACCTGCTGAAGGACGTCTGGTGGGTTTTTTGTGTTTTTATTTTATTTTTATTTTTTGTCTATTGGGTGTAAAGCCGCTATGAATTGTCATGTACACATTTTTGTATAAATGTAAGTTTTCATTTCTCAGTAGTTTCTTTCTTTCTATTGATGAATAGTTCCTTCCTTTCCATGGTACAGATAGGAACAGTTTTTTTTTTTTTAAACCATTCACCTATTGAAGGACATCTGGTTTTTTCTTTCAATTTTTGGATAATGCAAGTAAAGCCACTTTGAACATTCATGTACTGTGTACTGGTTTTTGGGAAAATATAAGTTTTCATTTCTCTGTCATGAATGCCAAGAGAACAATTGCTGAGTCTTATGGTACTAGCATGTTTAGTTTTATAAGAAACTGCCAAACAGTTTCCTAGAGAGGCTGTACTATTGTTTATTTCCAACAGCAATGTATGAGTGATCCAATTTCTCCACATCTGTATTTCTGATCTTTCCATCATTCTTTCTTCCTTCCTGATACTCCAAGATTTCTTCTCTTATAGTATCTTTTCTGTTTGAAGGTTTTCGTATAGCCATTTTTTTAAGGGTAAATCTGCGAGGGACAAATTCGTTTAATTTTCCATTTTGTGAGGATGTTTTTATTTTCCCTTCTTTCCTGAGGGACAATTTCACCCAGTATAAAATTCATAGTTGAGAGTTCTTTTCTTTCAGTACTTGAAAGAGTTGCAGAAATGCCAGAAACAGCAGGAACTAACGTAAAAAACAATACTCAGACAGTGAATTACCCACCTTCATCAGGAAGGGGCCGTAGCCAAGGTAACGCCTCTTTATCGCTCTCCATTCCTCCCAAGTTTGGTGAGTTTGAAATGATACATGTTATTAGTAGCACTGTCTAATCTACATCCATCAACGTCCTTAATGTAAAACTAGTGGTAGGTTTTTTTAAACTAAACTTTTAATTTTGTGGTCATTTAAGATATATAGGTAGTTGTAAGAAATAATGCAGAGAAATACCCCTTCCACTTTACCTATTCTTCCCAACAATAGCATCTTGCAAAACTGTAACAGAACATCACAACCAGAATATTGACATCGATATTATCCACACATCTTATTGAGATCTCCCACTTAATTGTATTAATTTGTTTGTGTGCATTTAGTTCTACCTAGTTTTGTCACGAGTAGGTTTGATTCCCACCACCATGACCAAGATACACATTTCCATGATTACCAAGATGTCTCATTTTACTCTTTTTCTTTTCTTTTCTTTTCTTTTCTTTTCTTTTTGTGAGACAGAGTCTCAAAAATCTCTGTCTGTCGCCCAGGCTGGAGTGCAGTGGCGCAGTCTTGGCTCACAGCAACCTCCACCTCTTGGGTTCAAGCGATTCTCGTGCCTCAGCCTCCTAAGTAGCTGGGATTACAGGCATGTGACACCACGCCGAGCTAATTTTTGTATTTTTTGGTAGAGATGGGGTTTCACTGTGTTGGGCAGGCTGGTCTTGAACTCCTGGCCTCAAGTGATCTGCCCACTTCGGCCTCCCAAAGTGCTGGGATTACAGGCATGAGCCACTGCACCCAACTTTGGCTGTTTTGTTTTTTGTTTTTTGTTTTTGTTTTTGTTTTTAATTTTGGAGTTTTTGTAGAGATGGGGTTTCACCATGTTGGCCAGGCTGGCCTCCAACTCCTGGCACCAAGTGATCCACCTGCCTTGGCCTCCTAAAGTGCTGGGATTACAGGCATGAGCCACCACGCCCGGCCCATCTTGCTCTTTAATAACCACACCTGCCTCAGCACATAATTCCCTGAACAGTCATCTGACTGACTGGATGTATGAGTGGTCCTTAATTTTTATTGTGGACACTATTCCATGGTATGGATGTTTCACAGTTGGCTTATTCATTCACCCATTGGAAGATATCTTGGCTGTTTCTAGTTTTTGACTATTACAAGTAAAGTTGCGATGACCACTGATGTACAGATTTTTGTATAAACAGAAGTTTTGATTTCTCTTGGATAAATGTCCAAGAGTGCAAAGGCTTGGTTGTATAGTAATTGCATGTTTAGTGTTATAAGAAACTGCCAAATAGTATTCCAGAGAGACTGTATCATTTTACATTCTCGCCAATTATGTATGAATGATCCGGTTTCTCCATATGCATATTTCTTCTTCTTTCATTGTTTTTTCTTCCTTTTTGATGCTCCAAGATTTGCTTTTTCATCATTCTTTTCTGTTTGATGATTTTCCTTTAGCCGTTCTTTAAGTGTTTGCCAGTTAGTGACAAATACTTCAGTTTTCCCTCATGTGAGAATGTCTTTATCTTCCCTATATTTGAAGGATACTTTTGCCTGATAATAGAATTCATGATTGAGATTTATTGTCTTTCAATATTTGAAATATTTTATTTATAGAAACATTGGGAAAAGCATGAACCAGCCCAGGAAAGAGGTCTGCAAAAACAAATTACAGACCTTTATTAGAAAACAACAGTCACCAGAATGTTTCCTCATTATTTCATAGCGTTCCTTGCAATTTTGGTGAGATTGAAATGATACTTGCTATATGTAGCACTATTTAATCTAGATTCATTAGCATCCGTAGTGCAAGATATTGGTAGCTTTTTCCAATTAAAGTTTTTATTTTCAGAAAAATTTAGCTACACATGCAGTTATAATAAATAATACAGAGAAATATGTGTTTCCATTACCACTTTTCCCAACAGTAACATCTTGCAAAACTATAAGAAATTATCACAAACAGGGTGTTGACGTGATACCTTCTACAGATATTATTGAGATGTCCCCAGTTTTACTTGTATTTATTTGTGTGCATGTGTATGTGTGTGTTTTAGTTCAATTTTTATCATATGTTTAGGTTCATGTATCCTCTACCACAGGCAAGCCCCCAAATGGTTCCTTCTTTTTTATTGCTGAGTGCTATTCCATGGTGTAGATGTACCGTGGTTTGTTTATCTTTTCAGGCATTGAAAGACATCTAGGTTGTTTCCTGGTTTTGGCTATTAGAAGTAAAGCTGCTATGAACACTCATATACCATATAGGCTTTGTGTGAACACAAGCTTTCATTTCTCTGAGATACTGCCCAAGAGTGCTGTTGCTGGGTCCTATGGTAATGGTATGTTTAGTTTTATAAAATACTGCCAAGTTGTTTTCCAGAGTGTCTGTACCATTTTCTACCCCGACCAGCAACATGTGAGTGACCTAGTTTCTCCACGCCCATATTTCTGCTCTTTCTGTTGTTCTTTCTTCCTTCGTGACGGTGCAAGATTCCTTCCTTCATCATATCCTTTCAGTTTGAAGATCTCCTTTAGTTGTTCTTTAAGGGTAAGTCAGCCAGTCACCGTTTTTTAAAGTTTTTCTTTGTCTGAGAATGTCTTTATTTTTCTTTTATTCCTGAAGGATAGTTTCACCTGATCTAAAAAACATGGTTGAGATTTCTTGTCTTTCAGCACTGCAAAATGTTTTACATATTGAAATGTTGTTCAAAACAGAATCTGGCCCACAAATGAGTTATGGGACAATGAGTTACTCAACTGAAATGAAAAATAACTGTGACCAAGATGATGCTTCAGCATCTGCCTGCCTCACTCCCGATTTTGGTGAGTTTGAAATGATATATGTTACAAGTAGCACTCTTTAATCTAGATTGAAAGAATACAGAGAGATCTTGTGTACCTTTACCCAGTTTCCCCCAATAGTACTATTTTACAAAAATATAGTAAAATATCACAACTAGGATTTTGACATTGATGCAATCACCAGATCTACTCAGATGTCCTCTGCTTTTCATGTATTCATTTGTGTGTGAGTGTGTGTGTGTGTGTGTGTGTGTGAGAGAGAGAGAGAGAGAGAGAGAGAGTATATTTAGTTGTCTGGAATTTTATGACATCTACTTTCAGTCATAAATAAACCTAACTGTATCTAGTCATGATACAGACTGTCCCATGACTTCCAGGAACTCTCTTACTGACTTTTTATAACCATATCTACTCCTTCATGTCATTCCCTGCCTGGCCTCATCTTTATTCCATACAACTACTAGTATGTTCTCCCTTTTTATAATTTTGTCATTGTAAGAATGGACTGATATACCATTGGACTGATAAATGGACTGATATACCATTTAACCTTTTGAGATTGCTTTTTTTCCACATAGCATAATTCCCTGGAGATTTATACAAGTTTTTGTGTATATCAGAAATTCCTTCCTGTTTATTGCTGAGTACTATTTCATGGTATGGATTTATCATGGTTTGTCACCCACTGAAGGACATCTAGATTGTTGTTTTTGGCTATTACAAATAAAGCAGCTATGACAACCAGAGTACAGGTTTTTGTGTGAACATAACGTTTTTCATTTTTCTGTGATAAATGCCGAAGAGTGCAATTAACTGCTGGGTGGTATATTAATTGCATGTGTAGTTTTATAAGAAACCGTCAACTATTTCCAGAGTGGCTGTGCCATTTTACATTCCCATCAGCAGTGTATGAGTGATTCAGTTTCTCTGCGTTCTTACCAGCATTTTGTATGTTCGCTTTTTTTTTTTTTTGAGATAGAGTCTCGGTCTGTCACCCAGGCTGGAGTGCAGTGGTGCAATCTCGGCTCACTGCAACCTCTGTCTCCTGGGTTCAAGCGATTCTCCTGCCTCAGCCTCCCGAGTAGCTGGGACTACAGGCATGTGCCACCATGCTCGGCTAATTTTTTGTATTTTTTTAGTAGAGACTGGGTTTCACCATGTTAGCCAGGATGGTCTCGATCTCCTGACCTCATGATCTGCCCAGCACTTAGCCATTCTGATAGGTATATGGTAATATTTCATTGAGGGTTTAATATGCATTGGCCTTTCGAAATGATGTATGGCTCTTCATGTGCTAATTTTCTATCTGCATATCCTCTTTGAAATATCTATTCTTGTCTTATAGTAATGTTTGCTTTTTTATGCTTACATTTTGAGAGTTACTTAATTGAAATGATCATACAATTTTTGTCCTTCATTCTGTTCATATGACATATCACATTGATTAATTTGTGTATGTTGAACCATCCTTGAATCCCTGGGATAAATCCCACTTGGTCATGATGAATGCTCGTTTTGAGACAGTCTCTGTCACCCAGACTGTAGTGCAGTGGCATGATCATGGCTCACTGCTGCCTCGACCCCCTCAGGCTCAAAAGATCCTCCCAACTCAGCCTCCCAAGTAGCTGGGACTACAGGGATGGACAACCATGCCTGGCTAATTTTTAAATTTTTTTTGTAGAGACAAAATCTTGTTGTATTGCTCAGGCTGGTCTCAATCTCCTGGGCTCAAGCAGTCTTCCCGCCTTGGCCTCCCAAAGTACTAGGATTGCAGGCATGAGACCCCATGGCCATCCATGAATGATTTTTTTTTTTTTTTTTTGAGATGGATTCTCTTTCTGTCGCCCAGGCTGGAGTGCAGTGGCACAATCTTGGCCCACTGCAACCTCTGCCTGCCAGGTTCAGGTAATTCTTCTACCTCAGCCTCCTGAGTAGCTGGGACTACAGGCATGCGCCACCATGCCTGGCCAATTTTCTGTATTTTTAGTAGAGATGGGGTTTCACCGTGCTGGCCAGGCTGGTCTCGAACTCCTGACCTCGTAATCCACCCGCCTCGGCCTCCCAAAGTGCTGGGATTACAGGCGTGAGCCACTGCACCCGGCTGATCTTTTTAATGTATTGTTGAATTCTATTTCCTAGTATTTTGTTGAGGGTTTTTGCATCAGTATTTATCAGAGATATTGGCCTGTGGTTTTCTTTTTTTGATGTGTCTTTGTCTAGCTTTGGTATCAGGGTAATACTGACCTCGTATAATGAATTTTGAAGTATTCCTTCCTCCTCTATTTTTGGGAATAGTTTGAGTAGGATTGGTATTAATTCTTTAAATATTTGGTAGAATTCAGCAGTGAAGCCTTTGGGTCTTGAGCTTTTCTTTACTGGGAGAATTCTATTATGGCTTCAGTCTCATTACTTGTTATTTATCTGTTCAGGTTTTGGATTCCTTCACGGTTCAAACTTGGTAGGTGTTATGTGTCTAGGAATTTATACATTTCCTCTAGATTTTCCAGTTTGTTGGCATGCAGTTACTCATGGTAGCCACTAATGATCCCTTTGAATTTCTGCGGTATCAGTTGTAATGTCTCCTTTTTAATCTCTGGTTTTATTTATTTGGATTTTGTCTCTTTTTCTTTTTCTTTTTTTTTATTATACTTTAAGTTCTAGGGTACATGTGCACAACCAACAGACACATGAAAAAATGCTCGTCATCACTGTCTCTTTTTCTTAGTTAGTCTGGCTTAAAGGTTTGCCAATTTTATCTGTCTTTTCAGAAAAGCAACCTTTTCTTTCATTTCATTTTTTGTATTGTTTTCTTCATTTTAAATTCTTTTGCTTCTGCTCTGATCTTTATTATTATTTTCTTCTACTAATTCTGGGTATGGTTTGCTCTTCCTTCCCTAGTTCTTTAAGATACATCATTAGGTTATTTATTTGAAGTTTTTCTTCTTTTTTGATGTAGGCACTTATAGCTATAAATTTCTCTCTTACTACTGCTTTTGCTCTATCCCATAGGTTTTGGTATGTTGTGTTTCCATTACCATTTGTTTCAAGATTTTTTTTTCAATTTCCCTCTTAATTTCTTCATTGACCATTCATTTACCATTGCCCACTGATCATTTAAGAACATATTATTTAATTTTCATGTATAGTTTCCCAAATTCCTCATTACTGATTTCTGGCTTTATTCCATTGTAGTCAGAGAAGATGCTTGAAATTGAATAATTTTCAATTCTTTTGAATATTTTCAGACTTATTTTGTGACTTAACATATGGTCAATCCTTGAGAATGATTCTTGTGCTGAGAAGAAATATTAATAGGTATTTGCAGAACAGCTGCAGAATATACATTTAATATATCCGTGAAATGTTCATATCTATTAGACCCATTTGGTCTATAGTACAGATTAAATCTGATCTTTCTTTGTTAATATTCTGTCTGAATGATCTGTCCAATGCTGAAAGTGAGGTGTTGAAGTCTCTGGCTATTAGTATTGTGGCCTATCTCTCTCTTTAGCTCTAATAATATTTGCTTTATATATGTGGGTACACCAGTGTTGGGTGCATAGAGATTTACAATTGTTATATCCTTTTGCTGAATTGACCCCTTAATCATTATGTGATGGTCTCCTTTGTCTCTTCTTGCAGTTTTTTGTCTTGAAATCTATTTTGTTTGATATAAGTACAGCTACTCCTACTCTTTTTTGGTTTCCATTGGCATGGAATATCTTTTTCCATCCCTTTATTTTCAGCGTATCTTTACAGGTGAAGTGTGCTTCTTGTACACAACAGATCATTGTTTCTTGCTTTTTTATCCATTCAGCCACTCTATCTTTTGATTGGAGAGTTTAGTCCATTTACATTCAATTTTTTTTATTGGTAAGTTGGGACTTTTTCCTGCGATTTTGTTATTTGTTCTCTGGTTGTTTTTCGGTCTTCTCTTCCTTCCTTCTTTCCTTCCTTCCTGTCTTCCTTTTAGTGAAGGTAATTTTTTCTGGTGGCATGATTTAATTTCTTGTTTTTGTGTGTGTGTGTCCATCGTATCTTTTTTTTTTTTTTTCCAGACAGGGTCTTGCTCTGTTGCCCAGGCGGGAGTGCAGTGGTACGATCTTGGCTCACTGTACCCTTGACTTCCCAGGCTCAAGCGATCTTCCCACCTCAGCCTCCAAAGTAGCTTGGACTACAGGCACGTGTCCCCATACCCGGAAAACTTTTTGTATTTTTTGTAGTGATAGGGTTTCGCCATGTTTCCTAGGCTGAACTTTTCTTGAACTCCTAGGCTCAAGTGATCCTCCCACCTCGGCCTCCCAAAGTGCTGGAATTACAGGCATAAACCACCATGCCCAGCCCCATTGTATGTTGTTTGCTTTGAGGTTACCATGAGGTTTGCAAATACTGTCTTATAACCCATTATTGTAAACTAATGACAACTTAACACTGATTGCACAAACCAACCAACAAGCAAAAAGAAAACTAATGAAAACTCTACACTTTAACTTAATTTCCCTTTTTAACTTTTTGTTTCTCTTTATGTCTTATTGTACTATGTCTTTTTTTTTTTTTTTTTTTCCGACGGAGTTTCCTTCTTTTCACCCAGGCTGGAGTGCAATGGCGCAATCTCGGCTCACTGCAACCTCTGCCTCCTGGGTTCAAGCAATTCTCCTGCCCCAGCCTCCTGAGTAGCAGGGATTACTGGCACCCGCCACCACGCCTGGCTACTTTTTGTATTTTTAGTGGAGTCGGGGTTTCACCATGTTGGCCAGGCTGGTGTCAAACTCCTGACCTCAGATGCTCTGCCTGCCTCGGCCTCCCAAAATGCTGGGATTACAGGTGTCAACCACTGCACCTGGCCTGTACTGTCTATGTCTTGAAAAGTTGTTGTAGTTATTATTTTTGATTGGGTCATCATTTAGACTTTCTACTTAAGAGTATTTTATACAGCACAATTACAGTGTTATAATACTCTGTGTGTTGTTATTACCAGTAAGTTTTATACCTTCAGATGATCTGTTATTGGTAATTAATGTCTTTTTCTTTCAGATTGAAGAAGTCTCTTTAGCATTTCTTATAGCATAGGTCTGGTGTTGATGAAATCTGTCAGCTTTTGTTTGTCTGGGAAAGTCTTTATTTCTCCTTCATGTTTGAAGGATATTTTCACCAGATATACTATTCTAGGATAAAATTTTTTTCCTTCAGCACTTTAAATATGTCATGGAACTCTCTCCTGGCCTGCAAGATTTCCACTGAAAAGTCTGCTGCCCGTCGTATTGGAGGTCTTTGTATGTTGTTTGTTTCTTTTCTCTTACTGCTTTTAGGATCCTTTTGTAATCCTTGCCCTTTGAGAGTTTGATTATTAAATGTCTTGAGGTAGTCTTCTTTGGGTGAAATCTGCTTGGTGTTCTATAACCTTGTACTTGGATATTCTTGCTCTAAGTTTGGAAAGTTGTCTGTTATTATTATTATTATTATTATTATTATTATTATTATTATTATTTTTGCGACTGAGTCTCGCTCTGTCACCTAGGCTGGAGTGCAGTGGCGTGATCTCAGCTCACTGCAACTTCCACCTCCCGGGTTCAAGTGATTCTCGTGCCTCAGCCTTCTAAGTAGCTGGGATTATAGGCACGCGCCACCATGCCTGGCTAATTTTTTGTATTTTTTAGTAGAAATGGGGGTTCGTCACGTTGCTCAGGCTGGTCTTGAACTCCTGAGCTCAGGCAGTCTGCCTGCCTTGGCCCCCCAAAGTGTTAGGATTGCAGGCATGAGCCACTGCACCCAGCCAATCTTTCTGAATAAACTTTCTACCCCATCTTTCTCTCGATGTCCTCTTTAAGGCCAATAACTCTTAGATTTGCCATTTTGAGGCTGTTTTCTAGATCTTGTAGACATGCTTCATTCTTTTTTCTTTTGTCTTTTTTGTATTTTCAAATAGCCTGTCTTCAAGCTCACTAATTCTTTCTTCTGCTTGATCAGTTCTGCTATTAAGAGACCCTGATGCATTCTTCAGTATGTCAACCGCATTTTTCAACTCCAGAATTTCTGCTTGATACTTTTTATTTCAATCTCTTTGTTAAATTTATCTGATAGAATTATGAATTCCTTCTTTGTGTTATCTTGAATTTCTTTGAGTTTCCTCAAAACATCTATTTTGAAATCTGTGTTGGAAAGGTCAGATATCTCTGTTTCTCTGGGATTGGTCCCTGGTGCCTTATTTCATTCGTTTGGTGAGGTCATGTTTTCCTGGATGGAGTTGATGCTTGTGGATGTTCGTCTGTCTGGGCATTGAAGAGTTAGATATTTATTGTTGTCTTTGCTGTCTGGGCTTACTTGTGCCATCCTTCTTGGAAAGGCTTTCCAGGTATTCAAAGGGACTTGGGTGTTGTGATCTAAGTTTCTGGTCACTGAAGCCATGTCTGCATCAGGGGACACCCCAAGTCCAGTAATGCAGTGGCTCTTGAAGACTTGTAGAGGTGCCGCCTTGGTGATCTAGGTTAAGATCCAGAAGAATTCTCTGGATTACCAGGCAGAGACTCTTGTTCTTTTTTTGAGACGGAGTCTCATTCTGTTGCCCAGGCTGGAGTGCAGTGGTGTGATCTCTGCTCACTGCAATCTCCACCTCCCGGGCTCAAGAGATTCTCCTGCCTCAGCCTCCCAAGTAGCTGAGATTACAGGTGTGCATCACCATGCCCGGCTAATTTTTGTATTTTTAGTAGAGATGGGGTTTCATCATGTTGGCCAGGCTGGTCTCGAACTCCTGACCTCAGGTGATCTGCCCGCCTCAGCCTCCCAAAGTGCTGGGATTACAGGAATGAGCCACTGCGCCTGGGCTCTTCCCTTACGTCCCCCCAAACAAAGGAGTCTCTGTCTATGGTGAGCTGCATGGAGCTGGGGAAGGGGTGACACAAACACCCCTGTGGACACCACCACTGGGACTGTGCTGGGTCAGACCTGAAGCCAGCAGAGCCCTGAGTCTTGCCCAAGGCTCGCTGTAACCGCTACCTGGCTACAGCGTGTGTTTGCTCAAGGCCCTCAGCCTCTACAATCAGTAGGTGGTGAAGCCAGCCAGGCTTGTGTCCTTCCCTTCAGGGTGGTGAGTTCCCCCCAGCCTTGGGCAGGTCCAGAGATGCCAATCAGAAACCAGGGCCTGGAGCTGGAGACCTCAGGAATCTACCTGGTGCTCTATTCTGCTGAGCTGGCACCCAAGCCACAAGACAAAGTCCTTCCCACTCTTCCCTCCCGTTTCTACAAGCAGAGAAGTCTCTCCTTGTGGCCACCACTGCCGCAGGCCCACAATGGGTACCTCCAGGCCACCACTGCTGTTCACTCAGCTTACGGTGAATGCTGCCAGGCCTGGGACTCACTCTTCAGGGCAGTGGGCTCCCCTCTGGCCCAGGGCAGGCCCAGAAATGCCATCTAAGAGCCAAGGCCTGGAATCAGGGACCCCAAGAGCCCACTTTGTACCCTACCCCACTGTGGCCAAGCTGGGACCTAAGCTGATTTTGGATTTCTTATTAAGGTGCTTTTTTGTGTAGATAGTTGTTAAATTTGGTGTTCTTGAGAACAATCAGTGGAGGCTTCTATTTAGCCATCTAGCTCCGAAGCTGTGTCCTGTGTGTTTTAAAATTTCCTTGGAGACTTCTTTTTGACGTGTGGATTATTTAGGAGTTTGCTGTTTAATTTCCAAGTGTTTATAGATTTTTCTCTTGTCTGTTATTGATTTCTAGTTTGGTTCCACTGTGGTCAGAAAATATACTCTATATGATTTCAATTCTTTTATATTTATTGAGGTTTTTTCCTTTGGCTCAGGCTGTGGTCTGTCTTGGTGAATGGTCCATAGGCATTTGAAAAAAAATGTATATTCTGCTTTTATTAGATGGAATGTTCTATAATGAAAATCCTGTTGGTTGGTTGTGTGTTACTCAGGTCTTCTCTGTCCTTGCTGATGTTCTGTCTGGTTGTTCTTTTTTTTTTTTTTTTTTTTTTTTGGAGACAGAGTCTCGCTCTGTCACCCAGGCTGGAGTGCAATGGCATGATCTTGCCTCACTGCAACCCCTGCCTTCTGGGTTCAAGTGATTCTCGCACCTCAGCCTCCTGAGTAGCTGGAACTATAGGCGTGTACTACCACGCCTGGCTAATTTTTGTATTTTTAGTAGAGACGGGGTTTCACCATGTTGGCCAGGCTGGTCTCTAACTCCTGATCTCCAGATGATCTGCCCATCTCAGCCTCCCAAAGTGCTGGGATTACAGGCATAAGCCCCCCGTGCCCGGCCTCTGTAAGGTTGTCCTGTCAGTTGCTGAGAGGTGGGTGCTGAGGTCCTCAATATAATTGTGGGTTTGTCTATTTTGCCTTTCTACTCTTTCAGTTTTTGCTTTATGTATTTTGAGACACTTTTGATTGGTGTGAACATATTGAGGATCATTATATTTTCCTGGGGGTTAACCCTTTTATTGTTATGTAGTGTTCTTATTTGTCTCTGGTAACTTTCTTTGCTCTGAAGTCTGTTTATTTTATCTGATATCAATATAGCCACTCTGCTTTCTTTTTTTTGGATTAATATTTGCATGGTGCATTAGTCCATTTTCATACTGCTATAAAGAAGTACCTGAGACTGAGAAATTTATGAAGAAACGATGTTTAATTGACTCAGAGTTCCACAGCCTTAACAGGAAGCATGACTGGGAGATCTCAGGAAACTTAAAGTCATGGCAGAAGGTGAAGGGGAAGCAAGCACCTTCTTCACATGGTGGCAGGAGAGACCAAAGGGGGAAGTGCCACACTTTTAAACCATCAGATCTCATGAGAAGTCACTCACTCTCATGAGACCAGCAAGGGGGAAATCTGTGCACATTATCCAGTCACCTCCCACCAGGCCCCTCCTCCAATTTGACATGAAGTTTAGGCAGGGATACAAATCCAAACCATATCACATGGTATATATTTTTCATTCTTTTACTTTTAATCTACTTATGTTATTGAATTTGTAGAGTTTCTAATAAAGAGCATATAGTTGGGTCTTGTTTTTCTTTTCATTTACACTACCTGGCAATCGAGGGTCTTGTTTTTTATCTACTTGGTCAATTGCTGCCACTTAATTGGTATGTTTAGATCATTTACATTTAACGTAATTATTGATACAGGGTTTAAGTCTTCCATTTTATTATTTTTCTGTTTATCTTCTGTTTCTCATTCTCCTTTTCTTTTTCTTGCCTTCCTGTGAGTTACTTGAACATTTTAAGTATTCCATCTTGATTTGTTTGTTTTTGAGTATATTGATTTGTGCAGTTTTCCTAGTGGTTGCTCTGAGTGTTACTGTATACGTATGTGACTTATCACTGCCTGTTGGAATCAGCATTTTACCATTTGGAATGAAGTGTTGAAACTTTAATTCCACTTAGGTTTCGTTTTTCTCCCCACCTTTAAATATCATTGTTATAGGTATCAGATGGTGTTTTCATTTTTGTTTCAGTCATTCCATATGATTTAGAGAACTCATGATGGTTTTGTATCGCCTTTCTTTCTGCTCTTTCTCTTCTTCATTTTTATTGCTGAATAGTATTCTGTGGTATGGATTTACCACAGTTCCTTTAACCATTCACCTCTTGAAGGACACTTGGATTGTTTTCAGGTTTTGGCTATCACAAATAAAGCTGCTAAGGATACTCATGTGAAGGTTTTCATGTCAACATGAGCTCTCATTTCTCTGGGATAAATACCTAAGAGTGAAATTTCCAGCAATTTCACTCTTAGGTGCTTAACCCTAAAAAAACCCCTGCAATTAATTACCTCATTTTAAATTATAATAATAATTACAATGATAGTAATTGTAATTACAAATGTAGTAATTGTTTTCCAGTGTGGCTGTTCCATTTCTCCACATGCATCTTTCTATTCTTTCTTCCTTTCTGATGTGCCACTGTTCCTTCTATCATCATAATCTTTCTGTTTGAAGATCTTCTTTTAGCCATTCTTTAAGAGTAGGTCTCCAGCATTTTGGGAGGCTGAGGCAGGCAGATCACTTGAGGTCAGGAATTCAAGACCAGCCTGGCCAACATGGCGAAACCCCATGTCTATTAAAAATAGAAAAATTAGCCAGGTATGGTGGTGGGTGCGTGTAATTCCAGCTACTCGGAAGGCTAAGGCATGAGAATTGCTTGAACCCAGTGGGCAGAGGTTGTAGTAAGCCAAGATCATGCCATTGCACTCCAGCTTGGGCAACATAGTCTAAAAAAAAAAGAAAGAAAGAAAAAAAAAAAGAGTAGGTCTGCTGGCAACAAATCTTTTTAGTTTTCTTTTGTCTGAGAGTGTATTTCCCCTCTGTACCTGAAAAACAGTTTTGCTGGATATAGAATTGTCAGTTGAGAGTTCTTTTCTTTCAGCACTGTTACCTCTGAATATTTTGGTAAAAGTAGACACCAACACGGAAAACAGCGTCAACACAATGAATCGCTCAACTTTATTGGACAGTGACAGTGGCCAGGATTCTTCCTCATCATCTGTCTGTATCCCTCCCAAGTATGGTGAGTTTGAAATAACACACATTATAAGTGGCACTATTTGAGCTACATTCTTCCACTTCCTTGATGCAAGACAGTGAAAGCTCTGTGTTTCCTATTTTGAGGATAGGTTTTAGGTGATATTCAGAACCATGACTAACATTTATTGAGTGCATATTACGTGCAAGGCACTGTGCTAAACAATTAACATGCCTCTTCTTCACTTATACCCATAATGACTCCATGGTGTTGGCACTTTTATTATCCCCATCCCCAAGGTCACAGAGCTGGTGAGTAGGACTTGAGCTCTGCCCCAGCTTTCTCTGACTTTAAAACTCATGTGTCTTTTTTCTTTTTGAAGTGGAGTCTTGCTCTATTGCCCAGGCTGGAGTGCAGTGGCATGATCTTGGCTCACTGCAACCTCCACCTCCCAGGTTCAAGTGATTCTTCTGCCTTAGCCTCCCAAGTAGCTGGAATTACAAGCACACACCACCACACCCAGCTAGTTTTTGTATTTTTAGTAGAGATGGGGTTTGGCCATTTTGGCCAGGCTGTTATCAAACTCCTAGCCTCAAGTGATCCATCTGCCTCGGCCTCCCAAAGTGCTAGGATTACAGGCATGAGCCACCGTAACTGGCCTAAAGCTCATGTTTCTTACCAGTCCACTGTACTGCCTGCCAAGCCACAGTGGCAGAGATGAGGGGACCCCAAGCTCTGTGGCTTCTAAGGGTAAGCCTTCCAAATATTTTATAGTCAGTTCATTTTTGTCTCAACTTCTAAGCAGCTTATCTCTTATTAATATCCTAGAACAAGGATCAGGAAACCTTTTCTGTGAAGGGCTAGATAGTATTGTCTGTCACAAATACCCACCTTTGCTGTTGTAAGATAAGAGCAGCCTCAGCCCATAGACGAATGAATAGGCGTGGCCATGGCCAGCACACCTTTCACACACATTGGTGGGGGGATGGGCCAGTGGACTGCAGTTTGTTGACTCCCTTCCTAGAGGAGAGCTTATTCCTTTAAACTATTTTGTTACTCAAACTAGAAGAAATTTCAAGAATTGTGGTCTCGGCTGGGCACGGTGGCTCAGGCTTGTTAATCCCAGCAATCTGGGAGGCTGAGGTGGGAAAATCGCTTGAGCCCAAGAGTTTGAGACCAGCATGGGCAACATAGCAAAACCCCATCTCTACAAAAAATACAAAAAATTAGCCAGGCGTGGTGGCATGTGCCTGTAATCCCAGCTACTTGGGAGGCTGAGGTGGGAGGATCACTTGAGCAGCCCGGAAGTTTGAGGCTATAGTGAGCCATGATCATGCCACTATACTCCAGCCAAAAAAAAAAAAAAAAAAAAAAACAGAAACAAAAGTTGATTCTCTGTACTGAAATGGGCACTCTGATACATTGTTAGAAATATACATTGGTACAAACTTTCTGAAAGATAGTTTGTAGAGAAATCCATAAAAACATTTATGGCAGTTGACTGTAATCTCACTTTATCTGAAAGTATAATAAAAATTACATAAAAATTTTGGTCTAGAATGTCCTTTACAGAATGATTGGGAAAAATTGGAAGCAAACAAACAAAAATAAATGATGATAGGGAATTAATCACTTGACTTCTGGTGTATCCACAGCATGTGAGGCAGTAAAGCCTAATGGTTGAGGGCATGAGCTCTCATGTCTGCCTGCTTGATTTCAAATCCCAGCTCTTACTAACCTTATGACCTTCAGCCACTTTCCTAACCTAAATACTAGTTTATTCAGTTGTGAAGTGACAAAAATAATAGTGTCTACTTCATAGAATTGTGAGGATCAAATTGGACAATGCATTTAAAGCTCTTAACACAATGCCTGGGATGTAAGTACAACATAAATGTCACTTGTCAGGAAAATTATGATGACAGGAATGCAGATTAAAAAAAAAAGATGAAAACAGAGAAATGCTCAAAATATAATGTTAACTGAAAAAGCAGGATTTAAACTATACTTAAAGTATGATTTCAATTTTGTCTTTTAAAAAAATAAATAGGAAAAAGAATGGAAGATATTAGTAGAAGATTCATGGTTTAGAGCAGTTAACTCATAAACAGACAGATTTTAAAACTGGTTCTGTAACTAGCAGTGTGACCTTTTCAAATAACTTATCTCCTTTGGGCCTCAGTCTCCTTATTTGGAAATAATGGGGTGGGAATAATGGGGTGGGAGTAATGATAGAGTTGTTAGAATGATGAAACTGAGCTAGTGCACAGATGTAAAATATTTAGCACATGCCTGATATACAGGAACTACTGATAAATGCTAGCTATTTGAAAATTTTCTTAATGATCCCCACCCACGCTTTCAACATTGTCTTCAGGGAACATCCACTTGCCCAGTGGAATGGCTCTGAGTGTACTCTTAGAGCGTGAAATGGAGCAGTGGGAACTCAGGGCAACATGTTTACATATGCACCTGCAGCCTAACAATGACATGTGTTCAAGCTAATGAACAGAGTAGTTCAATACAGCAAGCTCAAGACCAGTAGAAGTGAAGAATGTTGACAGTTTGGCAGATGGTGGCAAAGAGACCCATTTAAGGAAGAGGAAGAGATAAGCATAGAAAAAAAATTCACCCAAGTAGAAATTCATGAATTAGAAATCATTTATCTGCATTTGCCTTATTTGAAGAAAAAGAAGAAATAAATCAGTGTAATTCTCTTGTGTACTTTGAGGGTACCCTTGCATGACAAAACCAAGGATGTTCCTTTTTCTCTTTATTTTTAAAGGCTATCTTGGTGATCCAAAAAGAAATGTCAGAGTACTTAAAATCCATTTGCTGGCCGTACAAAATATGGCCAAACCTAAGCAAGCAGCCTGCTACTTGGTTCGTATTTTGTTCTCCAAGGAAATCCTGATTAGCAGCTCAGTGGATATCCATTTGAAAGACAGCCAATCCCTCGACCCGAACAAAATGGCTGCATTGAGAGGTATGTGTACATAAAGTGATAATGGAATCTTATTTTTAATCATCATTTGGTCATATAATGAATGTTATTGGCAGTTGAAGGAATAACAATAAGTCTGTGTAAATCTTAAAACTATTCATTTTTTTCACCTGTCTGACCCTGATTTTACAACTTAATAATATATAATTGGTAACAATTTCCAAAGAATAAAACTTGTCCATTGACTTGAATGGTTGAATAAGACAAGCCTCATCTACTATAGTTGTTTATGGTTAGTACTAAGTCAATTCTTTAGCCCTGAAACTTGCTACAAAAAAAAAAAAAAAAAAAGGAAAAAGCTCCCTCTGCCAGAAGGTGGTGGGGTGGGGGGCGGGGGGGAATAAAAGACTTGTCAGTGCTAGTGACTAGCAACACAGAAATAGAATTTTATGATTAGTTCTTTTTAGCCTCCTGCCTTCCTGCCTTCCAGACATGTCTATTGAGATCCTAGAACTCATGGATACTAAGGATACCACAATGAATAAGTGTTTCTGCCTATGAGGAGCTCATAGTCTAGAAAGGGACATGTTGATGGAAACAGATACATCCCAGTCCAGTGTGGTAGTGTTGGGGAAGCTCAGAGCAGCTGCTTTGAGGGAGTTGGGGAAGGCTTAGCTAAGGACAGGACATTTGAGCTGGATTCTGAAGGACTCCTTCAGTAGGTAGAAGGAACAGGAGGATGTTCTAGGCAGAGGGAAGAGCTGGGGAAGATAGACAGGATGAGTGAGCCCCTGGTGTAATCATGTTTGCAGTAACACTATTTTCTCTTGATATGTTTCCTTTTAGTTCTGATTTATCCATTGGGTTATTAAATGGTCTGAGCACCCTGAAATAGTCAACATTGGGTTACACACTTAAAATTTTTTTTTTCAGACGCATGGTCTTGCTCTGTCACCCAGGCTGGAGTGCAGTGGTTTGATCATAGCTCGGTGCAGCCTCGAACTCCTGGGCTCAAGCAACCCTTCCTCCCCAGCCTCCTGAGTAGCTAGGCCCACAGGTGCATGCCACCATACCCAGCTAAGTTTTGTATTTTTTATAGAGATGGGGTCTCACTTTGCTGCCCAAGCTGTTCTCAAACTCCTGATCTCAAGCGATCCTCCTGCCTCGACCTCCCAAAACACTGGGGTTACAGACATGAGCCACTGTGCCTGGCCTACACACTTTTTTTTTTTTTTTTTTTTTGAGCACCAAGAGCTCAATATTAGCTTCCTACGTCAGTGTTTTAGGGGATCTCATGGTAGGGGAAATAATTCAGCAAAGCATCCTCATTGGGTGGAATTTCTAAACTCTCAGAAAGAATAAGAGAAAAGGATGAGAAGTAGAAAGAGAAGAAGTCACCAGAGTGCTCACCATTACACAATGTAACCATCTAAAAGTCAGTGTTTAAAGAAAAAAATTTTTCATTAGTTTGTTAATTTTTTTTTCTAATTTTCGTGAATACTTTCTGCTGTTTGCAGAATATCTGGCAACAACTTTTCCCACCTGTGATTTGCATGAACATGGAAAAGACTGGCAGGACTGTATTTCTGGTATCAATTCTATGATCTACTGTTTATGTTCTGAAGGCAAGAGTACTCCAGTAAGTTATTTTTCATCTAAATATGGTAACTGTTACCTGAGTTTGTACTGTGTACAGTTTCAGAACTGATAGCATGAGGCACAGTCTCTTTAGGCCATGTGCTAAAATTCTCATTAACTTAGGGGGCATGGGATGTTCTTTCAAAAGCACACTGCATGTTTATTTTACTTTTTTGATATTTATGCTCTATAAAAATATCCTAAAGATAAATAAAATAAAGTGCTATAATTAGTATATTTGAAGCCAAGGATAATACTAGGAAAATAGTTTCAGCTACAAAGATATTTGGCAAATCTTTTGCAGTATCTCACCGAGCAACACAAAAAGGAGCCAGCTGTGTGCTCCTTGGCTGTTTCAATGGTAGCTGAGGAGGTGCAGGGGAAAATGCAGGCACTTCGTTACTTGTTCACTTTTAGTGATGATGGAACTTGGTGAAATAAACTCATGTCATGACGTTAAACGATTACAGATATTTTACACTCCATATAGTTATGTGGTAACAGAAATCTAGTTTCTCTTTCCTCCAGTCTATCTTCAAAGTACATTAGAGATTTTTGTTTGTTTTACCACAACCGGGCCATTAGGGAAGAGTGTCATATCTGTTGTCTTCTGATGAAACATGTATCTTAATGACAATTCCTAATTTCCACCAACCCCCTTTTCTTCTGGCCACGTCTAGTCGCTCCTGTGTCTCTAGAGTAAGTTTATGGAAACAATTTGCCAAGAATATTTGTAGCTGAGCGTATGTTTCCCTGGTGAACGGGTTGATTTCAGTGATAGCTCAAGCACCATCTGCCTGAAACCAAATCTGCTTATTTTTAACATTCCGTTTTATAGCCTTCAAAAATTGCACCCTAAACAATTTGAATGTAAAATTAAGACACTGCCTGGAAAATGGTAATTTGCATATTTGCTTAGGTGTCAGAAGAGAAGCAGTGTCTGCCAAGTGCCTGCTATGTGCTTGACTAGGAATGGGACAGGTCCTTGCCACTCAGAGTAGGTCCACAGCCCAGCAGCAGCAGACCACTGGCAAGCTTGTGAAAAATGCAGGGTCTTGATTCAGAGGCAAAATTTGCATTTTAGCAAGACCCTCCCCAACCCCCGTCCCCAATGTGATTTGTGTGCACACTAAAGTTCAAGAAGCACTAACCCAGAGCAGTGGTTGTCAACCCTGGGTGCATATTAGAATCACACGAGACACTTTTAAAAATAGTTACTAACGCCTGAGCTCCCCACTCCCATCACCAGAGATTCTGGCTGAATTTGCCTAGGGTGGGGCCCAGCACAACCATTTGTTTTTACAGATCCTGAAGGTCATTCAAATGGGCAGCCAGACTTGAGCTCCACTAGGGAAAAAGAATACAAACAAAACATGAGAAACAAAAAGTGGTCATCCCCAAGAAACTCACTGCTTTGTTTATTTGTGAAATGTTTATTATGTGCCTAATTTGTACCAGCAGTTCTCATTGAGTTCCTTAGACAGAGCTACAAAATCCTCCAAGGAGCAGCAGGTCATGACAGCTTGCGGAAGAAGCCACCCCTTTCCTTCTTTCCAGATAGTATTGCGACACACAGTATTCCTATGGCTTCAGCCCACCTTTTAAAGAGTCAGTTGCTTCCCTAGCAACCTGGTGGGCCTGGTAGGTGGTAGAGCACAGACATATTTTCTTGCTGTGGGACTTTGTTTACGGATATGATTTTGTGTTTCAACAGAAAACTGTTCGCAAAAATAAAAAACGTACCAACCGTGTTGCATCGGCATCTGCAGATAGAAATGACCAAAGGGGCAGAGATGGTGGTGAAGGCTGTTCTTGGATGTTTCAGCCAATGAATAACTCCAAAATGAGAGAAAAGAGGAACTTGCAGCCAAACAGTAATGCTATCCCTGAAGGAATGCGAGAACCTTCCACTGATAATCCAGAGGAACCTGGTGAAGCATGGAGTGAGTTTTTTTAAAAACTTATATTTAAATAAGTTCTCTTGCTGATAAATGTTGAATCTGAGTGATGCATTTATGGGGTTCATTGTACTATTCTCTCTACTTTTATGTGTGTTTGAGAAATTTCATCAGAAAGTGAAATAATTTAATGTCTTTTATTAATGAGTTAATGAAATATATAGACACATGGTTCTAAGACTGATTGTTATTTTTCCTACGGAAAGTGGCTCTTTGCTGACTCACTGGACTGTGTGAGTTCTGATAAGGCACTGTCCTCTGTGGTGAAGGGGAGGGGCTGCAGCTGAGATGCACTTCTTGTTCTCTGTGTGCCTGGCACATTGCAGGTGCGCAGTAGGATTTTTGGCACGAATTCGTGAATCTCATCTCTCAGAACATTGTGCTCCCGCTGCTAAACTGCTGAAGGCACCTCCTGCTTTGATGGGTGTCAAGTGGCAGTGGTTCAGTAGTGACTGTGCCACCTGCCACTTGTGCTTCCCAATGCATCCTCCCAGGGCGCTGGACTTTAGCATCACCCATACCGATGAGTGATATCTGAAGTAGCAAGACTTTATTCTGTCTGTACCCTGCTCCCATGTTAACCCTAAGTAGAATACTACCTGGGATCCTTTTCAAACGAAATTATTGACATGATATAGCTTTATTTCTTCCATTGTAAAAGTAATCTAACTACTGTATTTGTTAAGATTGTACACTACAGACACAGACTGGATAAATTAAACAACACAAGTCACCAGTTGAATACCTCCTGTATTCAAAGAAGCAAAGAACTGAGCGAGCGTCAGGCAGGCAGGAGCTAGAGCAGCCCCAAGACTGTGAGAACTTGGGCCACATATCTCTAACCCTGACTCAGCTATAACGAGGGGACAGGGCGACTAAGCCCACTGTGAGCCAAGCAGTCACTGCAGTGTGTGTGGAGTCTGTTATGCCATTTTATTTGAAAAATTGGAAAATATTTTTAAGAGGGGGAAAAAAGCTCCCACAATCAAAATACTTTAAAAAACTATTGTGGGCATTTTCATTTTCCTTCAGTTTTTTTTTCCTGTGAACATTTTGAAACATTATGATTCCCATATAATTACTCTCCTTCTCTAATATTATAATATGTATCTATTTTTCCTCAAGAATCTACAATCTTCATAATCATTGCTCTTAATAGGATTATAGCATTCCATTAATTAAGTGCACCCCAATTTATTTAATTGCCTCCCACTTTGTTTCTTTTTGCTGTTGTTGTCGTTTTGGTTTGAGGGTTTTTTGGAAGGGAATTATAAATCAGTCTGCAAAAAAACCATCTTCATTCAGAAGATTTTTTTTTTTTGAGATGGAGTCTCGCTCTGTTACCCAGGCTGGAGTGCAATGGCACAATCTCGGCTCACTGCAACCTCCACCTCCCAAGTTCAAGCGATTCTCCTGCCTCAGCCTCCTGAGTAGCTGGGACTACAGATGTGTGCCACCATGCCCGGCTAATTTTTTTGTATTTTTAGTAGAGACAGGGTTTCACCATGTTGGCCTGGCTGATCTTGAACTCCTGACCTCAGGTGATCCACCTGCCTCAGCCTCCCAAAGTGCTGGATTACAGGTGTGAGCCACTGCACCAGCCCATTCAGATAGATTTTTCCATACTTTGGATTATTAGGTTAGGTTCTTAGAAATTGAATTACCAGGTTAAAGAGTATTAACCTTTTTTTCCTGACCCTTGATAAATATTACTAGGTAAATCTCCCAGAGTTAAGTCTTTGGACCCATTAAATGTGTTTCTAAATAATCTCTCCTGCTAAATGTTGAATCTGGATGATTCAACAGTTTTTATTGCCACCCATTAAATGATGGATGTTCTAAGTTGAAGAATATACTTACTGACTTATAATAATTATATTTTTCTAGTATATTTAACAAATAATTATTATATGTAAAATATAATATTTTTCAAATGTAGTTAATTCGAATAGACTATGGACTGAAGAGAGATGATGATGATTAAGCTGTAGAGTTGAGAAATGAAAAGTCTTAAAACTTATTTTTCATTTCAAATAAGATATCTAAGATACAATATGTAAAGTGAACCAGCAGTGTGTTGATTTAAAATGAATTTAATACTAAATAGAAAACCTACATTTTAAAAATTATAAGTATTTCAGGAAGAATCATGGAGCTTATTTTTGAAAAAGTCCTTCTTGTAAGTAGGGAAACAATGCATTAAATTACTTAGAATTTGTTACTAAATGTAATTTTAAAACTTCTTGTATCCTAAAAGGTAACAAACAGTATATTAAATCTTCCTGTTGAACCATGGTAGCATGTGTAATCACAGTGATTTCTACCTCATTTCTCATGCTGTCTCATAATCCACTAAAAACGTAAGGCTTTAGGCTGGGCACGATGGCTTATACCTGTAATCCCAACACTTTGGGAGGCCGAGGCAGGAGGGTCGTTTAAACCTGGAAGTTTGAGACCAGCCTGGGGAACAAAGTGAGACCCTGTCTCTACAAAAGATACAAAAAATTAGCTGGGTGTGGTGGGGTGGGCCTATAGTCCCAGCTACTTGAGTGGCTAAGCTAAGAGCATTACTCAAGCCCTGGGAGGCTGGGGCTGCAGTGAGCCATGATTGTGCTACTGCATTCCAGCCTAGGAGACAAAGCAAGACTCTGTCTTTAAAATAAATAAAAATGTAAGGCCTTAAATTTTTTAACCTCTCAAATTCTTGAGCCTAACAATTGAGAAAAATCAACGTTTCTGTTTCAGCTTTTAAAAAATAATGCAATCTAACATTTGCTATGAAAATTGACATCTTTCTTTTTTGCTTCTAGGCTATTTTGGAAGACCATGGAGAAATATACGGATGCCATGTTCAGTACTGACTTTGGCAAAAACTAAGTCTTGCGCAAGCCTGTCGGCTAGATACCTTATTCAGAAACTCTTCACAAAAGATGTCCTGGTCCAAAGTAACGTCTATGGCAATCTGAAGCATGGCCTGTGTGCCCTTGACCCCAATAAGATTAGTGCTCTCCGAGGTTTGTTACACATAGAGTATGTCTGAATAAATAAAAGCCAATTGTGTTTAAGAGAAGGGTAGAAAGAAGAATCCATTCAGGTTGTGTTTGTTCTGGGGAGAATGGAACTTAGTAATTACTGAGTGCCTCATTAGAGTACAGCAAGGAGCAAGATCATGAATTGTATTTCTCTCTGCATTTGGGTTCTTAGGGCTAATTGCTCTGTCTTGAATGGCTTTACTAGAACAGGAAAGGGGTTATTGACTGTGGCTCCCTGCTATGGACTGCCAGGGGTATGGAAACTCAAAACACCTTCATTGACTGAGGAGCAAGGTCAAAGCTAAAGGGCTTCATCCATTTGCAGAAGTGTCAACAATAGCACAGAAGGTTAATTTGCTAAGTTTCTTTTGTGCACGTTAGCCTAATATAGTCTCTGACATATGCAAATGAAGTAATAAAGCTTCTAAAAATTTCCTGTGAAATCTTAAATTTGGACAAAGCGGAAGCAAAATATTTCTTACTTGTGTCACTGGCACCCAGCAAAGATGTAGCTCTGATCTCAGGTGGTTCCTACCTTCATATCATACATTTTCATAGCCAACAAATTTGAACAGCACTGGTGTTTCAGAATAAAGAAACCTGGTTTTCAGCTAGCAGCTCTTATAAGCATTTGTTATCATCTAACCCAATTGTTTCAAACTTTTTTTTTACTGCAACCCATAATAAGAACTACATTTTACATTGTGACACAGTACATGCCTCTGTGTGAGTGTGACTTTTAAAAACCAAAGCAAAAATTTCACAAACAGTACTTACTCTATGAGTGTTACATTCCAGTGTTTTCTCTTCCATTACATTTCTTTCAAGTACTGCTATCACTGATTTCACAACCTAGTAATTGGTTACAACTTGCAACTTGAACATCACTGAGCTAACCTACTAGGCAAAAAAACTAAACTCAATTTCCCTTACTTTATGGTTAAAAAAAAAGTTTGTAGGCAATTCTGAAATGAATGTATTTATAGAAGAAATAGTGTCTTTCCAATTACCTTTTTTTAATGTGGGGGAAAATAGGTGACTTTTATAGTTCTTTAATATCTGGAAAAGATTACTTCTTTAAAAGTTGATGAAAAATATTTTCCTAAGCCTTTTATCATTTTATCTCTCACTGAATTTTATTAAAATCTGGAAGATGTCTTTTGCAGTAAACAAATATTCAGCATGAGTTTGACGTATTATTCACATAGGGCAGATTTTAACAAATTTCTCCTAAGACTCAAAGTTCTATTGCTTTGTAGAAGGGCAATCATTTGAGTTATTTCAGCAGAGAGAAGACAGTAGAGTCATTGTTGTCCCAAGGGGCAGAGCCAGCCCCAAGGAGTAGAAGCTGACAAGAAAGTCTGTTTCACTTTAATATAAAGATAAAATGAGCTTGGAGAAGGAAGAGTCAGAGCAAAGGCTGGGTGACCAGATATGAGAGAAGAGACCTGCACTTGTGGGAGGACTGGGCTTATGACCCCTAATATGATTTTTGTAAAAGTACTCCTTCATTCGAAATGAGTTCAAACATACAGAAATGTATGGAAAATAATATAATAAATACCTGTCTACCCCCATCACCGATAATAGACATTTCGTGTTTTGTGTTCCAGGTTTTTGTTTTAAAAAAATAATGAAAGCTTCACTGATATAATTAACACTCCAACTCATCATCCCTTTCCCCTCTCCTGCTCCCCAGAAGTAATCACAGTCCTGGAGTTGGATATATCATTCCCATGCATGTTTTATACTTTTGCTACCTATGTTAATAGATCCATAAATAATATATAATATTGTTCTGTATTTTATTTTATTTTATTTTATTTTTTCTTTTTTTTGAGATGGGGTCTTGCTCTGTTGCCCAGGCTGGAGTGCAGTAGTGTGATCGTGGCTCACTGCAACCCTGCACTCCAGTCCCTCAAACTCATGGGCTCAAGCAATCCTCCGATCTTGGCCTCCCAAAGTGCTGGGATTATAGGTGTGTGCCACTGCACTCGGCATCTGGTTGTTTTAATGTACATAAATGGGGATGTACAGTAATCTTTTTGCACATCTTAAAATCACTCAACATTATGTTTTTGAGATCTGTTCATACATTTGAACTACTGATTCATATCCCATTGAATGAATAAACCAATTTATTCTTCTATTCTAGTATAGTTTCTTACCCTAATATTTTGTTATTTGAGGGAAAAGCTTCTGAAAATTAGTAGTCAAAGGTAACTCTGTCCAGGAGCCAAAGGTGTTGATTTCATATAAATAACTATTATCTGATGCTGTCTGATGAGAGTTCAGTATCACTTAAGGGCTCTTAATTGATAGGGAGGAAGTTAGTAGGCAGATTTGCAATTAGCGAACAACCCTCACTCCTTAAACCCCCATCCATGTCTTTATATTGCAGAACTGTCAAATCTTAGCTATAGGAAATACTTTACAGGCCCTCTAATACAACATCCCACCCACAGCAGGAACTCCTATCTCAGCTTTGACAGAGTCACCTCCCCTGGGCTTGAACACTTCCATTGATGAGGCACCCGCTGTCTCAGCTCCAATTCATGGGAAAGTTCTTCCTTCTAGTGACTCAAAATGTACCTTCCCTTGTAAATCATACACTTTTGTCCTGGTTATCCCTTCTCTACCTAAACAGGGTCAATCCAATCACTTTTCAGAGGTTGGGCCTTCAAGCAGTTAATGACAGCTGTCACTTCCTGCTGGAGCATTAGGAGATCATAAAGACACTCCCTTTTAAGTTCAGAACCGAGTGAGAGAGGGCTGCTCCATTCAGGCAGGTGAAGATAAAAATAGCAGCTTTATTCTTCAATCGTACATGTCCCATTCATCCCAACTTTCCAACATAGAGGTCTCTCCACATGGTAACATGAGGGTTGGGGAGGAAATGTTCTACCCAACCTTTTCCCTCTTAAGCCTTATGCTTTTTCAGTGAAATATTAACATTTCCCTCCAGAATTCCTCACATACGTGTTGCCCTGATCCTTCATGATTTGATTCAATGACTACCTTCAGATGTGCTTAAATACACCCAGGATACAATAGTACAACCTATTAGGCTGTTAATGCAGCCGAAAATGTCACATGCCATTTAAACATTTACGGTCAGGTCGGGCACAGTGGCTCATGCCTGTAATCCCAGCCCTTTTGGGAGTCAGAGGCAGGAGGATGCCTTGAGCTCAGGAGTTCCAGACCAGCCTGGGCAACATGGCGAAACCCTGTCTCTACAAAAAATACAAAAATTAGCTGGGCATACACTAGCTACTAGCTACTCCCTAGCTACTTGGGAGGCTGAGGCAGGAGGATCACTTGAGCCTAGAAGGTTGAGGCTGCAGTGAGCTGTGATTGTGCCACTGCACTCAAGCCTGGGTGACAGAGTGAGACCCTGTCTCAATGAAATAAAATAGAAAAAAATAAAATTTATGGTCAACTAAGACCTCTAGATCTTTCTTGCTATAACTGACATTTATCCAGTACTTATTGTTAGTATTCAGGCTGTTACCATTTATACTGCTAGTACCTTTTAATGTTAATGTAGGAAAAATATAAATATAAATATATTTTTTGCTGCATCATATCTTGTCAGTGTAGGTCAGCATTTCCTGAACTGTGTTTCTCCAATTCAGCTAAATGTTAATAGGTGTTTCATGAAATACCTTTTTTCTTTTCTTTTCTTTCTTTCTTTTTTTTTCTTTGAGACAGGGTCTCACTCTTGCCCAGGCTGGAATGCAGTGGCATGATCACAGCTCAATGCAGCCTTGATCTCCCGAGCTCAAATGATCCTCCCACCTCACACTCTCGAGTAGCTGGGACTACAGGCATGTGCCACCACACCTGGCTAATTTTTGTATTTTTTTGTAAAGATGGATTTCACTATGCTGACCAGGCTGGTCTCAAACTCTTGGGTTCAAGCGATTCACCCGCTTCAGCCTCCCAAAGTGCTGGAATTACAAGCATAAGCCACTGTGCCCAGCCTCATGAAATACTTTTAAAGTCAAACGGCTAGGAAAGACCTTAAGCAAGCACTCCAAGGGCCTCAGTCAATAGATGGGTTTCACTTGACTGTCAGTTTCTTTTATTTTGGAGACAGGGTCTCATTCCCGTTGCCCAGGCTGGAGTACAGTGGCTAGATCATGGTTCACTGCAGACTCGACTTCCCGGGCTCAGGTGATTCTCCCACCTCAGCCTCCCGAGTAGCTAGGACTGCAGGCATGCACCACCATGCCTGGCTAATTTTTTTGTATTTTTAGTAGAGACGGGGTTTCACCATTGTTGCCCAGGCTGGTCACAAACTCCTGAGCTCAAGCAATCCGTTCGTCCTGGCCACTGCGCCTGGCCGACTGTCAGTTTCAAAACTGAATGCCTTTACCCATGAAGCCTGCCTAAATCTCCCAGTCCTGACCCCTGACCCTCTGTTGTCCTATGCGCTGCCACCTCCCTCATTTATGCGTTCCACCAACACGGCTGCATCTGTAACATTTCAATCAGCAAAAGGAGGCTCCACTTATCTTTTCTGTGGGATTTTTCAGAACCCTGAATATGCTTGTGTGCAATCTTAAATCCCCAAGTGGTGACTAGCTGCGGAGGGTAGCATTTCCCATTTGCGCAACTAGAACCTTTTCCCCCAAGAAACTTCTTTTATGACTAGTGTTCCAGAGAACACATTTTGGGAAACACCAGCCAATTTAGGCTCCTTGTTGCCACCTGTTGAAAGCTATGCAAGCGCTGTATTTGTCTTCCAGTGTGGTAATTATCCCTCCCAGCTTTGCTGTTGTGAGTAGTTGGGACAAACATTTTTTCCAGAACTCATTTTTGGTTAATAAAATGTTAGCAGGATAGAGTGGGATACTGAATCCAGTGACATACCACAAAAACCTTTTTCCAGGCTACCGCTGATCCATTAATTAATTAGTCCTTTGGGTACGGAAGCCTTTTAACCTTGACACATGCTTTGCTAAAAAATTTGGATATATGTGATGTTTATGGCATTGTCCTCATTTATTAGCCTATTAACCCTATTGAAAAACAAATGAGATTAATGTAGCTAACTAATGCTAACCTGTAGGGATCACCAGATCTTTTTCCAAGGGCTGAAAGGCACTTAGGCCTTTGATTACCTAATGATGTGTCCGAGGGCAGCCCTGCTCTTCTAATAAACACCTCTCTTCCCTACCTTTCTCCTTGTCTGTCTTCTTACTTTCTCTAAGAGTGCTCCTTGAATTATGTTACTCTGTCACCTTCCCTTTCAGAAGTCTTCCTCTAATTGCAAGATCTAAAGACCCTTATTCCTTTTATCAGAGATAAATCCAGCAGTACCAAAAAAGTTAGCAGTTACAGCTTCTTCCCTCTCAAAGTAGGATGACACTGCAGCCTCTTGTTCATTGCAGAGGCTTAGCATGTCTCTATTTGAGCTGATGAGTGACGTGCTAGACGCTTCTTTGATACTTTTGAGAGTAACAAAAGTTGACCTTGGGTACTCAAGGCAGCAGAGGATTTCTATTCTGGTATGTGGCAAGGTCATGGGAGATTGTTGCTTTATTGTGATTTAAGCATGGTGCTGTTTCATATAGTTCTCTTTTTAGATTAAAAGATTTGTCCAGCTAATTTAATAATGATTATAGCCTATGTGTGTTTAATTAAAGTGTTAATGATCCTTTCACAGTCGCAGTAGTAGAATGAAAGTTGAATGAATTGATTTCTCTGAGAAGTGATTTGCAAGTAACTGTTATGTCTTGGGTCTTTACCATCAGAGTTCCTCCAAGAAAACTACCCAATTTGTGATCTCTCGGAAAATGGAAGAGACTGGAAGTCGTGTGTGACCTCCATCAACAGCGGTATCCGTAGCCTTAGACATGACGTCAGAAGGGCTGAAGCCAGGTCTCAGTCGCTTCCAGCAGTGACCCCTCCAGAGCTGGAGCAGGAGTCAAAGCCAGGAGATCCCGACGCCACTGACCCAAGCACCTGAACGGCAGCTGCCAAACTTTTTTTTTTTTTTTAACTGTTAAGACTATTTTGTAAGTTTCTCAAGTTCTAATTCCAAAATCAGCCTGCTGTACTGGCAGAGTAGTTTGCATTGACACCTGTAGTAATCGCCAAACCTCTTTTTCTGCTCATAAAGGAGGTAGAATCACATTAGGAAGATACGTAATGTTTCATCTGTGGATTTGATGACAACCTCTGATTGAGGGAATGGTAGTAAACTCCTCATGGGCTTGTGACCCATGGCTTTGACTTAGATAATTGACATTAATATACTTTGTTTTTTTGATAAGGTAGAGAAAGAAATTCAATAGAAAGTAAGGAGCCACTCAGTCAAATAATATAATTCGTATAAAACTTGACAAGTCTTTTTATTTTTGTGACTTGTGAGATAGTTTAAGATATTTTTATGTGACCAATTTGTAGAATGAATACATATTTTCAAAGTTATCTTTTCAAAATTCAACTTTTAGAGTATTTTAGCAAAATATATGTATAGTTTATAATATAGAAGTATAGCTTTATAAAGATATTAAGGATTTATTTTTTAAAATAATTCTCTGAATAGTTTGCTGTAGTAGTTGCCTTCAGCTTAATAAAACCATAGTACTTCTACATACATCTTTATAAGTTAGGCTATGCCTACAAAGGTCTTAAAAAGTAGATAATTTACCGGGTGTAGTGGCTCACACCTGTAATCCCAGCACTTTGGGAGGCCGAGACGGGTGGATCACCTGAGGTCAGGGGTTCGAGACCAGCCTGGCCAACATGACGAAACCCCATCTCTACTAAAAATACAAAAAAAGTAGCCAGGCATGGTGGCAAGCACCTGTAGTCCCAGTTACTCGGGTGGCTGAGGCAGGAGAATCACTTGAACCTGGGAGGTGGAGACTGCAGTGAGCCGAGATTGTGCCACTGCACTCGAGCCTGGGTGACAGAGTGAGACTCCGTCTCGGGAAAAGAAAAAAAAGAAGTAGATAATTAAAAAAATCTTGCATAAAAAAAAATCTTCCATAAAGGGCAAAAAGGCTTTAACTTCCATTATTCAGATTTAATCCAACTAAGATAGTCTTTGGCTTCATTCACTGTTCAGTTTCACAAGTTTTTTACAACTACTAGTAACAGAGCTAATACAGAATAGTAATCCACATTATAAACATAGATCAAAATACCACATCATACCCCATAAATACATGCAGTTATTATTTGTCAATTAAAAATAAAATTTTTTTAAAAGAAAAGTACAGTTCGACCCTAGGCAAGAAGAAATTTCAAATTGTATATGCATATTTTGAATTTGGTTTATATTTTGTGGTATCTGAAATATTCCCTGGACTAGAAGCAAAACCACAGAAACAAAACTTTACATTTAGAAAAAAATTTCAAGACTTCTATTGCTAACTTTATTACATTAGTGGTTTTTAGAAGTTATTTAGAGCAGTCTTGTCTGATAGAACTTTCCACCATGATGGAAATGTAAATAAATATACCACATTAAAAATATAAATTTGCAATGTCCAATAGGCTCGTATGGCTATTGAGCATTTAAGATGTAATTAATTAGACAGAGGAAGTAAATTTAACATTTTCTCTCATTTTAGCTAATTAGAATTTAAAGTGAAATAGCCACAAGTGGATAGTGGCTACTGTGTTGGATGGCACAGTTCAAAATGCCTCTTATTTATAAAAAAAAGTGTTTAAAAGTGGTTCCCATGGCTTGAAGAGGAATAATATACACATAACTTCTTTAAAATCACATTTTGTTTGAGATGGAGATCTTGCTATATTGCCCAGGCTTATCTGGAACTCCTGGGCTCAAGAGGGAGGATCACATTTGACTGGACAAAATACATTTTATAAAGGTGTTTTGTATTTTATGTTAAAGTGGAATTGTGTCTTCAAAATTGTGTCTTCAAAATTTCACAAGTTAATACTATTACTGTATTAGTCCAATGTTAAACATTTTAAATGCCTGCTCATAAGACTCATTTTTGATAAATAAATGTATCTTTAATGTTTTGTTTCCCAAATAGATACAATAAATAAACATTTAAAATGCCTTAATACAGATGCTCAGGTTGTTCTTTTAATGAACTCATCTTACAGAACTTTTGCTGATGTTACCTACAGTGGTTTATATTAATGTGACACATATTTTTCAGCCAGTTTATTAAATGTGGCACAGCTAGAATGTTGACTTTCTTCCTTGATAAGCAAAACAGAATAGTTTAACCCAGTAACAGTAATTTACCATGGTAGATATAATTATAAGGCTATTGAAAACTTTGGCAGTACTTTGTCCTTCCTGGGTAAAATCTAAGTGTTATTAACACATGCCATTTTTATGCTTTAATACTTATTTAAATATATGGTAATATTTTCATTTTGGCCAGCAAAGCTAAGATTTTCGGCTCTGGCCTTCAGTTTTCCTTATAGCCCATATCCATATCTAGTGGAGTAATTTCTCCATGGAGTTCTGACAATATTAACTCTTCTGCAAGAGTAAAGCACTTGTCACCCCTTCCTTTCATCCTAACTTATTTTAATTCACAATGCATCAAATTTGCAATGACCTTTCTCACTATGCTAAAAAATATGTTCATCTACTTCAACGTAGAATAATTTGTAATCTCAAATAGCTAGTAAAATCAATTTGGAAAACTGATGGGTGAGACAGGTACAAATCTCAGTCCACAAACACAGGAGGGCAGGAAATCTAACTTTATTTTTCTATAACTACTTAATTTCTATTATGAGCAAACTTAATCTTAGTCATTCAAGGCTTTTGACTTTCCTTGGAAGACAAGAAAACAACCCGGGCCACGAACGGAGGTTGTTTGGGAGAATACCAATGAGTGGTGTTTCCGTCATTTTCTCCAGACTTACTTCTAAGTTCTAGGGGTCTTCTACAATTCCAAACTGGGGAAAGGATATCAGAATCAGATTTTTGTTGTTTTCTGTAGCCATCATCAGTTGAGGTGTGTGTCCCTTGTCCCAGTTGGTCTTCAGTCAGTGGTCCACAGCCATTTTATTTAAAAAAATTCTTAAATATTATTAATATATAAAGCTTTTTTTTTTTTTTGAGACAGGGTTTCACTCTGTCACTCAGGCTGGAGTGCAATGGAGTGATCTCTGCTTACTGCAACCTCCGCCTCCCAGGCACAAGCGATCCTCCCACCTCAGCCTCCTAAGTAGCTGGGACTACAGGTGTGCACCCCCACGCCTGGCTAATTTTTGTACTTTTTGTGGAGATGGGGGTCTTGCTATGTTGCACAGGGTGGTCTCAAACTCTTGAGCTCAAGCGGTCTGTCCACCTCGGCCTCCCAGAGTGCTGGGATTACAGGCATGAGCCACTGCACTCAGCCCCACAGCCATTCTTATTCCTGTCCCCAAGTCCCATTCAGATTGAGCAGCTCCTGTCTCCACCCCTTCCAGGACCCTCTCAAGCTCAGGGCAGTCATTTTGCTGCTGCTTCATTGCTTTGCATCCTAGGAAATATTTCGTCCAGTTCTCCATATACTTCCATACAGGACTGGTTACATCATTTGCAGGCCCAGTGCAAAGTGATGAATTCACTCTTGATGCTACTTAGCAGTCTTTTATTTTTAAAGTTTTTATTTGGGGATAATTTTGGACTTACAGAAGAGTTGCAAAAATAGCACAGAGTGTTCCCATATAGCCTCCCCCGAGCATGGTTAACAGCCACATAACTGTGCTACAATGATCAGAACTCAGAAAGGAACATTGGTACAATACTGCCAACTCCAAACTGTCTTCATATTTCACTAGGTTTTCCACTGAAGTTCTTTTTTACTTCCAGGATTCAATCCAAAGTCCCACCTGGCATTTAGTTGTCACATCTTACTTTCCTTCAACCTGTGACAGCTCCTAAGTCCTTCCCTGTTTTTTTCCTGACCTTGACACTTTTGAAGAGTACTGGTCAGTTGTTTTGTAGAATGTCCCTTCCTTTGGGTTTGTCTGATGTTTTCTCCTGATTAGATTGAGGGTATGCATTGCGGGGAAGAAACCCCAGAGCTGATGTGCTCTTCTCAATATTGCAGCCTTCTAGATTTTTCCATAAAATAGTTACAAGAACAGTTCAGTAGTTTGCCCCAAATCATAGAGCTGCTAGCAACAAAGCCAGGACTAGATCTAAAGTCTCACTTTTATGCGAGGGGTGTTATCACTAACCCATAAATCCCTTCATATATTTTCAATACCACTGAATTATCCAGCAGTTGCCTTCCAGGATTGTGACAGCCAATTCTTTGTTTGGCTGTAGAACAATGGAATAGGGGCATGAAGAGGCTGCATGGTGGACAGATATCCTGGAAGAAAAACAGTAATTTCAAACAAAGCAAAAGTTAAGCGCTGGCCCAGCTTCCCTGCTGCTTCATGAATGGTGATGATGATGATCGTCACTGCTTATTAAGCTCTGGCTGAGTGCCAGGCACTGTGCTTTCTATGTGGGTGGGACTGTCCCGCCTCAACTCAGTGTCACCACTGCCCCCCTTCTAGAATCTGTGCTTTCCAGAAGAGACACGGAGAAGCACATTTCCCAGAACTCTTGCCTTAGTACAGTTCCAGTTGAGAGTTTGTCAATGAGAGAAACTTGCATAAAATTTGAAGGCAGAAGAGATCGAGAAGCCATTATTGCCCATGGCCAGACATGTGGGCAGGCATGAGATTTACAGAAGCTTCCTTAAGGAACTCATGAGAATCACACACTTCACAGCAGACAAGGGTGGGACTAGGGGAGGGGATTTCCATTGCTTCTTTAAAACCTCAGCAGCTCCCCAATAATCTTTTTGACAATCTTCCACCTCGGTGCTTTAAGCTGAGGTCTCCAGTGTCTGCTCCCTTTATCTTCGATGACACCTTCTTTGACCTTGTCTTTCCTACCTCTTTTAATAATCCTGTAAACCACTAATTCCTATGTTAAAACCCTTTATACCTGGCGTACATAGCATGGCTTCTGTTTCTCCAACTAACTCCTGATGTAGTATAACATGTTAATGCATTTGATCCTCTCACTATCCCAGGAGTCAGTGCCATTAGAAACAGGGACTCACAATCACTTGTGCCCATACCCACTAGTGAGCAGTTTAATGAATATTTCAGATATTTCTTATCAGTAAAACTGAATATCTTTGTTATTAGGATGTATGCTTTTATTTGAAAAAAACGAAGATCAAAATTTAATTTCTTTTATCTTTCAAATATAAAAGGCTGTTTGCATAAAAAAGCATTTCCAGGCACTCTGGAAGCATTCAGAAACCTGAGGATCAGAGATGGATAAATTCCCTTTCTTCTACTTTGTGGCATTAGAACGCACAGAGTCAGCCTTAACATCACTCACTTGCTTAATTATTTGTCTTCGTCACTAGCCTGAGCTTCCGGCAGGCGAGACTGTGTCTTTGGTGCCTAACACAGAATAGTAGATGCCCAATAAACAAAGGCATTCCTCAGTCACCCTGCCTTAGCATGTCTGAGAGTCCATGATTAGTTTTATTTCTTTAGTTTGAGCCTAATTTGACCTTTTCCCCTGTGAAAATGTAAGTTCTGTCTGTACTCATCCCTTATGCCTTCATTGTTAAATCTACTCCTCAAAGTTGGTTTGATTTCGAGTGTGAAGAGAGCATGAGGACTTCTGAGTCCTGAGAGAGATAAATGTGCACTAAGATAAATATGTAATTAGGGCTGCAATATCCTTTGTGAAAGGAAAAAAATTGGAAAGATGTGCTTTTTTTTTTTAAGTAAAATCATGGCTCTCATACAGATATAAAATGAACATATGCTGGAGATTTTATTGAATCTAGTACTAATGAGGGAACTGGTAAGATGTTACAACCATTTCAAAGGACAATCCAAAGAATGGACACATGAAGACATCAGGAATATGAAAGTGAATGTGCAAATGAAGGCAAAATTGGCTTCTTCCACAGCGAGGGCAGGCAGCCAATTGAATCTCCATCTATAGATGCATTGCTATCAGTTATACACAATTTACAGAATCCGAAAATGGTCCAAAGACAATGAAAGGTGCAGAAGCAGAATCTGAGAACCCAGAAGGATGTGCAATGCTGTTTTCCACCAAAGCACATTTTTCCCCCACTGGGAATGTGAATGTCCATTAATAGAGAACTTGTAGTGTAGATGAAGAAACTCCCACTCCAACGGGAAAATAGGCATCCATTAAAAAGAATGTGGTCAGTATTAACATGAAAGGCAAGACATAGATTAAAAATATTCACAATACGTATGTCTGATAGAGAACTTGGATCCATTATATATTTTAAAATCCTATAAATCAATGATAAAAAGTTGAACAATACAATTTAAAAATGGGCAGGATTCTTGAATGGGCATGTCATAAAAGAAGATATAGAAAAGGCCAATAAGCACATGAAAAAGTGCTCAACATAATCGGTCATCAGATTAATGTAAATTAAAATTGTAATGAGATGCCAGTATCCATCCATCAGAATGGCTTAAATTGTGAAGACTGAAAATACAAAGTGCTGTCATGGGACAACTGGAATGCCATACGCTGTTGGTAGGAGTGTAAGGTGGCATAGCCACTGTATTAGTCATTCTCACAGTGCTATGAAGAAATACCTGAGACTAATTTATAAAGAAAAGAGGTTTAATTGGCTCATGGTTCTGCAAGCTGTACAGGAAGCATGATAGCTTCCGGGGAGGCCTCAGGACACTTTCACTCATGGTAGAAGGCAAAGGGGTAGCAGGCACATCTTACATGGCCTGAGCAGGAGGAAGAGGGAGAGAAGAGGGAGGTGCCACACACTTTTAAACAGCCAGATCTTGTGAGAACTCTAGCACAAGACAGCACTAGGGGGATGGCGCTACACCATCATAAATCACCCCCAGGATCCAGTCACCTCCCGCCAGGCCCCAGCTCCAGCAGTGGGTATTACAATTGAACATGAGATTTTGGTGGGGACCCAGATTCAAACCATATCAGCCACTGCGGGAAAATGTTTGGTAGTTTGTAATAAAATTAAATGGACAGTACCAATGACTCAACAATTGTAAATATATTCCCAAGATAAGTAAGTGCATATATCCACAAAATGACTTCTATGAGAATATTCACAATAACCTTACTCACAAATGCCCCAAAGTGAAAACAACCCGGATTTTGGTGGGAATGCCACTCGGCAGCCACAACAACAAAATCCCAAACTACCAATGCATGCAAAAACATGGATGATGCTCTAGAATATTGTGTTGCACAGAAAAATCCAGACACAGAAGAATACCTGCATGTGAGTCCACGAATGTGATGTTTAACAGGAAAAACTACTGCATGGTGTTGGAAGTCAGTGTAGTCGCCATCTCAATATCTGTGGGGTGATATTGACTGGAAGAGTATGGGGGAGCCTTTCTGGGGTAATAGAAATGTTTTACATCTTGATCTGGGTAGTTGTCACACAGGAATACAGATGGTCCTGACTTATGTGGTTTGACGAATGATTTTCCAACTTTATGATGGTGTGAAAGTCATATGCAACCACAAGGTTTCAGACTTTAAGCACCAGAGACTCTTTGACCAAAGACTCTCAGGCTGCATTTTCAACTTGTCTTTTCAACCTATGACGGGTTCATTGGGACATAATCCCATTGTAAATCAAAGAGCAACTGTAAGTACATGTAAAAAGTCCTCAAAGTCAGTTATGTGCAGTAGACTGTAAATAAATTATACCTCAACAAAGGACTGGTAAAAAAAAGAATGCAATATGAATCTAGATAAAATGATTTGAAAATCATGTCCTAACTTTCAGAGACATATTTCTTAAGTTCAAACAGCAAGTCACAGAAGAGTAAATGAAATGCAATTCCATTTGCATTATTAAAGACCACATGGGTATATATGTGTAATTTGTAAATGCATCACACAAATTAGAGGACAGTTGCTGGATGCATAGTTGGGGTTACTTCTGGGGAGTGGAAAGGAATAAATAGGTGTGGGAGGCATCATTGTTTGTATTCGTCCATTTTCACATTGCTATAAAGACATAACTGAGACTGGGTAATTTATAAAGGAAAGAGGTTTAATTGACTCACAGTTCCACATGGCTGGGGAGGCCTCAGAAAACTCACAATCATGGTGGAAAGCAAATGGGAAACAAGGACCTTCTTCACATGGCAGCAGGAGAGAGAAGTGTGTGTGAACAAAGGAAAAACTACCATTTATAAAACCATCAGATCTCGTGAGAATTCACTCACTATCACAAGAACAGCATGGGGGAAATTACCCCCATAATGCAATCACTTCCTTCCCTTGACATGCGGGGATTTACATGCCCCTCCCTCAACACGTGGGGATTATAATTCGAGATGAGATTTGGGTGGGGGCACAGAGCCAAACCACATCCTTGTTTGTATTGTTTATAATGCAAATGAATGTGTAATTTAAAATAGGCCAATTCTAATTCATGTAACAGTAACAGGAAATGCAACACTTGATCTAGAAGAAGAGTGCTGCAAGGGACAGTTACACAGTTGGGCTGGGGCTGGCACTGAGATCTCAACTGGATATCTTATGAAAAAAATTCCTTTGGTTAAACCATGGAATTTTAGCTCTAAATAAAGCCGTAGCCAAAGGTTTTCTGTGAATCCAGTTGTCTCAGTCCACTTGAGCTGCTATAACAAAGTACCTTAGACCAGAAGTCCAAGGTGAAGGTGCTGGCAGATTTAGTATCTGGTGAGAACCTGTTCATAAATGGCCATCTTCTTGTGTCCTCATGGTGGAAGAGGCGAGGGACGTCTCTGGGGCCTTTTTTATTCATAAGGGCACTACTCCCACTAATAAGGGCTCTGCTCTCATGACCTAATCACCTCTCAAGGACCCCGCTACCCATCACAATAACAGCACTTTGAGCTTTAGGATTTTTTTTTGAGGCAGGTTCTTACTCTGTTACCCAGGCTGCAATGCAGTGGTACAATCACGGCTCACTGAAGCCTCGACCCCCCATGCCCAAGCGATCCTCCCACCTCAGCCTCTTGAGTAGCTGGGACTACAGGCATGCACTACTATGCCTGGCTAATTTTTGTATTTTTTGTAAAGATAAGATTTCATCATGTTGCCCAGGCTGGGGTCTTGAACCTCTGGGCTCAAGTGATCCTTCTGCCTCAGCCTCCCAAAGTGCTGGGATTACAGGCATGAGCCATTTTGCCCTGCTGATTGTTGTTTTTTTAAGCCAAAGTTATTTCATATGTCTGTTTAAAGAAAATGTCACCCTTCAAGATATAGGCAGGGTAGATTTCTTTTCCCCTTTCAAAAACAGGAAGAGTGGTGTGTGTGTGTGTTTGTGTGTGTGTGTGTGTGTGTGTGTTTGTGTGAGAGAGAGAGAGAAGAGAGAGAGAGAGAGAGAGAGAAAGGGAGAAAGAGGAACATATATATGCATATTCATGATCCAATATATTTTGTTTATCCCTAAATGGCCAGCTAAGAGTCCTGCTTTAACTGAGATAGCCATTCAAAATCATTAGAGCCTTTTACTCTGACTTGAACAAGATTGTCCAAGCCCAGCTCCAGGAGGGAATTGTACATTTGCATCTCTAATATACTCCATTCCCAAAGAATGTTGACATTTCAGAATTTTAATGGCACCACTTAAGTGAGTTTCCAAGTAAGTCACTTGCTTGATGTTCCTGAAATAAATTTTACATCTTAGTGGATATCACTTTGTTCTATGAGCGCTTGTGTTTTCAACCTAATTGTTGGTTTACTTAACTGATTAATCCTGTCTGTTTAAGGGAGATATATCACATTGATACATTAAATATTTTTGTGGTGCCTAGCAAGGTAGTATTCTGTACTTATATTCACTTACTGGATTCCAAGAACAATTATTGTTTAAATGCCCTTTTGATCTGCCTAAGAATACCAGCTTAAGAAGAAAAGTTTTTACCCAATTTACAAACTGTGGGCCTGAGAACAGACGTGTTCACATTGGCACACTCACCAGCTTGTCAATTATTAAGAGATATTAACCAATTCATAGACCTGAGGTATGTCTCTGTGTATACAGGTTGGTACTCTAACGTGTGACAGCGGGTTGATACCAAGGTAGCAGGATTCAGCACAGGGATGATGTGAACCCCACAATTACAACAAAGGCCTCAGTCGAACTCATGGGAGCTCTACTTGGATTGCTCTTCCCAGTTGTTTTTTATATTTTTTTTGAGACACAGTATCACTCTGTCACCCAGGCTTGAGTGCAGTGGTGCAATCTTGGCTCACTGCAACCTCTGCCTCCCGGGTTCAAGTGATTCTCCTGCCTCAGCCTTTCAAGTAGCTGGGACTACAGGTGCTCACCATCATGCCCAGCTAATTTTTGTATTTTTAGTAGAGATGGGTTTCGCCATGGGTTTCGCCATGTTGGCCAGGCTGGTCTCGAACTCTTGGACTCAAGCGATCCATCCGCCTTGCTTCCCAAAGCTTTTATATCCCAAAGACAATCAGTTCTTGGGTTGAAAACTGTTATGGGACTGATAATTTCCCAGAACTTTCATCCTGCTGCCCTGCTGACAAAATGAACTTTCTGCTGATAGGTTAGTGATGGGGTAAATGTTACAAAGATGCTATTGGCTATCCAGAATAGCATGCAGCTATTTTTAAGCACAATCTGAGTTTTCTATCATCAAAGAATTTTTATTTTCTGGTGATGGACAAGTGGTAGGTTTCATCTACTTTGGCTTAATGAATAAGAATAATATTACTTTCTTTACTTCACAGGCTTATTGTGAGGATCAAGTGAATTAATACGTGTGAAGGTACAACAGAAATGGAAGGTGGCAGTTGAGATGATTTTGCAGTTTGCCATTGGATAGAAAAATGAACCCAGGAAAAGCAGCAAACTAGACAATAATACAATCACACTCATTTCTTATTTTAATGTCTTTTAAGTGGTTTTGCTTCTGAACCCCCAAATGTAGAGCTTCCAGTGATTTAGTTTAAGTCATGTTTTCTGATTCATCAGAAAACTTTCTTGGAATCTGACATAATCTTAGTTTGGACCAGTTGGCCAGCTGCTTCTGACTTGGCTACTCGGGGCTGGGACTTTCCCAGTCTCTGAACTAAAGAAAGCCAATAGTATTAGTAGATTTCTCTCCACCATGAATGCAAGTTCAGTAACCAGCCCTTGGTTCCCCAGATTTGGACTTGGAGGGATTCTCTTTATAGCCTACTTAGTATGTGGTCAATTTTTATAAATGTTCCATATGATCTCAAAATGAATGTGCATTCTTTATTTGTTGAGTACACTATTCTGTATATAAACATTAGATCAAGCTGTGTTTTCAGTGAAGATTAAATCTTTGCTATTTATATATATATATATATATATAGCCACCTTATCAATAGGTTCTTGAGAAAAGTTAAGTAAAATTTCCTTCTATGATGGTATATCTGTTATAAAAATTTTGCCTTATATATTTTGAAACCAAATTATTATTATTATTATTATTATTATTATTTGAGACAGGATCTTGCTGTGTCACCCAGGCTGGAGTGCAGTGGCACGATCACAGCTCACTGCAGCCTTGACCTCCTGGGATCAATTGATCCTCCCACCCCAGCCTCCTGAGTAGCTGGGACTACAGACTGGGACTACCATCATTCCTGACTAATTTTTTGTATTTTTTGTAGAGACAGGGTTTTGCCATGTTGCCCAGGCTGGTGTTGAACTTCTGACCTCAAGTGATCCTTCTGTCTTAGCCTTCCAAAGTACTGGGATTACAGGCATGAACCATCATGCCCAGTTTGAAACCACATTATTAAGTGCCTACAGGTTCAAAATTGTTATATCTTCTTGGTGTATTGTTCTTTTTGTCATCAAGTGAGGTCTTTCTTTATTCCTACTAAGTTTTTCCTCTAAATTCCATTTTTCCTTCTCTTAATTTTGCTAGGTAGATTTTTGTTATTATTTGTCTAGTACATCTTTTATTTTTGCTTATATATGTCATTATGTTTTAGGTGTGCCTTTTTATAAATAGATTATGCTTGGCTTTTGTTTTTCATCCACCCAATATAAACAAATTTATTTATCTTTTAAAGATAGTGACTGAAACAAAGGTTACTGATATATTTGGGTTCAATTTTTGCTTTGCTGTTGTTCCTGTTTGTGTATTTCATTTTTGTTTTCTTCTTCTAGTTTTGAAGTTATCCATTTTATTTCTTTCTTTATCACCCATCTCATGTTCTCATTTTCTTTTGCCTTTTGACCATTTATATTGCTGATACGATGTTTTCTGCAAGGCTAATTGTCTTTCCTTTGCCAAGAATATAGTAAATGCATGATAAATATTTATCTTGTGGAATAATGTTCACTACATATTTGAGGGTTGTATTAGTCTGTTTTCACCCTGCTGATAAAGACATACCCGAGACTGGGTAATTTACAAAGAAAAAGAGGTTTAATGGACTCAGTTCCACGTGGCTGGGGAGGTCTCACAATCATGGCAGAAGGTGAAAGGCACATCTTATATGGTGGCAGACAAGAGAAAATTGAGAACCAGGTGAAAGGGGTTTCCCCTTATAAAACCATCAGATCTTGTGAGACTTATTCACTACCACGAGAACAGTATGGGGGAAACTGCCCCATGATTCATTTATCTCCCTCTCATAATATGTGGGAATTATGGGAGCTACAATTCAAGATGAGAATTGGGTGGGGACACAGCCAAACCTTATCAAGGGCTGTGTCTGTGCACTTAATGACATATCGTGTATATGTTGCTTTAATCCCTGCTCACAGACAGTAGAGGCAAGCTAGTGAAATCTTCCCAAACTTTAATGTTTTATCCACAAAGCTCAGCTGACCTTCTTCATTTCCCCCTTTCTGTTTTCTCATGATCTGTCACCAGTAACCTTTGAAAAGGAGCCTAAAGAAGTGTTGACCGGAGTTGCAAAAGGTAGCATGAAGGGAGGTTCAGCATATAAAGTCATAAAACCCAAGTTACCCAATTCCGTGAAGTTAATAGCTTTTAAAGGGAACCTCTTTTTTTCCCTATCCATTTGTGTGACTGCTTTGTCCTGTGGCACTTGCACCTTCAGCTGACTTTTGAAAGCCTGCTATTTTAAAGGTCATAATTTTGACTGATGGGTCTATAATTAGTAAGTGCTCATTAAGTACTCTGTCCTGAGTGTTTCTGTGGGGTGGGAGAGAATGTTCTTAAGCAGCTGCCAGGGCTGATAACAGTCCTACAACTTGGAATTACTCCAAAAGTAACCAAATAACTTTATAAAGATTAATAAGCAAGCAAAAAACAAAAAACAAAACAAAACAAAAAAAACAAACACACACACACACACACACACAAACCAAACCAAACCAACAAACAAAAAACAACCAAACAAGCACCCTGCAGTAGCTGTAGCAGCAGCTACAGCAAGGCAGAAAATAGTGTAATGGCCTCCTGATCACCAAATCTAAGCACCTTCTTACCCTTGTTTTCTTCATAGTGAGGGAAGCTCGATATTTTCTCCGTCTTTCTCCCAACCTTTCTCTAGTGGCTGTCTTCCTGCCTCTTAGCTATAGGTGTTTTCCAGGTGTTAATCTGGAGTCTTCTTCTCTCTTCCCTGATCCTCCCCAACAAAGAACATTCCATTCCGATGGCTTCAGATATAAGCCTTATGTTGATGACTCTCAAGTCCATGTTTCTGGCTTCTACACAGACTCCAGGCCCACATTTTTAATTGCCTGCTGAATATTCTTTCTAGATGTCCCCCCGAAGTTTTGACTCAATACACCTGAAGCTAAACTCATACTCTTTTCTTTAAAACCAACTTCAATACCCCGTGATCTAGCAATTTCACTCCCATATATAGCAGCCAAAAGAAATGTGCACACAGCATACCAAAAGACAGGTATAGAAAAGTTCACAGAACATGATACATTGTGACCAAATTAAGTTTGACCCAGGAATGCAAAGGTGACTTAAAATTAGAAAATCAAACAGTGTAATTCATCACATACGAGAGTCAGAAAAAAATTACATCATGGTCCGGGTGTGGTGGCTCATGTCTGTAATTCCAGCACTTTTGGAGGCCAAGGTGGGTGGATCACTTGAGGTCAGGAGTTTGAGACCAGCCTGGCCAACATGGTGAAACCCCGTCCCTAGTAAAAATACAAAAATTAGCCAGGCATGGTGATGTCTGCCTGTATTCCCAGCTACTCGAGAGGCTGAGGCAAGAAAATCGCTTGAACCCGGGAGGCGGAGGTTGCAGTGAGCTGAGATCGTGCCACTGCACTCCAGCCTGGGTGACAGAGTGAGACTCTGTCTCAAAAAAAAAAAATTACATGATTGTTTTAATCGATGTAGAGAATTTATTTGATAGTATTAAACAACCATTTATGATTTAAAAATCCTCTTAGTGAAGTAGGAGTAGAAAAGAACATCTTTAATCTCCAAAAGACTTACTGCAAACATCATATTAAATTACAAAATATTTAAAAATTTATCTTGGAGATCAGGAACAAAACAAGGATGACCCTGATAACCACTGCTGTTCAACACTGTGAACAATGTTCTGACCAGTACATAAGACAAGGAAAAGGAAATAAAGCCATAAGAATTGGAAAGAAAGAAACAGAAAACTTTCTGCATTATTTACAGATGATATGGTTGTATTCATAGAAAATACAAATGACTTGGTTGATAAACTACTGAAATTACTAAGAAAATTTAGCACAGTCTCTGGGTACAAAACCTCAATATCCCCAAATCCAATATATTTCTCCATACCACGAGCAAACAGAAAATGAAATTAATATAAAATATATAGAAATAAATCTAATAAAGAATGTGCAAGATCGTTACAGAATAAAATGATGAAGCCTTATTTTGAAGCATTAAAGAAATGCCACAAAGGGGAGATATACCACAGTACTCTGAGCAAAAAAGATGTCAATTCTCCCTAAATTTATTTCTAAATTCAATGCAATTCCAATAAATGTCTTTGGTGGAACTTGAAAAATTGATTTTAAAATTTATATGCAAATACAAAAGGCCAAGGATAGCCATTACCCTTTTGAAGAAGAAAAAAAACCCACAAAGCAGAAAGACTTGATCCGCTGGATATCAAAACTGTTATAAATCTGTAGTAATGAAGGCAGTATATTATTTTTCAAGGATAGAAAATATAGACTAATGGAATAGAATGGAGAACCCAGAAATTTATCTACACATAAGGTTAATATTTGACATACCTTGCACTGTAGAACAGAGGAGAAATGTCAGTCATTAAAATAAATAGTACTGAGACAATGGGATGACTCAGCCTAGCAAAGAGAGGCATCATCAGACACAGTGAGCAGCTTAGGTCATGCTCTCCAGAAGCAGAGCTGGAGATAGGGATTCCTTGGATGCTGTTTATTGGATGAATGCTTCCAGAAGAAGGGGAGGGAGATAAGAGGAACAGAGCAGGGGAAGGTGCTAAGTAAGGATGTGTTCTTAGTTTCAGCCTGATTCCACAAGGAGTTCTGTAGCATAAACTGCACCACAGAGTTGGTTCCCCTTGAAGCAAGGACGCCAGAATTTTATATCTCCGTGGCATTTAGTATGGGTTGTGCCCCAAAGGCAGAGGTAGGTATAGCTTCCTGGGCAGCAGGGGTTCTCATTCAGCTGGGGGAAGTTCTGCAAAGAAGGGTAATCTCTTAGTAATCAACATGCAACGGCTTGAGGAATGGGTGATTGATTGGTAAAGGGAATCACTGTGGAGCACCAATAGTGTCCTCTGCAGTGGGGGCCTGATTAGCACTCTTGAGTCAACCTTAGTTCTCGTGCAACGTGGACCATATGTTGGAGCCAGGAAGCTGCCCATGAGGCTGCCTGTGACAGGGTGCAGTCATCTGGAGCAGAGGGTGAGGGTAAACTCTGCTCCCAGGGGTTGAGGAGGAGGTTGTAAAAGAGACCCAGAGGGATTTCTAGAGATTAGATTGAAGTTGCCAGAGGGAGAGGGCCAATACTCTTCTAGTATATTGAGCCAATAAACAAAAACAAATCACAAGTTCACCAGCTGCAGTCACTGACCTCAAGACCAGCATGGGACACAGCACCAGAAAATTCAAGACCACCATTTCACATGAATCCCACTTCCCCAAGATCCAAGCTGTAGCCTAGAGAAGACACATGGGCTTAGAAATAAATGCTATTGGGGTCTGTGAAGAATAATATATCAGGTTATGAAGTAGAGAAACTATATTTTTACTGCATATTTGAATTGTGTAAGTGACATTTCAACATCTACTTTAAAACATTTTAAGGGCACTAGATTGCTATATTCAAACAGATAAATGATGTAGTCAAAAGTCTGGCCTTTGACAACAAGATTATAAACCTTTTGAGAGCAGGATGGTGCAAACCACACAGGAGAGTGTTAGATAATTCCATCTCATCTCATATTATTTCTTTTCATGATATTTGAAACTTGTATTGAGATATCTGTTACTAATTTAGAGAAACATCTATTTAGACCCACATCTCACACTACAATACCAAATGAATAAATTATATATAAGAAATTAATTCAAAAGGAAAAACAGTGAACTTTATGAGGTCTCTGGAGTTTGCCATAAGTTTCATAATCTTTAAAGTGATAAAACATCACAATTATTATGACTGAAAAATCTGATTACATAAAAATTAAAATTGTGTACCTAAGAAATTAAACAACACAGGGGAAATATTTTCAACAAATATGAGAAACAGAGGCTTAATGTCTTAACCAAATGAAAAAGAAAAACATTACTACCCTGATAATAAAGAAGAAAAAAGACAGACAATTCCCAATGAGGAACTGTGCTAAATAGACAAATATGTGAGAAAGTGTTAAACCTTTCATTCTGACATTAAACAAATATTTATTGAGTATCTATTAGGGGCCAGACACAGTTCAAGGTACTTTATAGAAGTAGTGCTAGCACGACTACTACCTAATTTTCTAGGTACTAGTCATCAAAGAATATAAGTCAAGTTACTAATCAAGTACAATTAAAATTGAAATTGATGTTTTCATGCACTACTGATGGAAGTGAAATTATACAAACCTACTTGGATTTGGCCATACCTGTATAGTGATATAGCATTGTTCTAGTTCTTTAACTCAGTAATTCTACTTGGAGGAACATATCTACAAAGGAAACAAGATCCTAAGAGGAAAATAAACTTATATACTTGAAAATGTTCATCACATTGTACTTTATAGAGGAAGAAAACATATATATAAGCACTGTAAATATTTAACAATTTAATTCAAAGCTTTCCAAAACTTATTTTACTATAGAATCCATTTTCATGGAATATCTGTTACCTTGCTTGAGAACACACTTTCAGAAAGAAAAAGATCTATAATTTTGGCAATCTTCCTGTTAGGGTCAAAGGGCTAATGAAATGGTTGACATAGTAATAAAATTTTCCTTGGTAACATGTTTGGAACCAGACTCACCTAAGCACCAGCCTCTAACCTAGAAAGGAGAAAGCTCCTAGAACATAGATAATCAAAGAGAATGATGACCTCTGGTTATGTACTTTTCTAGATTTTCTGAGGTGTGACCCTCAGTAAAGCTAGATAAGACAGCCTCCACCTATCTACTGGACATAGACACTGAACTTCTCAGAAAGCATGAGAATGAATCTCTTGTTTCATAGAAATCGAGGCATTCATAGAAAGGACAAGCCCCTTTTATGAACTAGGGAGTTCAGAAAAAAGGGCAAACTACCTGATGGCGTTCTCAGAATAAACATTCTTAGCAATCGTGGGCTAAGAGCTCTCCAGGGTCCTGAATAACTGCTGCTGTCTGTCTCTGGCCTGGTGGAATCTTGCTCTCATTAGTGTCTCTCACCTAGCAGATTCGCTACCCCTGCTTGCCTTGGCTCTTGCCCTCTGGCCTCTGGCTTCTTGACAGCATCTGTCTGTGACATATAACGAGACTTCAGTCACTTCCTGTTCTCTGCATGTACTGGCAGCTTCATTTATCAGGTTCCTTCTAAAGGAAGTCGATTTGAGCCCATCTCAGTAGAAGAGAATATATATTTTATTAACTCTTGATTATACTATCAGGAAGGAAGGGAACTCAGGGGAGATAATTTTCAAATGTAAGTCCTCTTTTTAGATCAGTAAAGCCTGCTATCTGTTATTGTATTTTCTTGTTGCTGGGATACTTGAGGAAGTAACTACTAGAAGAACACGTGGAGAAAGCAGAAGGAGGAGATCATCAGAGAGTTGAGAGATGCAAAGACTTGTCTATCCTTCCAAATCTTTCAGTTACTGGATTATCAATAGTGTACAGCACAGTGCATTACATATGGTTTTTGCTAGTAAACAAATGAATATTAAACTACGCACTAGAAAAACAGAGTTCTAATCCTGGCTTTTTTTTTCTAAATTAAGTAGCTGTATAACACTGGGTAAATAGTTTAACTTCTCTGTATTAATGTATGATAACTGGTGCAGTAATAACCCCAATATTCCAATCATTTAAAACAACATAAGCTTATTTCCCATGCATGTAACAATTCAGTGCATATTTCTGACAGGGTGGATTTTCTGGGTAACTCTCCTCTTAGTTGTGACTCAGCCTTCTTTTATCTTGCAGCTTTGCTATCCTTGCAGTCCTTAGAATCATCTTCATTCAGGTAGTCACTGAGGAAAGGGAATGGGAGGCTTATATACTGGAGGGTTGTGTGGGTCAGGCCATGAAGTGGTATACATCACTTCTACCCATATTCCAGTGGACAGGACCCATCACATGTTCAAATCTAACTGCAGGGGATCCTGGGAAATGTAGTCTTGCTTTGCACCCAAAAGGAAAAGGGACACGGTGTGGTGGACAACTGACCAGCTTCCACCATACTGTCTGAGTTCTGGTTTCCTCAACTGTAAAATGATGCAAATGGTATCTGCCCTTTCCTCTCCGTAGAGTTATTATGAAGCTTAAAGGAGATCATAAACTTGAAAATGCCTTGAAAAGTGTAGAACAACATATATAGATAGGGAATCATTATTGCATGGCTTACCTATTTTTAAATGTTAATTTTAGAACTGAATAAATGTGTCTTTTCTTTGGTAGGACTCCTTATAGTTGGCTCTAGTATATACCAAGTATAAATATATTTAATGGGATAATATAAAATATTTTCATATGGGGTGAAAATAGAGATTGTAAATGGATTTTTGACATTTCGTAATTTGAAGGCTTTGATAAAAATATACCAGGATAAAATTTAAAAAGAAAGTACTATTTTACCTTCAAGCTTAAATTTCTTGCCAAGTTCTTTAAGATGCTTATAACCTCCCAGACAATAAAACCTACCATAGGTTTGATAATAGGTGGTAAGTTCGATTATTTTTGACATTCTTCCCTGGAATGGTTTTTGGAAATGGGAGACTTACTATGATCGTTGTGCATGACATATAATTATTTATGTACAAACACACACACACACACACAGCCCCCTTTTTACTTTTCTGAAACCCTTCAACCCTTAACAGCCAGAAGCCACTGTTTCCTCTGGCTCCCAAAGCAAGCAAACAAAAAAATTTGCCTTTTCCAACTTCTTCTCCTTCTCAGATTTGCCATTAATCAGAGGATCTGATAGAATTTCATTATGCTTACATACCCAGCAACACTCCAGTGATTTCTGAACACTGATCACTCTTTAGTTTCATTATGTTTTGACCTGAAGCTACCATCAGCCATCTGGGAAGGGCTGTTATTTAAGCAAACATCACTCAGCCTATTGTGACTGAGGCACTGGATCATGCTGAACTGAGAGATTTCTTCTAGGGATGAAAGGAAATAATAAGAAATCACAATAGCAAGGGACATACTTTGAGACCCAGCTTAGTTTTCTGAAAGGAGAAAAAGAAAGACATTTGTTTGAAACCCCAAGGCCTTAGAGTAGTTCACTAGAGCACATAAGGCTTAGGAATAATGTCTAATTTATCTTAGAGCAGACTGAACTCTCAGCTTAAAAATTCAAAGGAAAGATTATACATATTGAGTTACTCTCAATATGCATAAAATAATTGAATGTGAACATGACCTAAAGGAAATTAGACTGCACATAATCGTGCATTCTGGTGCACTGTGGCATTAACTGGAAGATATAGTGCCTTGGGTTTTGTGGAAGGAAATAGAAGTTGGGATGTAAAATGAAGCAAAGAAGGAGATGCCCTTGGAAATATGAATTGCTATAAAATGAAAGCAGTGTCTAATCAGATAAGAGCCTTCTACAGAGACAGTATCCCTCACATCTGGGTATCTTGGCTATCTATCTCTTATTAGGAAAAAAAGTGGGTCAGGGAATTATACCAAAGCAGATCCCTTTCAGCTGGGCAAGCTTTGAGAGAATTAAAAAATCTCTTCTAGTGCCTCTCAGTGGACATCCTTTTTTTTTTTTTTTTTTTTTAAATCTCCTTCTATCAGCCATTTGCCGGCTACATTTCTACATGGGTTTCATTCCGGTCTGTGTTCTACTCACCCTCTGTATCTTATGGCACATGGGTGCCAAAGACAAACATGCTGAAAACGCTGGAGTCCTCCAGCGGATTGAGTCCACCACGTATTGGCTGACAGCTTGCATTAGTGAATATCCTCTTCTCATTTTGACAATTAAGCCGGGTTGAAAGTGAAGAGGAGACGGTTTTGCTTCTGGAAGGATCTGAGTATTGAAATGTTGTACTTGGAACAAAATTTACTCCTTGACAAGATAATACATTTGGATCTTTCCAGATTCTGTGAGGAGGGAGACATGAGGGAGTGTAGAGGCAATGTGAGAAGAGTGGAGGAAGAACTGGGGGTCAGTGCTTCAAACCTGGGATCTCGTGATGTCTTTTATTGAAACTGGGAACTTGGCAAGTTGTTGATCACTCTAAGCCTCAATGTTCCTGTTTGCAAAATAATAGTAATAATGGTAATGAACAACTGAGAGTCAGGGTGGCATAGTGCACAGTGTGCACACTCCAGAGACGCATTGCCAGGGTTCCAATGCTGGTTGTGCTGTTATTACCTGCAACACTTCTGTCCCTCAGTTTCCTACTTGTTTTGTTCTTCTGATTTTATATCTAGCTGAATAAGCTTGAACTACATTGCTGGTTGCAGAATATTTCATTGTACTTTTAAAAAATCAATAAACTTTTTTTTTTTAAGAACAGTTTCAGGTTCACAGCAACATTGGGCGGGGAAATACAGAGATTTTCCATATTTCCCCTGGTTCCACACATGCATAGCCTCCCGCACTATCAACATCCCTCACCAGGGTGCTACATTTGTTACAACTGATGAGCCCATACTGACACATTATCAGCCGAAGACCATAGTTCACATTAGGGTTCACTTTTGGTGTTGTATGTTCTATGGGTTTGGACAAATGTATGGTGTGGATCCACCAGAGCAGTGTTGTACAGAGTACAGGCATGCCTCAGAGATATTGTGGATTTGGTTCCAGACCACCACAATAATGTGAATATTGCAATAAAGTGAGTCACATGCATTTTTTGGTGTTCCAGTGCATATAAAAGTTATGTTTACACTATACTGTAGTCAATTATGCGTGCAATAGCATTGTGTCTAAAAGAGCAATGTATGTACCTTAATTAAAAAATACTTCATTGCCAACCATTATTTGAGCCTTTGGCGAGTCATCATCTTTTTGCTGGTGGAGGGTCTTGCCTGCATGTTGAGGGCCTTACTCTGGATTAGGCTTTGGCTTAAAGGAATGTTGTGGCTGGTTTGATCTTCTATCCAGACCACTCCAACTTTCTCCATTTCAGAGATGAGGCTGTTTTGCTTTCTTGTCATTCATGTGTTCACTGGAGTAGACTAATTTCCTTCAAGAACTTTTCCTTTGCATTCACAGCTTGGCCAACTGGTTGGTGCAAGAGGCCTAACTTTTAGCCTGTCTTGGCTTTTGATATATTTTCTTCACTAAGCTTAATCATTTCTAGCTTTTGATTTAAAGTGAGAGATGTGCAACTCTTCATTTCACTTGTACACTTAGAGGCCATTGTAAGGTTATTAATTGGCCTAATTTCAATATTGTTTTGTCTAAGGGAATAGGAAGGCCTGAGGAGAAGGAGAGAGACAGGGGAATGGCTGGCCAGCAGTCCGAACATATGATATTTATCAATTAAGTTTGCTGTCTCATATGGGTGTGGTTTGGTGACCCAAAAATCATTACAACAGTAGCAATAAAGGTCATTGATCACAGATCACCAAAGCAGATATAATAATAATGGAAAAGTTTGAAATATTGCAAGAATTCCCAAAATGTGACACAGAGACACAAAGTGAGCACATGTTGTTGGCAAAACCTTCAATTTGTGAAAAATGCAACATCTGCAAATCACATAAAGCAAACTGCAATAAAACGAGGTATGCCTGCAGTTCCACTGCCCTAAAAATTATCTGTGCTTAATCTATTCATCCCTCACTCCACACAATCCCTGGCAATCACTGATCTTTTTTTACTGTCTCCATAGTTTTACCTTTTCAAGAATGTCATACAGTTGGAACCATACAGTATGTAGGCTTTTTGTATTGACTTCTTTCACTTAGTAATACGCATTTAAGTTTCCTCCATGTCTTTTTATGGCTTGATAGCTCCTTTCTTTTCAGTACTGAATAAAGTCCAATATCTGGATGTACCATAGTTTATTCATCCATTCACTTACTGAAGGACATCTTGGCTGTTTTCAAGTTTTGGCAAATATAAGTAAATCTACTATAAACATCCATGTGCAGGGTTTTATGTGGATATGTTTTCAGTTCATTTGGGTAAATACCAAGTAATGTGATTGCTGGATTTTATGATAAGAGTATGTTTAATTTTGTAAGACACTACCAAACTGCCTTCCAAAGTGGCTGTACCATTTTGCATTCCTACCAGCAATGAATGAGAGTTCCTGTGGCTCCACATTCTTGCCAACATTTAGAGTTCTGAGTGTTTTGGATTAGGGCCATTCTGCTAGGTTTGTGGTGATATGTCATTGCTTTAATTTGCAATTCCCCAATGACATATGATCTTGAACATCTTTTCAATTCTTTACTTGCCATCTGTATATCTTCTTTGAAGAGGTGTCTTTTCAAGTCTTTTGTCCATTTTCTAATTGGGTTTTTTATTTTCTTATTGAGTTTTAAAGGTTTTTTGTTTATTTTGGATAATAGTCTGTGGTGGTTAGTTTTTTTTTTTTAATATACTTTAAGTTCTGGGATACATGTGCAGAATGTGCAGGTTTGTTACATAGGTATACACGTGCCATGGTGGTTTGCTTCAGTTTTGCCGACTTGATTATACTAAGGGATGCCCAGATAGCTGGGAAAACATTATTTCTGGGTGTGTCCGTGAGGGTGTTTCTGGAAGAGATTAGCATTTGAATCAATAGTCTAGCAAAGAAGACCTACCTTCACCAGTGTAGGTGAGCATCATGCAATCTGTTGAGGACTGAAATAGAACAAAAACGCAGAGGAAGGGCAAAGTTGCTCTCTCTTCTTAAGCTGGGATATCCAGCTTTTTCTGCCTTCAGACATTGGAGGTCCTGGTTCTTGGGCCTTTGGGCTCCAGACCCTGGGACTTATGCCAGTGGCACCCCAGTTCTCAGGCCCTTGGACTGAGACTGGTGGTTACATAATTGGCTCCCCTGGTTCTCAGGCCTTCAGACTGGGACTGAATTACATTGATGAATTTTTAAATGTTGAACCAGCCTTGCATATGGGGGATAAATCCCATTTGGTTGAGATGTATACTGTTTAAATACGTTATTGTACTTGATTTGCTAATATTGTGTCAAGAATTTTTGCATCTATGTTTATGAGAGATATTGGTCTATATATACATTTTTCAATTTCTTTAGCTGGCTTTGGTATTAGGGTGATGCTGACTTCATAGAATGAGTTAGGAAGTAGTCCATCTGCTTCTATATTCTGAAAGAAATTGTAGAGGATGGGTGCAATTTCTTTCTTAAATGGTTGGTAGAATTCACAGATGAATCCATCTGGGCCTTTCGGCTTAGGAAGGTTACTAATTATCAATTTGATTTCTGTAATAGATACAGGCCTATTCAGATTGTCTATTTTTCTTATGTGAATTTTGTTAGATTGTGTTTTTCCAAGAATTGGTCCATTTCATCTAGGTTATCAAATTTGTGGGTATAGAGTTATTCATAATGTTCCCTTATTATTCTTTTAATGTCATTGGGGTCTATAAAGATGTCCCCTCTCTCACTTCTGATATTAGTGACTTGCATCTACTATTTTTTTTCTTAGTTAGCCAGGTTAGAAGTTTATTGATTTTATTGATCTTTTTAAAAAATCCAGCTTTTGGTTTTGTTTATTTTCTTCATTGATTTTCTGTTTCTGATTGCACTGATTTTTACTCTAATTTTTATTATTTATTTTCATCTGCTTACTTTGGATTTAATTCGCTCTTCTGGGTTTGTAAGGTGGAAGCTTGGATTACTAATTTTAGTTCTTTTTTTCTAATATATGCATTCAATGCTACACAATTCCCTTTAAATATTGCTTTTGCCAAATTCTGTACTGAACATATTTTGATAAGTTGTATTTTTATTTTCATTTACTTCAAATTAAAAAAAATTTCTCTTGAGATTTCTTCTTTGACCCATGTATTATTTAGAAATGTGTCATCTAATTTCCAAGTATTTGGAGATTTTTCAGATATTTTTCTCCTATTGATTTCTAGTTTAATTCCATTGTGGTCTGAGGGCAGACATTGTATGGTTTCTATTCTTTTAAATTTGTTAAGGTGTGTTTTGTACCTCAGAAAGTGGTCTATTTTGGTCCATGTTCCATGTGAGCTTGAGAAGAACACATACTCTGCTGTTGTCAGGTAAAGTAATCTATAGATATCAATTATATCCAGTTGATTGATGGTGTTGTTTCATTCAACTATGTCCTTACCGATTTTCTGCCTGCTGGATCTGTCCATTTCTGATAGAGGGGTGTTGAAGATTTCAACTATAATAGTGGATTTATCTATTTCTCCTTGCTGTCTTATCAGTTTTTGCCTCACATATTTTGACTCTCTGTTGTTAGGTGCACACACATTAAGAATTGTTATGTCATTTTGGAGTATCAACCCTTTTATCATTTTGAATGCCTCTCTTTATCCCTGATAACTTATTTTGCTCTGAAGCTTTCTCTGTCTGAAATTAATATAGCTACTCTTGTTTTCTTTTGATTAGTGCTAGCATGGTGTTTCTTTCTCCATCCCTTTATTTTAAATCTACTTATGTCTTTATATTTGAAGTGTGTTTCTTGCGGACAACATAGAGTTGGGTCTTCCTTTTTGATCAGGTCTGGCTATCTCTGTGTTTTAATTGGTGCACTTACAACATTAATGTTCAGAGTGATTATTGATACAGTCAGATTAAGTTTTACCATATTTATTACTATTTCCTATTTGTTGCCCTTGTTCTTATTTACTTGACAAATACAAATTGTATATATATAATTTATAACACATTGTTTTGAAATATGTATACATCATGAAATGGCTAAATTGAGCTAATTAACATGCATTGCCCCACATATTTTTTTTTGTGCTGTGATGTTGCCCTTGTTCTTTGTTCTTTTTTGTCTCCCACTCTTCTGTATTTTGTTGTTTTTTTAATGAGCATTTTATGTGACTCAATTTTCTCTCCTTTATTAGCATACCTGCCATACTTCTTAAAAATTTTTTTTTAGTTGGTTGCCCTAGCGTTTGCAATATACATTTACAACTACTCCGATAGTGCAGGTGCCTTCTAATAACATAACAATCTTAACTCTTCCCTCTTACCCCTTGTATCTTTGCTATTATTCATTTTACTTATACATAGCATATATAAACACACACACACATAAACGTATATAATTGAATACATTGTTGATATTCTTATTCTGAGGAAACTGTTATCTGTTAGATCAATTAAGGATAAGAAAAATTAAAATTTTTATTGTATTTTCACTTATTTCTTCTCCAATAGTCTTCCTTTTTTTATGTGGGTCCAAGTTTCTGACCTGTATTATTTCCCTTTTCTCTGAAGAACTTCTTTTAACATTTCTTGCACGGCAGGCCTACTGGTAACAAATTCCCTCAATTTCTGTGCGTCTGAGAAAGTCTATTTCTCCTTCATTAGTGAAGGATAATTTCACAGGGTACAGAATTCTAGTTTGGTGAACTTTTTTTTCTCAATACTTTAAACATTTCATGCCATTTTTCTTATTGGTTGCATGGTTTCTGAGGAGAAGTCAGATGTAATTCTTATGTTTTCTCCTATATAGGTAAGGTTCCTCCCACACCCCTACCCCTCTGGCTTCTTTCAAGATTTTTTCTTTATGTTTGATTTTTGGAAGTTTGAAAATGAAATGCCTAGTTGTTGTTTTTTGGTATTTATCCCACTTGGTGTTCTTGAAGCTTCCTGGATCTGTGGCTTGGTGTCTAACATGCGCCTCAGTTTCTTCATTTGTAAAGTGAGGATTTTAATAGCAGCTACTTAATGAGGTAGTTGTGGAAATTAAAACAAACTCAATACAATACATGATGAGCACTTAGAATAGTATCTGGAATATAGCCAGTGCTATGTAAATGCTAGCCATATTTAACAGACACTTGCCAAGCAACAGGCTAAGAGCTTTTTATACAGAACCTCATTTATTCTCCACAGAAACCTTGTTCTCACAATGTACCTATTATTATCCCATTTTACAGATGGGGAGATCGAGGTTTAAAGAGATTAAGCGTCTTGTCTATAATCACACAGCTAGTCAAGTGGAAGGTCTGAAACTCCTACTCAGGTCAGTCTGACTGCTAAGACCATGCCTTCAATTACCAAGGTAGAGCACCTCAGAAGGGGGTCAGATTCCAGTGAATCTCTGTGGTCCCTCCAGAACTAAAACCCTACTGTATGAAGTCTGAAATAATGTCAGTATAGTACTGTGATAAAGTTCACAGTCTTGGGGGTTGGAAAGATTGCCTTTAAGCAAGTCAGGCACCCTCTCTGCTTCCCCTGCTGTTACATGATATGAATCCAAGTACCTTCCTTATGGAGTTGTTTTGAGGGTTGAATGAGCTATTACATGTGAAATATCTAGCACAGAGCTTTGTAAGTGGTACTAGCACCTTATAGGTACTCAAAAATGTTAGATAATGAAATAATAGTAATTTAGAGGTCTTCTCTAGTAGCTATAGTTTTGGAAGGAGATGTGAAATGCCTTGATTTAGAGGCTCTCCAAGCTTTCCAGGGAGGAGGGCATATGGGAGGAAACTGGTTTGTTTTTTTTCTTTGTTTTTGAGACAGGGTCTTGCTCTGTCACTCAGGCTGGAGTGCAGTAGTGTGATCATGGCTCACTGCAGCCTCGACCTCCCTTGGGCTCAGGTGTTCCTCCCACTTCAGCCTCCTGAGTAGCTGGGACTACAGACATGCACCACCATACCCAGCTAATTTTTTTTTTTTTTATTTTTTTGTAGAGAGGGGGTTTCAACATGTTGCCCAGGTTGGTATTGAACTCCTGGGCTCAAGTTATCCTCCTGCCTCTGCCTTCCAAAGTACTGGGATTACAGGGGTAGGCCACCATGCCCGCCCAAGGGAAGAAACTGTTGGGTTTAGTTATAATAAACCAGACTAACTTACATGATAGGACCCAGCCCTGGGGCTGCACAAGAGCCTCCCTGGGCAGGAAGCTGAGATGTCTCTGGTATGTGGAAGATCTTATTTCTAACACTGGCAATCAGAAGAGAATCAGGACACTCCTGGGCGTCGCGGCAAGGCTCCTATTTATGATCAGTCACAGTCAGAGGAAGAATTCAATGGGAAGGAGTGTTTCCATCATGATTGGTACTGGTTAGATAGGGAGCAGATGGCCTTTAAGCGAGACATCAGCCATGCCAGACAGTGTTAGGACTGCCTGCTTTCTGAGCTTCTCACAGTGAAAGGGCTGCCACCATGATGTGACTTGGGCATAAAATCTCTTGGAACAGGGAGAGGGGAGATCTCTTCTTTGAATCAGAAGTGACAGCTTCTCTGGGGGCCAGACTTAGCGGACATGGTGTCAGGAGCAAAATGCCTCACATTTTGAAGTGTGTATGTGTGCCTACAATTCTGTTACTGCCTTTCCAATTTCAGCGGAAGAAACAGAATGGTTAAGTAGCAATTCTACTCCCTTTCTTTAGCTGCCCAAGCAGCCTTACCTCCAAAACTCTCGATTATAATCTCAAAGCCCCTTGCTAGCCTCCTCCAATCATTCATGCTCATCACACATCACTCACTACAATGGCACTACTTTGGTTTTCAAATCTCTCCCTTCAGTTAATAAGCATGGCTTGTGGGCACACTGTGTACCAGGCACTATCTTATAATTTGCAGATACATAGAAGAATGAGACAAAGTCCTGGCCTGCAGAATTGAGAGTGCTGAGCATGACAGGGACCTTTAAATAAATAGGTATAGCACTATGTAACGACCTATGAGAGAAGGGTTTTAGTTTGGGTTTCTCCCAAAGCAGGCCCTGCAACAAGAGTTTGAATGCAAGTAGTTTATTATTTGGAAGGTGATCCCAGGAAGCACTGGTTAAAGAAATCAGGGGGTTGAGGCAGGGAACAGAAGAAAGTTGGTCAGGGGTACACTTTAAGCTAGCTACTACTATAAGCAACTGGGTATTTCAGTCCTTCCCGGTAACTTCTGGGAGACACTGTAAAAACGAGCCTCAGAGTTGTCCCCACCAGGGGTCACAAAGCTGGAGTGGTTATCCATCAGATCCGTCTTCATTGTTTGAAGGCTGCCTCAAGGGGCATTAACTCCCTAGCATGTACAGTTGGGCCCCTACTTGGGCCAAATGTGCTCTAGTGAGCAGATGTCAAGCCCCCAGGTGGAGCCACGGATGTTCATAGCAAGCTGCCTTCCCTGTAGAGGTGAATTCCAAGAAAATGAGGGTAGGGTGCCAGCAGTATCTGCTAAAAGAAGTGTGTTGACTTTACAGTGGGGGGACAAGGAGAGGATTAGTCAACAAAGACTTCATAGAGAAGAGCTTTCAACAAAGCTCTTCCGGCGTTTGTGCGAGACATCAACCATGCCAGACAGTGTTAGGACTGCCTGCTTGGGTGATCAACAAAGACTTCATAGAGAAGAACTTTCCCAGTAGGAACGAGGCACAGAACATTTGGAAGAATGCAATAAGTTCAACATAGCTGGCACATGAGAGTGGCAAGGAAGAGAGTGTTGAATGTGGCAAAAGTGCTGGCAGGTGGGCCAGTGTCACAGTCACCTCAGGGAGGGCCTGTCTGCCAAGCTGCACTCCAGACTCCACCTCAAGATGCATAGAGAACCACAGGAGGGCTTTACGAAGAGCTGTGACCCAGCTGCATTTGCTTTCTAGAAACATCCGTCTGGCTATGGTACCCAGAACAGGTTGATGCTCCTTCCTGTTTGCTCCCTGTGGCTTTGTGTCTATTTCCTGTTGCTGTGAGCGCTATCCCAGCAGTGGTAATTTGTTCCCGGTTGGCAGTTTCCCCAACATTCCAAGAACCAACCTCATTGTGACTCCTCAGAGATACCAGCACAACCTGGGTGGCATCCCGTCCTCAGGGATCTGGGTTAGAGACCTATAGGGTACCTCCTCCAGGCTTTTAGGTTCTGATAATCCCCACCTCCTCTCTTTTTTTCCCCAGATCCCAGAGGCAGTCACTGGTCTCTAAAGCTCCTAACTCTGTGGCATCTCAGCATCCCCTTGGTCTACCTTTTTAGTCCTCCAACACACTTTAAGCAAGCTAGCCTCAAATGCCCTGCTCATTTCTGGTGAAACAACTGCTGCGCTCTCTCTTTCTGTCTGGTCTCTGACTGATACCAGGAGGGACACACAACAGAGTCTCAGAGGAGCAGGCTTAGATTGGATACCATTTGCAATCCATGAATTTGCAATCCACACGCTTGCTTGATTTTCCCCCAAAGCTCTCAACAGCCAGGACACAGCAATGGAGAAGGCTGAACCAACCTTGGGGGTTTGTAGAGAAAGATGTTTAAGAGGGCACACAAGCATCAGAGGTAGTGAACTAGAAAATAGCAATGGCAGCAGCAGCGATGATCATAATTTTGCGTTTACTGTGTGCCAGGCACTCACTGTTAAGTGCTTTACATATACTGTTAATTAACTTAATTCTCACTACAACCTTGTGAGTCAGGTATTCTCCATTTGACAGACGAGGATACCGAGGCACAAAGAGGCTAAGTCATGTACCCAAGGTCAAATAGCTAGTAAGGGGCAAAATTGCTCTTTGAACCTGGGCAGTCTGTCCCCATGGTTAAGACTCATAATCATTATGAGGGGTGATTTTCTTGCCCTTGGCCTCTGTGGTTCCATAGAAATATGACGGAGTGCCTCCATGACCATCTGAGGCTTGGCTGTATGGTTTCAGAGATGAAGACACATTTCCAAGAAGCCCTCACAGAAAGAGAAAGCTGGCCTTAATCTATGAAGACGAGAAGGAAGAGAAAGGCCGAGAGGGAGGCCAGTAACTCCTGATTTGTACATGCACAGATGGAAATGAGACAGAGGAGTGGAGAGTTTATCATTCTCTGAAAGCTTAATTAGGTCATTGGTGAGGACAGAATATTAAAAAAAAAAATCCTACTAGCTAAAGACCTGTGGGATTTAATTCCCTCATTCCTGCTCTTTAGTCTTAGAATAAATGAAGCCTTTTCCTAGTAACAAAAATGATGTTTGAAAAATGATTGATTCTCCTAATGAGGAAAGAGAACAGCTGCCTGAACAGCAGATGTAACTTTCATAATCATTTCCTCTTCATCGGTTTTCTCCCTAACGACCCCAACACTGATGATAGTATTTAAGAAGGAGGGTGTGTGATGGGCAGAGGCCTGGAATGATCAGGAAGCTTGGGCAAAGAGGGAAACAGTTGGCCGGAGTCCTTCATGATCAGCTGCATTTTTAACAAGCCCAACGTTATGGCTGGTTCATCAGGCTGGATGAAAACGACAGCGTTTGCGGCAACCCAAGGTCCCAGGAGTGAGGGCCAGGCCTGGCAGAAAAAAACACCTTCAGCTACCACATATACTTAGATCTGCTCTGACTTCACCAAGGCTCTAGAGTGAACCGTCATGCAGAGAGGAACAGCCCCACCAGGATACATTTCACAGCAAGTCTGCAAAGAAACTGAAAGCTGGTAGCAGAGGCAGCAGAGCATGGTGGTTAGGAACATAGGCCCTACCAGCAAAGTCTGCATTCAAATACTGAATCTGCCACTTACCAGCTGTGTGACCACGGACAAGTTTGCTAACCTCTCTGTGCCTCAATTTCTAACTGTGTGACCTTGGGCGAGTGTCTCTTCTTGCAGATCTTGTTGCAGATCAGTTTCGTAATCTGCAACAAGAATACCTACTTCACAGAGTTGCTGAGGGAATTAAATAAGTAATTGTTTGTAGGGCACTCAGAACAGTGCCTGGGATACGTCAAGTCTATTGATACATTTCCTAGATATAACATACCTGACCTCCTCTTGGCAAAACTGAATCAGCCAAGTTTTTCTGCCATTGGCAAAAGTGTGATTCAGCAGTTTGTCTCCAATGCCCTCAAAGTTCCTGGACCTCTTTCTCTTCCCCTCACTTCAGTGGCATGGGGGCCCCCACCCTTTTCGTGGTCCCCTCATTGGTCTCTCATTCTGCACAAATCTTTTACACCAATCTTATGAGGGACTGAAGAACCAATGCACGGTGAGATGCTGGGGTGGATGACTTTCATCACGTTCCTCCTCCACTTTAAATCAAGGGGCTCTAGTGGCATTCCAGGCACTGACTAGAAGTGATGGACCTCTTTGTGCTACTTGGTGCCCACTTTTATTGAGACAAGGTCTCGCTCTGTTGCTCAGGCTGGAGTGCAATGGTATGATCATGGCTCACTGCAGCCTCGATCTCCCCGAGCCCAGGTGATCCTCCACCTCAGCCTCCCAAGTAGCTGAGACTACAAGCATCACTACCATGCCTCACTAATTTTGGTATTTTTTTTTTTGTAGACACAGGGTTTTACCATGTTTCTCCGGCTCAACTCCTGGGCTCAAGTGAGGGTTTTTGGGAGGCTTGGCCTCCCAAAGTACTAGGATTATACGCATGAGCCACCGCGCCCAGCTTTGATGCCTATTTTGTGTGGACCCTTCTGGTGTCCCTCACCACAGCTCAGAAATCTTGAGCTGTTCCTCCAGCTGGGATCCTACACCCATACCACCACACCCCTCCCAAAATTGTACCTTCAGAGCTGTTGTCTGTCTGGCTTATTAGCATAGCCATTATGGGTTCAGAAAACGCTGGAGGCCAGACCTGCTTGGTAGTACTCTTGTCCACATATCCAGGCAGCTGTCCCAAATTTGGGTTTGGTTCAAGTAGGTATAACTATCCCAAATGTTAAAGAGTAAGCTTTCTTTTAGTTTTCAAGGCATTTGTCTTCATTTCTTTTATCTCCATTTTGCAAGTGGAAAAAAAATTAGGCATGGTTGCGTGTACTAGAAAACCTATCTTCAAGTGGGTTCGAAAATATGGGAGGTTTATGGGCCCAGATAAAGGAAGAGCCCAGTGGTAGGGCAGTGATCAGCTGTGGTTTTGTGAAGACTCTGACTTCTTTTCCCTTGAGATTCTCTTGACTCTTCTTCCCCATGAATGGCTTGATTCTCAGGCTGATAGAGGGCACTGCAGCACACCTGGGTTCAGAGCCACAACCCAAAACACCTGAGGAACACAGGAACCATCTTTTCTAGTGGCTCTATGTTTTTGAAGTTTCATTTTATTTTAATTTTTTTTTTCTTTTTTTGAGACAGAGTCTTGCCCTGTCACCTAGACTGGAGTGCAGTGCCACCATATTGGCTCACTGCAACCTCCACCATCGAGGCTCAAACCATCTTCCCACTTCAGCCTCCTGAGTAGCTGTGACTACAGGTGTGTGCCACCACTCCTGGCTGATTTTTGTATTTTTTTGTAGCGATGAGGTCTCGCTATGTTTCCCAGGCTGGTCTTGAACTCCTAGGCTCAAACAATTTTCCCACTTCGGCCTCTTAAAGTTCTGGGATCACAGGTGTGAGCCACCATGACTGCCCTTCCTTTTATTTTTAATTGACAGTTAATAATTATATATATTTATGCAGTACAATGTGTTTCTGATACATGTATACATTATGGAATGATCAAATCATGTTAATGAACAAATCCATCACCTCAAATACTTATCATTTCTTTGCAGTGACATTTAAAATCCATTCTCTTAGCTATTGTGAAATAAACATTATTATTAATGAAGTTACCATGAGGTGCAATAGATCACCAGAACTTATTCCTCCTAACTGAAACTTTGTACCCTTTGACCTTTCCTGTTCCACACCCTCGGCCTCTTAGTTCTATAAGTTCGACTTTTTTAGATACCACATATCAGTGAGATCATGTGGTATTTGTCTCTCTGTGCCTGGCTTATTTCACTTAGCACAATGTCTTCTAGGTTCATCTATGTTGTCACAGATGGCAGAATTTCCTGCTTTTTAAAGGTTGAATAGCATTGCATTGTGTATATATACACCACATTTTAAAAATCCACTTGTCTGTTGTTTCTGTGTCTTGGCTATTGTGAATAATGCTGCAAGAAACATGGGAGTGCTATCATCTCTTTGACATAATTATTTCATATCCTTTGGATATATACCCAGAAGTGGGTATATTAAATCAGTATTTTTAGTTTTTTGAAGAACTTCCATACTGTTTTCCAAAATGGCTGTATTAATTTACAATACCAACAGTGTACAAGGGTTCCCTTTTCTCCACATCCTCACCAACACTTGTTACCTTTCATCTTCTTGATAATAGCCATTCTTACAGGTGTGAAGTGATATCTCAGTGTGGTTTTAATTTGCATTTCTCTGATGATTAGTGATGTCGAGCATTTTTTTCAAATACCTGTCGGCCATTTGAATGTTTTCTTTTGAAAAATGTCTATTCAGGTCCTTTGACCATTTTTAAATGAGGTTATTTGTTTTCTTCTTATTGAGTAGTTTGAGTTCCTCATAGATTTTGAATATTAGCCCCTTAACCAATGTATGATTTGCAAATATTTTCTCCCAATCTGCCCGTTGTCTCTTCACTGTGTTAATTGTTTCGTTAACTATGCAGAAGCTTTTTAGTTTGGTGTAATCCCATTTGTCTATTTTTGCTTTTGTTTCCCGTGCTTTTGGGGCTATACCCAGGAAATCACTGCCCAGACCAATGTCAAGAAGATTTCCCCGTGTTTTCTTCTAGTAATCTTACAGTTTTGGTCCTTACATTTAAGTCTTTAACCCATTTCGAGTTGATTCTTGTATAAAGGGTGAGGTAAAGGTCCATTTTCATCCTTCTGCCTGTGAATATCCAGTTTTCCCAACACTATTTATTAAAGAAACTGTCATTTCCGCATTCTTGGCACCTATGTCAAAAATCAACTGAACCTGGTGGCTCTACGTTAATAACCTCCTTGAAAGTGTCCTTTTATGCCTCTTTGGTCTGAATCTTGTCATATGCCAACCCCTGAATGATCCTGGAAGCTGGGAGAATGCCATGTGCTAATTGGCTTAGTCTTGGGGTGTTGATCCTATTATTGTTAAAGGGGCCATTATTACATTTAGTCCAATGAAACCCACCAGTGATGTTGAGGATGGGTCAGCTTCCTTTCACACTGGGGGAGGTGGGAACCATGCCTAAACAAAAGGGCCATCAGCTTCCATGATGGCCTCCAATGATTCCTGCATCCTGGTATTCCCACCTCTCCCACATTGAATAGGGCTGAAATGTCACCAATCATATATTGCTGAAATGACAGTGTGTGACTTCCAAAGTTAGGTTATAAAAAGCATTGCAGCTTCTGCCTTGGATTGCTCCTTCTGGGGGAAGCCAGCCACCATGCTATGAGCACACCTCTGCAGCTCTGTATGGGGTCCCACATAGGAACTGAGACCTAGAGACAACAGCTTGCACCAACTTGCCAGCCATATGCGTGAGTCATCTTGGAACTGATTTTTTGTAGTGACGCCAGTGCCAGGCGAGCCTCAGATGACTGAAGCTCTGACTGACACCTTAACTGCAACCTCGTGAGAGACCCTAAGCCGGAACCACCTAGCTAAGCTTCAGAAAGCCACGAGAGAGGGTAAATGAGTATTGCTTTGAGCCATTAAGCTTTGGAGTGATTTGTTACACAGTATTATGCAACGGGAACAGTGACCCTCAATGGACACTGCACCGATTTCTTTTTTTAGATCCAAGGAGTACTCTCCTCCTTTCCTTTTCTTTCTAAATAATTGGAACTGAAATGAATGCTTTTCAAGGAATCCCCCACCTTTATTCCCCGTTACTTTCACTTCTTCACTGAGTACGCAGCTGCCAACCAAATACATTTTCTGAGAAATCTCACCTGAGTTGTTTAAAAATTCCACACTTCAGGCCACTGGGCATGGTGGTGCGTGCCTGTAGTCCTAGCTACTTGGGAGGCTGAGGCAGGAAGATTGCCTGAGCTCAGGAGCTCGAGATCAGCCTGGGCAACATTAGCAAGACTCTGTCTCAAAAAAAAATTTTTTTCACCCTTTCAAGTTGTGCACAGGCAGGACTGGTATGGAAAACAATGAGCTCGGAAGTTGCCTGAGTAAAAAAGTGGGAGTTTCTAGGGCCCATCCGAATAGCTGACCTGGAGTCAGTCCTTAATGCACACAGGTTCTACCAGGTCTGACAAACACCCTTTCAACTTTACAAATAATCAAGGTAGAATAGAATTTCCCTCTAGCAATATGATTAAGCTGAAAAGGTTTATAACATTTCATTTACTTTTTTCCTGATTATAAAGGTAAAAACTTTTTATTATAGAAAATGTGGGGGAAAACACTGAAAAGAATAAGGAATAAACTAGAAACCACCCATAATTTCACTACCGAGACTGCCATTAACATTTCTTCATTGCTTTCCTCATGCATTTTACTATAAAATTAGGATATGAAATATACAGTTTTATATCTTGCTTTTCCCTTTATATTCTAAAGCATTTTCTCATATGGTTAAATATTCCTTGAAAATATGTTCTTTCATAGATGCTTAAGGTTTTATTAAATAAATGTGCCACTTATTTAGCCATGCCTCTAGGTTATTCCCAAGTTTTTCCATCATAGACAACCTTGTATGTTCATCATTCACAAGTTTCTGATGATTATTCTGATGATAATTCCTAGAGTTAGAATTATTGGGTCAAGTTCATGATGATTTTCTTTTCTTTTTTTATTTTTATTTTTTGAGACAGGGTCTCGCCCAGGCTGGAGTGCAGTGGTGTGGTCTCAGCTCACTGCAACCTCTGCCTCCTGGGGTCAAGCGATCCTCCCACCTTAGCCTCCCAAGTAGCTGGGACCACAGGCCCATGCCACCACACCCGGATAATTTTTTGTATTTTTAGTAGAGCTAGGGACTCGCAATGTTTCTTTGGCTGGTCTTGAACTTGTGAGCTCAAGCAATCTACCTGCCTCGGCCTCCCAATGTGCTGGGATTACAGGCATGAGTCACCGTGCCCCACCAAGTTCATGACGATTTCCTAAGGCCACTGATCCATATTGCCAAATTGTCCTTCAGGAAATCTTACCAATTTATAGTGTTTGGTGAAAGTAATAAGACTATTCATATCACAATATTTGTCAAAACAGAGTAGTCTAATTTCTAAACGTGATTATCAACTTGAAAGGCGAAAACAGTATTGTTTTCATTTGCATTCCTTTCTTAGTTGGAAGTTGAACATTCTCTCTCACACATTTATTAACCATTTGTATTTCTTTTGTTGTCAAGTGTCTATCATATTCTTCAACTATTTTTTCCCATTAGGATTGCATTTTTTAAAAGAAACTAATTTTAAAAATACATAGATGAAAAATATCAAATATAGTGCAAAAATTTTCTCTGGTTGGTCATTTGCCTTTTACTTTTATTTCTGGTGTTTTTAGATGATCATATTTATGTCACTCTCTGCTTTTATACTTAGAAAGTTTGTTACTATGTCAATATGATTTAAGCATTTGTTTAAAATTGTGTTTAACCATTAACACATCAAGAACTTATTTTGTGGAATTGGTGTGAGGTAAGATTCTAAGTTTTGGGCTTCTTTTTCTGATTTAGTCAACCAGTTGCCCTAGGAGAGTGTATTGAACAACCCCACAGGTAATGAATGCCTACAAGTGACAAATTTCCTCAATTTTTGTTTGTCCGAGACAGTCTTTATTTTTCCTTTACTCTTGAAGGTTAATTTTACTGGATACAGTATTTGAGGGTGGTGGTTTTTTTTTTCTTTCAACACTTTAAATGTTTTCCTCTACTTTCTTCTTGCTAGTATGGTTTCTGAAGAGAAATCCGAGATAAATCTATTTACTTGTTCGTAGTCTTCTTGCTTTTCTATAGGTAAGGTATTTCTTTTTTTCTTTCCATTTGTTCTCTTTGTCTTTGATTTTCTACAGTTTGAATATGACATGCCTAGATGTGGACCTTTTGGTATATAACCTACTTGGTGTTACCTGAGCTTCCTGGATCTGTGGTTTGGTGTCTACCATTAATTTTGGAAAATTCTCAGTTGCTATTATTTCAAATATTCCTTCTGCTCTCTTCTCTCTTTTTTTTTTCTAGTATTTCCATTATGTATATGTGACATCTTTTGTAATTGTCTCACAGTGCCTAGATATTTTGTTGTGTCTGTTTCTTTTTTCTCTTTGAATTTCAGTTTTGGAAGTTTCTATTGGCATATCTTCAAGCTTACTGATTCTCAGCTGTGTCCAGTCTATTGCCAAAACCAACATGCAAATGCATTCTTCATTTCTGTTACAGTGTTCTTGATTTTTAGCATTTCCTTTTGGTTGTTTCTTAGAGTTTCCATCTCTCTTCTTACATCACTCATCTGTTCTTTTTTTTTTGCTTTTGAGATGGAGTTTCACTCTTGTTGCCCATGCTAGAGTGCAATGGTGTGATCTTGGCTCACCACAACCTCCGCCTCCCAGGTTCAAGTGATTCTCCTGCCTCAGCCTCCTGAGTAGCTGGGATTACAGGCATGCGCCACCACTCCTGGGTAATTTTGTATTTTTAGTAGAGATGCGGTTTCTCCATGTCAGTCAGGCTGGTCTTGAACTCCCGACCTCAGGTGATCCGCCCAAAGTGCTGGGATTAAAGGTGTGAGCCACTGCGCCTGGCCCATCTGTTCTTTTTGTTTGTTTTTTTTTTTGAGATGGAGTCTCGCTCTGTCACCCAGGCTGGAGTGCAGTGGCACAATCTCAGCTCGCTGCAACCTCCGCCTCCTGGGTTCAAGTGATTCTCATGCCTCAGCCTCCTGAGTAGCTGGGACTACAGGCACGCACTACCATGCCCATCTAATTTTTGTAGTTTTGGTGGAATAGGGTTTCGCTATGTTGGCCAGGCTGGTCTCAAACTCCTGACCACAGGTGATCTGCCCACCTTGGCCTCCCAAAGTGCTGGGATGACAGGTGTGAGCCACAACGCCCGGCCTCAATCATCTGTTCTTATGTGTTGGTGACTTTTTCCATCAGAGCCCTAAACAAATTAATTATAATTGTTTCCAATTTCTGGTTTGATAATTCAAAATTTCTGCTGTATCTGCATCTGGTTCTGATGCTTGGTTTGTCTCTTCAGACTGTGGTTTTTTGTGTTTTAGTATGGCTTGTAGTTTTTTGTTGAAAGCCACACATGATGTACTGGTGAAAACAACCAAGGTAAATAGGCCTTTAATGTAAGGTTTTATGTTTATCTGGCTGGGACTTAGGCTGTCTTTATGGTTTGCTGTAGCAGTAGGTGTTAAAGGCTAAAATTTTCTCTCGTGTTCTTGTTTTTGTCTCCCCTGTTGTCTTTGTGTTTTCTTAGAGGCTTCTTTAATAAGGTCTGAGACATGCAGTTATTTCAGTTGTATTTCTTTGCTGTTATATGGGAGCCCTAGTGATGTGGTGGTAAAGTTTGGGAAGAGGGGAAGTGTTCTGTAGTCCTGTGATTAGGTGTCAGTCTTTCAATGAGCCTATGCCTTTTGGCTGTGACCTCCACAGGTGCTTTTCAACAATGTTCAGTTCTGCATAGTCTCCCTGAGGCTCTAGTGTCTCAGTTAGACACCTAAGACTCAAGGTAGCTATAAGCACACCAGATCTCCCCATAGCCTGAATCTTTTCATATTGACTAGTGTATTCTTTTCCAAGGCAGGAGCCATAAGAAATTTTCCATTTTGGTTGCTTTTCATATAAGTTGAAGAATGTGATTAAGGGATCCACTCAGCCATATGCAGATAATAAACTAACTCTACAAAATGGCAGATGTTTAATGCTTCCCATTAATTAGAATAAAAATCCTGTGGAAAGTGAAGGGTTGGAGGACATTGGGTAAATTAATCCATGGTTTTTCTGATACTCCTTAAGATAATTTGAAGTTGCTGCCTTTAGAAATGCAAACTGCCTTGCACTATTTACATATTTTATGTGGGAAGTGGCAGGTTTTAATTTTAACTGCATACCACCTTTTCAATTGTTCCCTGAACAGAGTAGAAACTTAGAGAAAATTGTATGGAAAAAAAAAAAAGACCACCTGATAGTAAAACTGGGGACTGAAATGAGTTTAAAGTTCAAACAAAGTGCATTCCATAGCTGGCACAGTCTATAATCCATGCACATTTGATCAGGAAAACTATATGGTCTTTTACAGTGTTTTTGACTGCCTGGATTGACTCAAAGCAAGGAAAATTCATTCTTGAAGAAAAAAATGAGTAGACTCATGATATGCACAAAGGGATAGCTCTAGGGTTTTATGAAGTTTTTCCCATCTGATATAAAATTCTTTAAAAAAAGATTGGTTTTATGCTTTGGCTTTTCTTGGTTTTGTGCTTTGGAATCAAACTTACTTTTTATTTAAATCATGCAAAGGGATGTTAAATGACAAATTATAGATAAATTTCAATCTTCAGCCACAAAAAAAGCCTGAAAGGAAGGATATCTTTTTTCCTTTGCATTGGCCAAGTTCCTCTGCCTGAAACTTCATAAATTGAGGTGCTGGACTTTGAGCTGGGGCCATACTCTTGGAAAACCTACCTCATCACTTTAGGGGTTGCTTTCTTTGGGCCACACTTATAGACATTTTACTTCTTCTTCCATTAATCTCTATCACCAGATATTATATGAGTCAAGATAGGATAGACCATACTGCAGCAACAAATAACCCCAATAGCTCAGTGATTTACACAACAAAAGTTTGGTTTTTGCTCACAATCTGATGCAGGTCTGTGAGTTCTCCTTGGCGGTTCTAATTCAACACTTACTGGGATCTGGGTCATTTTCATCTTGCAACCCATCATCTTCGAGTTCGAGTCCTTTATGGACAAGAGAGAGTGGTGAACTCACCACTACAGTTAGTTGCGGTATATATCTTAGGAAGAGCTGGAGATGATGCCTAAGAGGAGGCATAACCAATATCAGAGCATAGAAGCTCACCCACTAAAATTCCCATTCTTTAAGCTTCAATTAGCATGAGTGAATACTTTTCCCCAAACTGCGATTCGTGCTAAGAGCATGAGCAAAAATTCTAGCAGCCACATGTGTCCCTTATTTCTAATGTTGCCATTGGTGCTGGGAGAGAGAAACACGACAGCAAAGGCAATATTGCATGAAATATTACATGAAAAATTACATGAACTAGGAAACTGGGGTGTGTGCACTATCTTAGGAGAATACATTCATCTCATTCATTTTATTGTGAGTACAATTTTCTTTCCAGTTAATTATTACAGTAGAAACTGTACTTCTCTCTCTATCAAGAGATTTTCCTCTTAAGCAATCTTGCTCTCGCTTTCAAAATGATTTTCTTTTCCTGTGGGCTTCAAGATCTTAATTTGAACAGTAAAATTGGAATATCCTCTCTTCGCATTTTGCCTCCAACGATCCTCAAGGCCATGTGGATGCCCGTGACTGTTCAGGCGAAAGTCACATACAAGACAGTGCAAAAAAGAAAAGCCCCAAGGTGATCATTTCCAGTGACTATTTTCATAACATGCTGTCTTGATTCCTGGTGTGTAGCTGTACTTTTGTGACAGACTCTTAAGTGCAGAGCACCCAGGCTCAGGTCTGGGCACCCCGGGCTAGTGTATGTGAACAGATGTGTGCAGGCCTGGATATTTTTCAAGACTCACACTAAGCATTTCTTTCTGATAAAGGGCTAATTCACAAGAAGCTCAAAGGTACTTTTAGAGATAGTAGGAGACACTTTATTCCAAAGTTTGGCAAAATATGCCCACCTGCATATTCATGGTGGTGCCATTTTGTTTGCAGTTATTGGAATGTGTTGGCTTTTAAAAATTATAGTTTTAAAAATAATGCAAGCATTTTATATATAGGCAAGAAATTCATATTAAATCTTTATACAGATCAGTTTGAAAATCACTGCTTTATTAATCAGCTGATAAGACACCAGGTAAAATCCTGACAATGTGAACACATGATAGGGAAGCTTCGATGGAACAGAGAAAGACTGGCAAAGGGGACGGAAAGGTCTTGGCTCTGGAAAGTTCCAGTTGTCTTTGTAGGAAGGAAGATGATGGAAGACTAATCCTGTCAGACCAAGAAAGAAGACCCATTTAACAAGTTAGTGATGTTTTCTTTCCAGAAAGTACAGAATGACTTCAATAATCACAGTAATATATTAGCTGGCAATTGTTCTTGGGTCAGTTTTTCTTTCGCCAACATTGCCTTGGATGTAGATGATGCAGGAGGGCACCCAGGTTCCTCAGGACTGTGCCGTGCTGTCTGGTACAAGGAGAAGGGGAGTGGGGGAGGAAGGGGAAAGAAGATGAAGGGGCGTGGGAGGAGGCAGCATGGCAGAGGCCTTGGGGCATTCTCAGGACTCATGAGTGTGGTTTCAGAGAGCCTGGTTCCATACACAGGGCTTCACTCCCAGGGTCCCAGTCACTTCGGCCAGGGAAGGCCCAAGCCACAACCATGAACTTTTGTATATGGCGGGGCACACCTTGAACAGCCAAGAAGCTGGAAGCCAGAGGACATCCCAAGGAGAAGCCTCCTCACCTCAAGGGAAGAAAGGAAGGAAATGAGTACTCCAGCCTAGAGGAAGGAGTCTAGCCCTTTGTCTCCTATCCCATTTCTACCTCTGGTGCTGGAGTAAATGAGGGTATGATATGACATTGGGACGCTGGGACATGTGCTGAGAGAGGTGTTAGTGGATTTTCAATGTCAAAATTCTGCTGGATTGATCCTTTTCTGCCACTCACATTCTTTGATGAGGCAGCTTAGCAGCACCAACACCCCTCACACACAACCCAAGGGTGCATATGGTCCTCGTGGCTGAGAGGTCCAACTCCCTGCTACAGGCTTCTGTTCTGACACAGCCCTCCCCGTCCCTCCCTAAGTAGTCCAGCTCACCGGCTGGACCTCTTAAACTTGCTGCTTGCTAGGTGACTCTCGACCTCAGATCCCACCATTCCAGGCTTCCCTCTGCAGAAAGGGAACCCTGCAGTATAGAGTTTTGTCAAGTGCATGCTCCTGAATGCAAATGTATCATGGGTGATGGGATAGAGAGAAAGAGGAACAACTAGCTAGACTGGCTGGGACAGACAGACCAAGAAAGAGGGGAGTGGGGACACTTGTGTGAGTGTTTTTGTGCATGTGCGTGTGCATCTACTTGTGTGTGTGTATGTGTGTGTTGAGGGAGAGGACAGAGTACTAAGGGTAGAGAGAAGCGTGAGTGATAGAGTTGGACCAAGCAGAGCTCTGTCCTTGTCTTGGGTTTTGAGATCCACTCTGTGCGGGCAGCTAGAGGTGGTCAGGAAGTGGGAGACAAAGGAGTCACCCAACAGATGCTGCTAGAAAGGAGAGATGGGCAAGGCAAGGCTACCAGAGGGCTGGACCAAGGTGGCCAGGACCTGGGGGCTGTCTAGGGGTGGGAGAGTGGGGTTAAAGGTCTGTAGGACTGGGACCTCTGGAACTTACTTCCCCAATTTCAGAAACTCCTCAGATCATAAGCCGCACTTTGGGAGAATTCTTTTCCTTCTTTCCCCCTTCAAGCCCCTTGTTGTCTGTTTAACCATGTCTTACCTGCCAAGATCAGCTTGGGCGGAGAAGGGGGTCCCTGGCAGTATGATTTGCCCCACGTGGGAGAACTGCTGCAGGGGCATGGCTGTGCAGGAGCTGGGGCAGGGGGTTGTGTAGACAAGGAGCAGAAACCAAACAGGGCTACCATTCTTGAAGATTTTTTTCTTGCTTACTAAAAGAACTCTTTTTCTTGCATGTTCTTGTTCACTGTTCTCACCTACTCATTCTTCAATGTAAATTTGAGAGCCAATCTGTCAAGTTAAAACAAATCCAGTGGGATTTTGATTGCAATTGTATCAAACCAATATATTACTGCATTTCATTAAAACTGAATTTGACACTAAATAATGAAGAACCAGACAGAAATGACTTTTTTTGTCATTCGTTTATTCATTTCCCCAGTAATACATATTGTGCACTTACTGTGTGCTAGGAAAGTGGTCCCATTGTCTAGAGACACTTGAGGAAATGGGAAGGGAAGGCCAGTCCCTGTTCTCCCACCACCCAACTCACTTGCCTTGCCCTAAAACCAGCCCTGGTTGGGCCTTGTTGTCATTAAAAAATTTGATATTATCTTCATCATGGATTTTTGCATTGATTTTAATTTTTAAAAATATTGCATTAAAATATTTATCTCGATGACTGAGTTTTTGGCATCCCTTTAAAGTTTGCATCTGAGGTGAGTGCCTGATCCTTAGCCCTGGGGAAGGTGAAGTCATGGAGGGATTAGCAGCAGGGCAGCAGTAAAGTGGGAACATGATCATAGACTTCCCAGGGAGCCAGGGGGACTGAGGACTAGCAGTGAGAAACTTTGTAACTCAGCTCAACTCCTAAAGACAATAAAGCAACAATTCTTCACTACATTATATTATAGAAATATGGCTTCTCTAAATGGCTGCCCCACTACAAGTGTGACAGGTGGCTCACAGCTGAATAGGAGGAGGGCACAGCAGGGGTACTGCCATCCTGAAAGGAGTGTCTTTACTGTCCCGCATGGGATCCAATTGCCACATGTGGCTCTTGAGCACTAAAAATGTGGTTAGTCCAACGGGTGTAAGGTTCACACTGGGTTTCAAAGACTTGGTATGAAAAAAAAAAAGGATCATATAGCTTATTCAAAATTCACTTTTATACTGATGACCTATTGAAATGTTAATATTTTGGATATATTAGGCTACAAAAACGATATTACTAAAATGAACTTCATCTGTTTCTGTTTCTTTTTAAAATGTGGCTACTAGACAATTCTAAAGTGCATATGTGGCTTGTGTTTGTGGTTCATACTATATTTCTACTGGACGATACTGGTTTAGGTGGTATGAGGGTATATGTCCTTGAACTTGGGCAGTGGCTCCAATCACCCATTGAGGCTCTTCCTCTAACCTCTGCCTCTCTGGCTGGGTGTTCAGCATGTAGCCTTACAAAGATGCCACTAACTAGGCTGGCATAACTCAGGGCTAACAGGTATTCAGGGATGGTAAGCATTACGGCAGTGGGGGAGGGCACTGGAGAGTGATGGGTGAGGTATAGTGGATGTCCTTTTTGACCTAGCACCTTTGAATATCTTTCTTTCATTTGCAGAGTGCCCCATCTTTTAAGTACTATCTCCCACAATGGAAGAAAGAGTCTCACTTTCCTGACCTCCTTTGCGGCTAGAGACCAGGGCTCAGCCAATCAAATACACGCAGGTCAGCATTTGACTTGGAAGGAGCCAGTGTTACTGCATGGAATCCATCAGGGTGAGTGTGGCAGCACCAACCTCCAGAGGCAGCAAGGTTCAGCATCAATGGGTGGGTGGTGCCAGCTGTTGTGATGGTGCCCAGAAGGTGGCAGAGGTGTCTCTCTTGGACCAGTCCTTTGGTGAGATTTGTGAGCCTTGTTCCTTACCACACAGCCTCTAAACTCATTCTCTGGCTTTTGAGAGCTTCTCTAGCCTTCAAATTTTTTCTTAGTTAGAATGGATTCTGCTGTCTGCAATTAAAATCCTGACTGATATATACAGTTTTCTATACTTGTTTATTAGTCCCCAAGTACACAAAAGATGCTTCAAGCAGTGAACAACTCTTGCTTAAAGACCTGCCTTGTATTCTGCACTGTGATAACAGCTGGAGGGATTCAGAAAAATATGAACCTTGGTTGCCTTGCTCCAGTAACTCACACCATTGATGTGTGGTGATTGGCATCCTGGTGCCAAAGTCTTCTCCAGGGGAGAGAACAGATTCTGACTCCTCTCCAGCTTTGAGCTACATTTAACTCTTCAATTTGAATTCTCTAGTATAATAAACTGCCTGCCGTCTTTTCCTTTTTTTTTTTTCTTTTGAGACAGAGTCTTGCTCTGTCACTCAGGCTGGAGTGCAGTGGCGCAATCTCCGCTCACTGCAACCTCCGCCTCCTGGGTTCAAGCAATTCTCATGCCTCAGCCTCCCCAGCAGCTGGGATTATAGGCACTGCCACCATGCCCGGCTAATTTTTGTATTTTTAGTAGAGACGGGGTTTTGCCATGTTGGCCAGGCTGATCTCAAACTCCTGACCTCAGGTGATCTGTCCACCTTGGCCTCCCAAATTGCTGGGATTACAGGCGTGAGCCACCACGCCTGGCCATCTCCCCTCTTTCTTGGCAACTATTCTCAAATCAACCTTGAGACCAAAGTTGTTCTGGACACACACACGCATACACACACACAGTTACAAAACCCCACTTAAATGTGGGGTTTTGTCACTGTCGCCAAGTGAGTTTACCAGCTTTCTTCCCTCTCTCAGAATTACCATGATGGAGAATGTGTTCCTTGTAAAAAAAAGGGGATACATTTTCAAGTCATGGACCTAAATAATTTTGCGAACATCAATTCCAGCATTTGAGTTCCTGCAAAAGTAGACTCTGAGGTGAAGATTTGGGTGCAAGTAGTTTATTTGCAAAGTGATCCCAAGAAGCATGGCGAGGGAGTATGGGAAAGAAGGTGTGTGAATGAGCAGATTACTGCTGTGGTCATCTGAGCTTATTCCTACTAAGGATTCTCTGAGAGATTGTGTAAAACATAACTCAAAAATGTCCCACAAAGGGGTGAGGAAGCTGGGATATTTATCCACCAAATCCCATCCCTCCTTGTTTGAGAATTGCTTCTGGAAGTGTTAGGTCCCCACCACTGCTGGCTTGCCCTGTATGGACCGAGAATGCTACTGTGGCCAGATAAAGTCTTAGGCAGAGAGACCCAGGTGTTAGAAGCAGGAATCTGCCAGTGTGGGTGATCTGGCCACCAAAGCTGGAGGTGACCAGCAGGTGCACCAAGGGGATATTGGTGGAGCACCAACAGTGTTGGCTACATCCAGTTAATAAAATTTTCCCCATGAATTCATTCTTGCATTGAACATATATTTATAAAACACCCCATATGTTCCCAGCATGCATTTTGGCATGGCAATACAGTAACGAACAAAATAGATGCAAATCTCTCTCTTAATAACTTATTCTAGTGACTGTTTGCAGGAGTATTAAGTTCTACCAATCACAAGTGCTGAACAGACTTTCAATAGTATATACATTCATTTAATACTATTATGTCTTTGACATTGTACTAATTGAATAAAATATGGTCTTTACGTTTAAAAATCTTTCTCAGTTAAAAAAACACAATTTCAAAAATATTAGAGCTTGAGGTGTTCCTAAGACAGCTAAGTCATGAAAAGGTGAACTAATTTTCCCAAAGATACACAGCAGAAACAAGACTGAAAATATCAGGTTTTTTCATATATTTCCACAATAGCATCACATTGACTGAGACTGGCTGTTTTCTAAAGCAAAATACAAAAAGTATTTTGAATGCACTCTTAAACATTGTGGTGGGAGTGTAAATTGGTGCAAACTTTCTGTAAGACAATTGACAAAAAGTGTTAAAAGCTTTAGAAGTAAACGTTCCCATTGACATAGTAATTCAGCTTTTAGGGATCTATCCTGAGAAAATAATTGGAAAATTGTGAAAGATTTATAAACAATGAAGATTTATAAACAATGAACACTAATTCAGTCATTCAAAAAGCGTGTTTTCAAATAATATTTAGTTATATAGAAAAATAGAATATAATAATTAGTGAAGAAATGAGGATATACAACTTCATATATTGAAAGGTCTCTTTTTTTTTTCTAGAAAGATCCACAGAAAGAAGAAAATACAGCAAAGCAATGATTATATCTATTTTCTATTATGGTAATGTGGAAATCTTCCAAAAGCATTGTTTTATTCGCCTGACCTTTGTAAAGTTGTTGAATGAAAGTGAGTTTAGGTTATATCTCTAGGCAGATTTTTGGAACCCCACTGAAGTTGCCAGTGGGACTTCGGCGGTGGGACTGTATGAAACCTTTGTTCTTTCTTACCTAGTTGTATTTTCCACAATGGACCATATGTTACCTTTATAACCAGAGAAAAAAGTATCTAAAATTTTTGGCCTAATTTTTACCTCTAGGCATTTTGATTAGTGCTGGGAAAGTGTCCAGTGGACGTTTGTGTGTCTGACTCTTGGTAAAACAACCGTACTGTTTAGAAATAGACTCACAATGTCCTGAAGCCTTCCAGCCAGTGCGACTGTTGAGAGGGTGCACTTTGAGATGCTTTCCCCCAGGGTCCTCCTTCCCCCTTCCCCCTTCCAGAGCTTCAGCTCCCTTCTGCCCACAGGCATCTCATGGAGATGGGTCCCTTGTCCACATCCACTCATACATTCTTGCTTTGTGGCTTCTATTTCTTTGTTTCTTGCCTCCCCATCAACTTCCCCTTCATTGTGTTTCTTTGTATTCCTCTTACAGAAGCAGAATCCCACTTGGTTTCAGTAGAAGCCCGATGGGGACTTCGTCTGTCCTTACCTGCTGTGTGTTGCTTTAAGAACTGCCCTTGGGATTAGACACTTACCACGAAGAAGAAAGAAAACAAGCCGCCTATTAAATATATCACCTTTGGACTTTCCAGAGACGTCAACTTTGCCAAACTCCACAGGAACCCAACAGCCCCCTATGGCAACACTTTCCGAAATGCATGCTCTCTTCCAAAGCAACTGAAGAACACAGACACCCCCTTCTTTCCCCTAGACAAGGCTGTTGTTTTTGTCCCCCAGGTTGCTACCATGTGGGAATGTTGTGGTGTGAGAAAGTATCAACACCCCAAATGCAGATCACACTTGCTTTCCATCAGCTATGAAGGGGCCATTAATCATTCTCCACCCTCGTATCTTTCCCCTGTCTTTGTTACAGACAAGCTGTTCTTACAAATTCTGAGGAGTATCTCTGGGTGGTGACTAACCTTTGGCATTGTCCATGTGGTCTGACTGATGGGGGAATAGTCTCCTAGCATCAGCCTGGAGAGTTCAAGGACATCAGAGGAGGCCCCATGGCAAGGTGCAGCCAAGCAGAAGGGAACGAAGACATTGGGCTGGGACCAGCCTGAGGCTGACTCCCTTAGGTCTCCTGGTGATGCCTTCTTGCTTCTTTGCTGCCTGATTAGTTTAGTAAAGAATGCAGTCTGGGCAGCATTCATTGGAAAACCTCTGCTGACGGGGAAAACATCAGATATTGTTCTTCTTGGAAAACCTGCACTACTTACCCAGGTGCTAATGTAGTTCAAGCCCACAAGGCACCATGGTGGATTTATTGGGTTTCAGTGCTGGAAACAGAAACCCCTTTGAGTATCTAAACAGAAAAGTCTTGAATTCAGAGAAGCAGGTGCTTCCCATATTGTTTGAAGGGCTAGACAATTGTTTGAAGATGTTTGTTGCCCAAACATCACAGAACTTATTGACCCGAAGAAATCCTGCCCCGGATACAATTGAGAAGGTGAAGACTCAGAGGAGGCTACCACTGAAACACACCATCCAGGGACCAGGAAGTCCCCATTGATGTCCCTCTCCTACAATCCCCCATGTGTCTCCAAAGGTCACCCAGACACATTGAGTTACCTCACCATTCTTCAGAACCTGCACACTCCAGTCTGGGGTTTGTATTCAGAATACAAAGAAGGGGGAAGCTGATTGGGAAGAAGGAAATAAAGAAATAGAAGCCACAAAGCAAGAACATATGACATCCCTGTAGTGCAAATTAAACATTGGAAATCAGCCTCGGAAACACTACACATCTCTGTTTAAAGGCAGAAAAGCAGTAGGAACATGGTCTTTGCCTTATGTATGAATTCCCATTGGTAAAACCTGCTCATGTGCAAAAGCCTAGCTGCAAGGGAGTCAGAGAAATAGGGCATTTAGCTTTCTAGTTTTTGTATACGGGAAGACACAATGGAACGAGGTGGGAATGGATGTTAAATGCCAACAGACCACATCCAACACACATACCTTAGGAAATAGCACTGGCCTTTGAGCACTCATGGGGCCTGGCTGGGGATGGCTGAGTCCCAGCAGGGTCTGAGCCAAAAAATAAATAAATAAATAAATGCAACATATGGTGGAGTCTTTCTAGGGAAGAGAGAAGATAGAATCCATCACAGAATAGTACCTGGTCTGATTTTTAGCAACTTGCAGGGAGGTAAGATGACCATAGTCTGGCCAGGGAAGGGACTTGCCTTTTGGGGTACGGGACAGCATTACATTCAGTGTTAGGTGCAGACAGCATAATTGAGGGGATCAGAAACAAAGATATATAGTCCTTGGAAAGAGCTAGTGAGGGGCTCAGGTCTCTGGCAGCTAATTTCCCTGGCATAAAAAGAGCTGTGGAATGGGGGAAGGCATAAGGAGAATCATCGAGTTCTGACAAAACCCAGGCAGAATGAAACCAGATGATTAGACGGGCTCTCTGGACCTGAGGAGGCAGAGGGGGATTGTAGGAAAAGGGTTTATCGGTCCTAATTTGACACCCCTCTCTTTATCCATGCCCTTTGCCTTGTAACTTTGCATCTTATCTTACAAAAGGCAAAACAGGCTTCTCTATCACTTGATTTTGAGCTTGGCCTTGTGATTTACTTTGGACAATGGAATGTGGGAAGAAGCAGCACAAGTTTAGTTTTGAGCCAAGGCCCAGGGATTTCTTATGTGTTCTTATTTTCCCTCTCTCATGTCTTTATCTTCATGAGAATATCTTCCCATGGATAGCTACTGCTCATTCAGCCCAGGCCCCAGAATTAATCCATGTGGAAGAGACTAGATCTTAGACCCTACCAGGAAACCAATCCCAGCTGGAACTACAGCTTGAAGGAGGGCCATCTAGCTGAAGCCAAGCTGGTTCATGTGAGTCCCCGGCAAACTACTCGTTTGTGATAAATAAATTCTTATTGCAAACACTGACATTTTAGTGATTGTTATTACACAGCAATAGCCAACTGATACAATGACTGTCTCTGAATAGCAAGGGGTTTATTATTTCCAGATGTTGCAATGAAAAACATCAAGAGAGCACCTACAAATCACAGACTGGCATGTGCAGGTTCTGAGGCATGATGGGTCAATGCAATGAGTCTGGGTGACATTTGGAGACAGATGGAACACAGCTCTGCTCCAGGCAGGCTTCCCTAAATGGCCAAGCCCACCGAGATCTCTTCATCCTCTACCATCCTCATTTCTTGCCTACATTTCCCTTTAGTTCTGATCATATGCCATCACAGTTGTAGTGACCTAGTTCCTAATATCACCAGATAAGTGGACCCACTTCACTGTATTTTTATGTAAGCACGTGTCTATATTTTGTCCATGTCGATATGATGAGTGGCTTGGTCAGGCAACTTGTTGAATATCCACAAGCCCTATGTATAAAGCAGTGTTATTTGAGATTCAGTCACTTCTGGACCATTTTTATAATGTTTGTCCATTTCCATGTGAAAGTAGGGAACAGAGTCTAAGGGTGAGTGATTGCAGGCAGGTGGAGGCTGTGACTCATAAAGGACTGTGGCATGCTCAGAGAAGAGTCTTGGAAGGAACTATAGAGGGGAGAAGAGGGAAGGCTGGAGGAGGCAGAGAGCAGAGCAGGAATTACAGTGGAGTAGTAAAGTAGAGTTCGGAGAAGGAAGTCACTGTTGGGGGAGAGGGCAGCATCAGGGACTAGGAGAGGGCCCTGGAAGGGGTAGAGGATAGAAGGTTGTTTTGGAGGGTGTGCAGAGTGAGTGTTGAAGAGCTTCACAGTAGGACACAGTGAATGGCAGATGGTGGAGGAGAAACAGGCAGGGGTAAATGTTGGACAAGTGAAGTTGATGGACCATCATTGTGCCACATAAAATCATTTTGTTTTCCAAGAGAAGAATTGCCCACATACCACGCTGCAGGAAACTTTCATCTCAGTGAAGGATCTTCCAAGTCTTTTTTGCTTGCATATCCCCTAAAAGAATTTTGCAAAACTACATACTCCCTCACACTTACAGAGTTGAAACCTAAAATACTTTATAAGTTTAAATACTGTGGTTCCAAAGGATGTGATAGTCAGTATATTGTAAATATTGACATTTAAAAATAAAACTCTTATATCATACCTACTGGAATCAAAATATTATGATATGACAGCCACCATTATCTATTTTAAAAGTATATGACAAGCTCTTTGACAGTCAGAAATTTTACATCATTCTCTTTACTCCTTGAAATTATATTTCCATTTCACTTTCCCCAGAGAATTTTATATTGATGTAGTGTATTTTTATGCCTGAAAATCTTTTCTTGTCTACCATGTATCTCAGCAACAAAACATGTATACCAATTTGCTTAAATTTTTTTCTTATAACCACAAATAATAAACCAGTATAAAATATAAGAAGTAATATTTTATTCAAAAAGAAGCTCTTAATAAAATGAATGGAGTGGGGATGGTAGTTGTGATCTCTCCATTAATGGAGACTTGGCCAACACTGGTATCTTGAAAATGTCATTTAGCGTCTTGGAGGTTTTTACACCCTAGGGCAATGCACCATGGTATAGTTGGAACCTTGGGCACCTGGTCTTCTATATACCATGTGTACTAAGACAATGATGATGGCAGCTTAGGGGGGACTTGAAGATGCATTTTGCCTATTTCCTAGGCATCATAGAAGCCTCCCAGTGTTTTGTGTGACTCCAGGGCAGGGGAGGGAACTCAATAGTGTCAAAAATTGAATTTTATACAAGCATGAAAGAATGAGTGTTTAGAGCCTTATGTACTTTGGTCCAAAGAATACAATGAAATGGGGAAATTTCTGGTACAGTTAAATTCCTGCCATTAAGGTTCATGCCTGCTATATGGAAAGAAGGAAGAAGGAAGAGAGAGCATTGGATTGGGGGATCATCAAAGGTGAGGTTAACTACCTGTCTTCACAATCACTTAGCAACTGCGTGACCTTGGGCAGCTGTTCATCTGCATCTCATTGTCCATCTGTAAAATGGGGCGCAAATCTCCTTTATGCAACCTCCTAGGCCAAGGGGTTAGCCTCCTAGGGAGGCTTATCTTGAATCAAATAATGCTCGTGACATCATTTTGTAAACTGTCAAGAGCGCTTTATTTTTATTAAAAAAATTTAAACTATTTAAAAAATAATTCTAGATTTACATGAAGTTGCAAAGATATGTACAAGAAGGTCCTGTGCACCCTACACCCCACCTTTATCAATGTTGACATCTTGCTTAACTATATCAAAACCAGGAAATTGACGTTGATACAACCTACAGAGCTTATTCAGATTTCACTAGTTATACAGGTACTCATTTGTGTGTGTGTGTGTGTGTGTAGGTCCATGAAATTTTATGACGTGTAGGTAGCTTCGTGTAATTACATAACAATCACTACACAGAGCTTCTCCATCATTACTTATGCTACTTCTTTATATTCACATACTCCTTCCTCACAATCTCCAATCCCTGGCAACCATGAATCTGTTCTATCTCTATAGTTTTGTTATTTCAAGGATGTTACATATGTGAAATAATAGTATGTAGCCTTTTGAGATTGGCTTTTTCACTTAGCATCATTCCATTGGGGGCCATCCAAGTTATTGCATGTATCAGTAGTTTGTCCCTTTTTATCGCTGAGTAGTATTCCATGGTATGGATGGACCAAAGTTTGCTTAACCATTGGCATTTGGGCTGTTTCACATTTTGGGCTATTATGAATAGAACTGCTATGAATGTTCATGTATAGGTTTTTGAGTCAACCTGTTTCCATTTTTGGGGGGATATGAGCAATTCTGGGTTGTCTGGTAAATGCAAGCATACAGTTTTATAAGGAAATTCCTCCATACTGGCTGTACCATTTTACATTTCCAGCAGTAATGCATGAGTGCTCAGTTTTTTCTGCAACCTCGTCAACACTTAGTGTTATCATTATTTTTTGTTTTACACGTTCTGATAGGTGTGTAGTGATCTCTCACTGTGGTTTTAACCCACATTTCCTTAATGGCTAACGATGCAGGATATCTTTACATGTGCTTATTTGCTATCTATATGTACTCTTCAGTGAAATGTCTGTTCATATATTTTGTCCCTTTTATAATTGGGCTGTTTGTATTTTTCAATGTTGAATTTAAAATTTTTTTATTTTATTTTATTTTATTATTATTATACCTTAAGTTTTAGGGTACATGTGCACAATGTGCAGGTTAGTTACATATGTATACATGTGCCATGCTGGTGTGCTGCACCCATTAACTCGTCATTTAGCATTACGTATATCTCCTAATGCTATCCCTCCCCCCACCCCCCACCCCACAACAGTCCCCAGAGTGTGATGTTCCTCTTCCTGTGTCCAAAATATATTTTAGATACAAGCCTTTTGTTTGATGTGTGGTTTGCAAATATTTTCTCCCAGTATGTAGTTTGTCTTTTCATCCTCCTAACAGAATCTTTCCCAGAGCAAAGGTTTTAAAATTTTATGAGGTGGAATTCATCAGTTTCTTCTTTTAGGGATTGTGCTTTGTTATCAAGTCTATAAACTCTTTGCCTAGGACTAGATCCCAAAGATTTTTTGTTTGTTTGTTTGTTTGTTTTTAATTTAATTTAATTTAATTTAATTTTTTTATTATACTTTAAGTTTTAGGGTACATGTGCACATTGTGTAGGTTAGTTACATATGTATACATGTGCCATGCTGGTGCGCTGCACCCACTAACTCGTCATCTAGCATTAGGTATATCTCCCAATGCTATCCCTCCCCCCTCCTCCCACCCCACAACAGTCCCCAGGGTGTGATATTCCCCTTCCTGTGTCCATGTGATCTCATTGTTCAATTCCCACCTATGAGTGAGAATATGCGGTGTTTTGTTTTTTGTTCTTGTGATAGTTTACTGAGAATGATGATTTCCAATTTCATCCATGTCCCTACAAAGGACATGAACTCATCATTTTTTATGGCTGCATAGTATTCCATGGTGTATATGTGCCACACTTTCTTAATCCAGTCTATCATTGTTGGACATTTGGGTTGGTTCCAAGTCTTTGCTATTGTGAATAATGCCGCAATAAACATACGTGTGCATGTGTCTTTATAGCAGCATGATTTATAGTCCTTTGGGTATATACCCAGTAATGGGATGGCTGGGTCAAATGGTATTTCTAGTTCTAGATCCCTGAGGAATCGCCACACTGACTTCCACAATGGTTGAACTAGTTGACAGTCCCACCAACAGTGTAAAAGTGTTCCTATTTCTCCACATCCTCTCCAGCACCTGTTGTTTCCTGACTTTTTAATGATTGCCATTCTAACTGGTGTGAGATGGTATCTCATTGTGGTTTTGATTTGCATTTCTCTGATGGCCAGTGATGATGAGCATTTTTTCATGTGTTTTTTGGCTGCATAAATGTCTTCTTTTGAGAAGTGTCTGTTCATGTCCTTTGCCCACTTTTTGATGGGGTTGTTTGTTTTTTTCTTGTAAATTTGTTTGAGTTCATTGTAGATTCTGGATATTAGCCCTTTGTCAGATGAGTAGCTTGCAAAAATTTTCTCCCATTCTGTAGGTTGCCTGTTCACTCTGATGGTAGTTTCTTTTGCTGTGCAGAAGCTCTTTAGTTTAATTAGATCCCATTTGTCAATTTTGTCTTTTGTTGCCATTGCTTTTGGTGTTTTAGACATGAAGTCCTTGCCCATGCCTATGTCCTGAATGGTAATGCCTAGGTTTTCTTCTAGGGTTTTTATGGTTTTAGGTCTAACGTTTAAGTCTTTAATCCATCTTGAATTGATTTTTGTATAAGGTGTAAGGAAGGGATCCAGTTTCAGCTTTCTACACATGGCTAACCAGTTTTCCCAGCACCATTTATTAAATAGGAAATCCTTTCCCCATTGCTTGTTTTTGTCAGGTTTGTCAAAGATCAGATAGTTGTAGATATGCGGCGTTATTTCTGAGGGCTCTGTTCTGTTCCATTGATCTATATCTCTGTTTTGGTACCAGTACCATGCTCTTTTGGTTACTGTAGCCTTGTAGTATAGTTTGAAGTCAGGTAGTGTGATGCCTCCAGCTTTGTTCTTTTGGCTTAGGATTGACTTGGCGATGCGGGCTCTTTTTTGGTTCCATATGAACTTTAAAGTAGTTTTTTCCAATTCTGTGAAGAAAGTCATTGGCAGCTTGATGGGGATGGCATTGAATCTGTAAATTACCTTGGGCAGTATGGCCATTTTCACGATATTGATTCTTCCTACCCATGAGCATGGAATGTTCTTCCATTTGTTTGTATTCTCTTTTATTTCCTTGAGCAGTGGTTTGTAGTTCTCCTTGAAGAGGTCCTTCACATCCCTTGTAAGTTGGATTCCTAGGTATTTTATTCTCTTTGAAGCAATTGTGAATGGGATTTCACTCATGATTTGGCACTCTGTTTGTCTGTTGTTGGTGTATAAGAATGCTTGTGATTTTTGTACATTGATTTTGTATCCTGAGACTTTGCTGAAGTTGCTTATCAGCTTAAGGAGATTTTGGGCTGAGACAATGGGGTTTTCTAGATATAAAATCATGTCGTCTGCAAACAGGGACAATTTGACTTCCTCTTTTCCTAATTGAATACCCTTTATTTCCTTCTCCTGCCTAATTGCCCTGGCCAGAACTTCCAACACTATGTTGAATAGGAGTGGTGAGAGAGCACATCCCTGTCTTGTGCCAGTTTTCAAAGGGAATGCTTCCAGTTTTTGCCCATCCAGTATGATATTGGCTGTGGGTTTGTCATAGATAGCTCTTATTATTTTGAAATACGTCCCATCAATACCTAATTTATTGAGAGTTTTTAGCATGAAGGGTTGTTGAATTTTGTCAAAGGCTTTTTCTCCATCTATTGAGAGAATCATGTGGTTTTTGTCTTTGGCTCTGTTTATATGCTGGATTACATTTATTGATTTGCATATGTTGAACCAGCCTTGCATCCCAGGGATGAAGCCCACTTGATCATGGTGGATAAGCTTTTTGATGTGCTGCTGGATTCGTTTTGCCAGTATTTTATTGAGGATTTTTGCATCAATGTTCATCAAGGATATTGGTCTAAAATTCTCTTTTTTGGTTGTGTCTCTGCCCGGCTTTGGTATCAGAATGATGCTGGCCTCATAAAATGAGTTAGGGAGGATTCCCTCTTTTTCTATTGATTCGAATAGTTTCAGAAGGAATGGTACCAGCTCCTCCTCGTACCTCTGGTAGAATTCGGCTGTGAATCCATCTGGTCCTGGACTCTTTTTGGTTGGTAAGCTATTGATTATTGCCACAATTTCAGCTCCTGTTATTGGTCTATTCAGAGATTCAACTTCTTCCTGGTTTAGTCTTGGGAGAGTGTATATGTCGAGGAATTTATCCATTTCTTCTAGATTTTCTAGTTTATTTGTGTAGAGGTGTTTGTAGTATTCTCTGATGGTAGTTTGTATTTCTGTGTGATCAGTGGTGATATCCCCTTCATAACTTTTTATTGTGTCTATTTGATTCTTCTCTCTTTTTTTCTTTATTAGTCTTGCTAGCAGTCTATCAATTTTGTTGATCCTTTCAAAACACCAGCTCCTGGATTCATTAATTTTTTGAAGGGTTTTTTGTGTCTCTATTTCCTTCAGTTCTGCTCTGATTTTAGTTATTTCTTGCCTTCTGCTAGCTTTTGAATGTGTTTGCTCTTGCTTTTCTAGTTCTTTTAATTGTGATGTTAGGGTGTCAATTTTGGATGTTTCCTGCTTTCTCTTGTGGGCATTTAGTGCTATAAATTTCCCTCTACACACTGCTTTGCATGCGTCCCAGAGATTCTGGTATGTTGTGTCTTTGTTCTCGTTGGTTTCAAAGAACATCTTTATTTCTGCCTTCATTTCGTTACGTACCCAGTAGTCATTCAGGAGCAGGTTGTTCAGTTTCCATGTAGTTGAGCGGTTTTGAGTGAGATTCTTAATCCTGAGTTCTAGTTTGATCGCACTGTGGTCTGAGAGATAGTTTGTTATAATTTCTGTTCTTTTACATTTGCTGAGGAGAGCTTTACTTCCAAGTATGTGGTCAATTTTGGAATAGGTGTGGTGCAGTGCTGAAAAAAATGTATATTCTGTTGATTTGGGGTGGAGAGTTCTGTAGATGTCTATTAGGTCCGCTTGGTGCAGAGCTGAGTTCAATTCCTGGGTATCCTTGTTGACTTTCTGTCTCGTTGATCTGTCTAATGTTGACAGTGGGGTGCTAAAGTCTCCCATTATTAATGTATGGGAGTCTAAGTCTCTTTGTAGGTCACTCAGGACTTGCTTTATGAATCTGGGTGCTCCCGTATTGGGTGCATGTATATTTAGGGTAGTTAGCTCTTCTTGTTGAATTGATCCCTTTACCATTATGTAATGGCCTTCTTTGTCTCTTTTGATCTTTGTTGGTTTAAAGTCTGTTTTATCAGAGACTAGGATTGCAACCCCTGCCTTTTTTTGTTTTCCATTTGCTTGGTAGATCTTCCTCCATCCTTTTATTTTGAGCCTATGTGTGTCTCTGCATGTGAGATGGGTTTCCTGAATACAGCACACTGATGGGTCTTGACTCTTTATCCAATTTGCCAGTCTGTGTCTTTTAATTGGAGCATTTAGTCCATTTACATTTAAAGTTAATATTGTTATGTGTGAATTTGATCCTGTCATTATGATGTTAACTGGTTCTTTTGCTCGTTAGTTGATGCAGTTTCTTCCTAGTCTCGATGGTCTTTACATTTTGGCATGATTTTGCAGCGGCTGGTACTGGTTGTTCCTTTCCATGTTTAGTGCTTCCTTCAGGAGCTCTTGTAAGGCAGGCCTGGTGGTGACAAAATCTCTCAGCATTTGCTTGTCTGTAAAGTATTTTATTTCTCCTTCGCTTATGAAGCTTAGTTTGGCTGGATATGAAATTCTGGGTTGAAAATTCTTTTCTTTAAGAATGTTGAATATTGGCCCCCACTCTCTTCTGGCTTGTAGGGTTTCTGCCGAGAGATCCACTGTTAGTCTGATGGGCTTCCCTTTGAGGGTAACCCGACCTTTCTCTCTGGCTGCCCTTAACATTTTTTCCTTCATTTCAACTTTGGTGAATCTGACAATTATGTGTCTCGGAGTTGCTCTCCTAGACGAGTATCTTTGTGGCGTTCTCTGTATTTCCTGAATCTGAACGTTGGCCTGCCTTGCTAGATTGGGGAAGTTCTCCTGGATAATATCCTACAGAGTGTTTTCCAACTTGGTTCCATTCTCCCCATCACTTTCAGGTACACCAATCAGACGTAGATTTGGTCTTTTCACATAGTCCCATATTTCTTGGAGGCTTTGCTCATTTCTTTTTATTCTTTTTTCTCTAAAGTTCCCTTCTCACTTCATTTCATTCATTTCATCTTCCATTGCTGATACCCTTTCTTCCAGTTGATCGCATCGGCTCCTGAGGCTTCTGCATTCTTCACGTAGTTCTTGAGCCTTGGTTTTCTGCTCCATCAGCTCCTTTAAGCACTTCTCTGTATTGGTTATTCTAGTTATACATTCTTCTAAATTTTTTTCAAAATTTTCAACTTCTTTGCCTTTGGTTTGAATTTCCTCCTGTAGCTCGGAGTAATTTGATCGTCTGAAGCCTTCTTCTCTCAGCTCGTCGAAGTCATTCTCCATCCAGCTTTGTTCCGTTGCTGATGAGGAACTGCGTTCCTTTGGAGGAGGAGAGGCGCTCTGCTTTTTAGAGTTTCCAGTTTTTCTGTTCTGTTTTTTCCCCATCTTTGTGGTTTTATCTACTTTTGGTCTTTGATGATGGTGATGTACAGATGGGTTTTTGGTGTGGATGTCCTTTCTGTTTGTTAGTTTTCCTTCTAACAGACAGGACCCTCAACTGCAGGTCTGTTGGAGTACCCGGCCGTGTGAGGTGTCAGTGTGCCCTTGCTGGGGGGTGCCTCCCAGTTAGGCTGCTCGGGGGTCAGGGACCCACTTGAGGAGGCAGTCTGCCCGTTCTCAGATCTCCAGCTGTGTGCTGGGAGAACCACTGCTCTCTTTTTTTTTTTTTTAATTATTATACTTTAAGTTTTAGGGTACATGTGCCCATTGTGCAGGTTAGTTACATATGTATAGATGTGCCATGCTGGTGCGCTGCACCCACCAACTCGTCATCTAGCATTAGGTATATCTCCCAATGCTATCCCTCCCCACTCCCCCCACCCCACCACAGTCCCCAGAGTTTGATATTCCCCTTCCTGTGTCCATGTGATCTCATTGTTCAATTCCCACCTATGAGTGAGAATATGCGGTGTTTGGTTTTTTGTTCTTGTGATAGTTTACTGAGAATGATGATTTCCAATTTCATCCATGTCCCTACAAAAGACATGAACTCATCATTTTTTATGGCTGCATAGTATTCCATGGTGTATATGTGCCACATTTTCTTAATCCAGTCTATCATTGTTGGACATTTGGGTTGGTTCCAAGTCTTTGCTATTGTGAATAATGCCGCAATAAACATACGTGTGCATGTGTCTTTATAGCAGCATGATTTATAGTCCTTTGGGTATATACCCAGTAATGGGATGGCTGGGTCAAATGGTATTTCTAGTTCTAGATCCCTGAGGAATCGCCACACTGACTTCCACACTGCTCTCTTTAAAGCTGTCAGACAGGGACATTTAAGTCTGCAGAGGTTACTGCTGTCTTTTTGTTTGTCTGTGCCCTGCCCCCAGAGGTGGAGCCTACAGAGGCAGGCAGGCCTCCTTGAGCTGTGGTGGGCTCCACCCAGTTGGAGCTTCCCGGCTGCTTTGTTTACCTAAGCAAGCCTGGGCAATGGCGGGCGCCCCTCCCCCAGCCTCGCTGCCGCCTTGCAGTTTGATCTCAGACTGCTGTGCTAGCAATCAGCGAGACTCCGTGGGAGTAGGACCCTCCGAGCCAGGTGTGGGATATAATCTCGTGGTGCGCCATTTTTCAAGCCCGTCAGAAAAGCGCAGTATTCGGGTGGGAGTGACCCGATTTTCCAGGTGCGTCTGTCACCCCTTTCTTTGACTAGGAAAGGGAACTCCCTGACCCCTTGCGCTTCCCAAGTGAGGCAATGCCTCGCCCTGCTTCGGCTCGCGCACGGTGCGTGCACCCACTGACCTGCACCCACTGTCTGGCACTCCCAAGTGAGATGTACCCGGTACCTCAGGTGGAAATGCAGAAATCACCTGTCTTCTGCGTCGCTCACGCTGGGAGCTGTAGACGGGAGCTGTTCCTATTCGGCCATCTTGGCTCCTCTCGATCCCAAAGATTTTTTAAAAAAATGTTTCACATTTAGGTGCATGATACATTTCTAATTAATTTTCTCTAAGATGTGAGAATTCGGTTGAGGGGATTTTTTTTTTCTTGGCCTTTTGGCTAAGATCAAGTGTAGAACTAGGTTGAGATTTATTTTTTTCTGCATATGGATGTTTAATTGTTCCAATACCATGTGTTGGAAAGGCTGTTTTTCCTATTGAATTACTTTTGCATATTTGTTAAAAAATCAATTGGGCATATTTGTGTGTGTGTATTTCTATATTCTCTATTCTGTTTCATAGATCTATGTGTTTATCCCTCTGTTACTATTACACTGTCTTGGTTACTGTAGCTGTATAGAATGTCATAATATCTGTAGAGTGATTCCTCCCATTTTACTCTTTTTTAAAATTGTTTCTTTTAGCTATTCTAGGTCCTTTGGTTTTTCATATAAATTTTAGAATAACTTTGTCTGTACTATAAAAATCCTTACTGGAATTTTGATAGTCATTGCATTGAACCTATACTTTTCAATTTGGGGAGAATTGACATCTTTACTATGTTGAATCTTTTAGTGCATGATCATGGTTTGTCTCTCCATTTATTTAGGTCTTTGATTTCTCTTAGTAGCATTTTGTAATTTACAGGATACAAATGCTATACATATTTAGAAAAAGATTATACTGAAGTGTTTCATTTTCTTTAGAGTAAGTGTAAAGTTATTGTGCTTCAAAATTTTAGTTTTTATATGCTTATTGTTAGTATATATGAATGTGATTATCTTTATATGTTTATGTTGCATCTGTGACCTTGTTGAATTAACTTATTAGTTCTGGAATTTTTAGGAGTAGATTCTTTAGGATTTTCTATTTAGACAATTATGCCATCTGCAAATAGGGATTGTTTTTCTTTTTCTTGTCAATCTGTCTATATCCTATTTCCTTTTCTTGCTTTATTGTGCTTTTCAGCACAGCATTATGTGGTAAGAGTGAACATCCCTTCTTTGTTCCTAATCTTAGAGGAAAAGCATTCAGTCCTTCACCGTCAAGTATGATTTTAGCTGTAACTCTTTATCAAATTGAGGACATTTTCCTCTGTTCCTAGTTTTCTGAGCACTCTAAAAAATCATGAATGCACCCTGGGCAACATGGTGAAACCCTGTCTCTACAAAAAAAAAAAATATTAGCTAGGTGTGGTGGCACACACCTGTGGTCTCAGCTACTCTGGAGGCTGAGGCGGGAGGAATACCTGAGTCCAGGAGGTCGAGGTTGCAGTGAGCCCTGATCGTGCCATTGTACCCCAGCCAGAATGACAGAGGGAGGCCCTGTCTCAAAAAAATAAAATAAAATAAAAATTATCAATATGTAGAACTTTCAAATGTTAATTATTTTTTTTTCGGTACTTTGAAAGTGATGCTTGGTTGACATCTTGGCTCTGTGTGAAGTTCTGAGAGTATGAGGGCACATCATTTCCCTGGTCAGCTCTATCCCTGGGGTGTGCTGGGAAGACACAGATGAGAGTAGGACTTCTTGTTGGATGGGACTAAGGAAAAATGGAGAGGAGAGATCTTAGGGTCCTGCCAAATGGACTCTGTTACCAAGTTACTCAACGAAAAACATGGTACTGTAAGGGTTATTAGTTTCCTGTTGTTGCTGTAACAAATTACCACAAACTTAGTGGCTTAAAACAACATAAATTCATTCTATTACAGTTCTGGTGGTCAAAAGTCTAAAATCATGGTGTTGGCAGGAATGTGTTCCTTCTGGAGTCTTCGGGGGGAGAATCTATTGCCTTGCCTTTTTCAGCTTCTAGAAGACACTCACATCTCTTGGCTTGTGGTCGTTCCTCCATCTTTAAAACACAACTCCACCCTCTGGTTCCATTGTCACGTATCCTTTTTCTCTCTGACCTTAATTCTGTTGCTCCCTCTTATGTCTACCCTTGTGACTACGTTGGGCCCACCCAAAGAATCCAGGATTATCTCAACATCCTTAACTTAATCACGTCTGCAAAGTCTCTTTGCCATATATGGTAACATATTTATAGGTTCTCCGGAGTAGGACATGGGCATCTTTGGTGGGGGTGGTGGATGGGGGGATTATTTATTCTACCACACGGGGTGACTATGGGCATGATGAGGTATTTTAAAGAGCAAGGCTTTGGAGTTAGACAGACCGTGGTTTGACTTCCCACTCCAGCTTTAACAAGCTGTGTGACTTGCAGAGAATTATTTAATCTGGCTAAAACTTTATTCATCTGCAAAACTGTAATCCCTTTGCTTGTCTGCAAAACTGTGGTGGAAATGACAGCTGTTTGTCAAAAATTTACACCCCCTTCTGTAGTATACAGTTGTGGCTAGGGAGCAACTTTTCCAGGCAGGCAGTACATTTCTTAGTATCATTTGCCTCTAGGTAGGGCCCAAATGAGACTGGTTCTCACTCATCATATGTGGCTGGAAGTGATCACTGCTGGGCTAAAGTACCTATGAAGTAGGTGTGTATTCTTTATGCTCTCTTCTCCCATCTTTTGGCTCCATACTAACTCCCGGGTGACTTTGGAAGCCTAATGAGGAAGATGAAAAAGCTTTCATCAGCTTGTGTCTCTGAATAACTGTGTGAAGCAGAGTCCATTTAACGCAGACTCCTGCGTTAGGCTCTATGAGCTAGAAATACATTTCTATTGTGTTAAGCTACTGAAAACTTAGGCTTATTCATTTCAGCAGCTAGCAATACATCTGTCTTGCAGGGTATTATTATCCCCTGGGGCTATACAATGAAATCACGTGTGTAAAACCCATGTCACCATGATAAGAAACTAAGGGACTCAGAGATTGGAAAGCCGTCAACTCTTCTGCCTAGAGCAGTGGTTCTCAAACTTGAACATGCATCAGCATCCCCAAAGGGCTTGTTAAAACAGATGCTGGGCCCACCTCAAGAGTTTATGATTCTGGGTTGGGACTCCTGGTGTTACTGGAAAGGGGTCCTGATTCAGACCCTAAGAGAGGGTTCCTGGATCTTGCGCAAGAAAGAATTCGGGGCGAGTCCATAGAGTAAGGTGTAAGCAAGGTTATTAGAGAAGTAAAGAGACAAAAGAATGGCTACTTCATAGGCAGAGCAGTGGTATGGGCTGCTTGACTTAGTATACTTACGGTTATTTCTTGATTATATGCTAAACAAGGGGTAGATTATTCATGAGTTTTCTGGGAAAGGAACAGGGAATTCCTGGAACTGAGGGTTTCTCCACCTTTTAAACCATTTACGGTAATTTCTGGATGTTGCCATAGCATTTCAAAACTGTCATGGCACTGGTGGGAGGGTGTTTTAGCACGCTAATGCCTTTTAATTAGAGTATAATGAGCAGTGAGGACCACCAGACCTCACTTTTGTCACCATCTTGGTTTTGGTGGGTTTTAGCTGTCGTCGTCTTCTTCTTCTTCTTCTTCTTCTTCTTCTTCTTCTTCTTCTTCTTCTTCTTCTTCTTCTTCTTCTTTCTTCTTCTTCTTCATCTTCTTCTTCCTCTTCCTCTTCTTCCTCTTCCTCTTCCTCTTCTTCTTCTTCTTTCTTCTTCCTGTTTTATTTAACTGAGATAATTTTATTTTATTTCATTTAAAAATTACAGGCTCAAGCCTGTAATCCCAGCACTTTGGGAGGCTGAGGCGGGTGGATCACCTGAGGTCAGGAGTTTGAGACCAGCCTGGCCAACATGGTGAAACCCCATCTCTACTAAAAATACAAAAATTAGCCAGGTGTAGTGGCGCGTGCCTGTAGTACCAGCTACTCAGGAAGCTGAGGCAGGAGAATCACTTGAACCAGGGAGGTGGAGGTTGCAGTGAGCAGGGATCGCACCACTGCACTCTAGCCTGGGCAATAAAGCAAGACTCCATCTCAAAACAAAAATAACTATTTTTAAAATTAAAATTTAAATTTTTAACTTTTATTTTAGGTTTGGGGGTACACATGTAGGTTTGTTAGATAGGTAAACTCATATCACGGGGGTTTGTTGTACAGATTATTTCATCACCCAGGTATTAACCCAGTAGTTATTGTTTCTGCTCCTCTCCCTCCTCCCACCTTCCACCCTCAAGTAGACCCCAGTGTGTGTTGTTCCCTTCTTTGTGTCCATGTGTTCTCATCATTTAGCTCTCACTTGTACGTGAGAACATGCAGTATTTGCTTTTCTGTTTCTGCGTTAGTTTGCTAAGGATAATAGCCTCCAGCTCCATCCACGTTCCTGTCTTTATGGTAGAATGATTTATATTCCTCTTCTTTATGGCATCCTGTTTTATCAGCAGGATCTTTGTGACCTGTATCTTGTGCTGACTTCCTATGTCATCTTGTGACTAAGAATGCCTAACCTCTTGGGAATGCAGCCCAGCAGGTCTCAGCCTCATTTTACCCAGACCCTAATCAAGACGGAGTTGCTCTGGTTCAAACGCCTCTGACACTGGCACCCTGTATTATTTCGCTTTAGGCTTAGCTCTCTTGCTTGTCTTTTCTGCATGACTGTGACCTACATGTAGGCAGGCACTAGTGTTAGACCTAGTCTAACTTGTTGGTAACTTCATTCCCAGAACCAGCATAGTACCTGGCAAATAGAAGACCCTCAACAATACTGGAGGAAAGAAAAAGGAACAAGTTTAACATCCTCAGCTTCAAGGGTTGAAATAGATACAGTAAGCTTCAGTTAAAGGGTTTAAAGATTTCCTCATTCCTAAATAGGCTTGCTTGGGCTTCTTTGCTTCTCCACCACCCTGTTAAGATGAGAAGTTGCAGCGGTAATTTGTTACCTGTTAACTTTCGCTGGTATCTCTTGGAAGAGCTTCTGGGATTGATCAAATAGCTTGCATCCATTCTATCTAGCCAAATTTATTTTGCTTTCGCATTCTGGGGCTTCAGTTGATCATGCAGGAGGATTTCATTTCAGAGAGCTGCTGCCCATTTGAGAAAGTACATGAAATAGATTTTCTCTCAGCGGGGCTTCCCTGCAGAATATAAAGCAAGGCGTTCGCAGCAATCAACCCTCAGTTCTCCAGGGCTGGCCCCACATGGAGGCTGAGGAGGTAGCCTTCTTCTGGGGTGAGAGGAGGTCAGGGAGGGGCCGCAGCCTCGGAAGTAGCTATTAAAAAGCAAATGTTATCTAGAAAAGAGGGAGAGGGGTTCCAAAGAGACAAATTGTGTGTACTTGGCAATTTTGCCTGTGGCAGACTCTGAACTCCGTCTCTCTGTGAAGTGAAAAGTTTGGCATTAGCAATTCCAAAGAGTCGTTCCGATTTCAGCAGCTGAAAGTGGACTGGGGGCAGGAGGGTTGGCAGTGGACGCCGCGGGAGTTGCTGTCAGAGTTCCCGGGCAGCCTGCATGCTTTCATCCAGGCTGGTGGCCGCGGGAACAGTGTGGGAATGCCAGCAGCAATGGGGAGGCACCAGGGAGGAGGGCGGGAGGCTGCTGCTGTCCCGGCAATGAACAGCGGCCCGCCCCCTACCCCCTGCAACCACGAACTCTGACAAGGCAGAGGGGGCCTTCCTAGATCACCACCCACTTGGGTTGCATTTAGAGGCCCGAGCTATATCTGATTTCAATTTCTTGGGCTAATTTATACCCCACTATAAACAAACTCTTGTAAAAGTTGAAAACCAGCAAGGATAAAGAAGCTGTATTTTCATTATAGTTGTTTTTCTTCTGATGGGTTTCTGAAGTGAGTTTTCCAATAGCAGAGACCCCAAATTTTTGGCCTCTGGAGATCTGAAAGGTGCTATATTGGGGAGGAGGTGAGGGGGGCAATTCAGCAAGAGCTGGTGCTTGGCTCTGTGCTGGGGTCTTTCACTAGCATTGAATCAGGGGAAGGGGGAAGTTTTGCCCCTCTTTTCCCCAGGGCCTTAAAGTTTGACAGAAATTCACAGAATGGTGCAATGTGGGAAAATGTAAACATGTTTATAAAAGTCGTCTGTGTGGCCAGGCTAAGTCTCAAACTCCAGTCAGTTGCTACCTAAATCTCTTTGTTAAGCTGATGTTTCCAGATCAAGCTATTTTGTAATTCTAGCTTTTTATTTTACTTTGGGCATTTGGGGTGATTTGGTGTTTTAAGTGTTAATTTTCTGAAAGCTCCATTTTCTCCACTTCAAATTGTTGCTAACTTGGGATCCAGTATGATATTTATTAACCTCAAGTAAACTGCTAAGAGGAGCCTGATCCGGGATTGTCTTCATCCTTTTGTGTTTTGTTTTTATTTTCTAATTTTCATTTCAGAACTTTCAGAATTGGTTTTCCCACCTTTTCAGTGCTAGATCTGCCAATGGTTTAGTTCATTTGTAAGTTCAGTTCTTTATGTCACCATCTAGTGTTCACTGATGTCTTGTAATTGCGGGGGATTTGTGTCTCAAAAGCTTAAAATGAGTTGGCTGTGCTTTAATTCCAAGTTCTTTCTTTCAGACATGGTAGTAAAAATGAGAGGTTACTAAGTAAACATTACTTTTAACATATATATGTAAGTGGATTCTGTGTTTATGATTGCTGCGGGATTACCTTTAAATGTTCTCTTTCAGTCTCTAGTCAAAAGTAGTTTATAAATAGTTGCTGTGGATTTGGCTCCTTAAAAATATTCCAGTAGAAACAGATTATTTTTAATTCTAAAGTTTATGCCAGTAGCAATTTGCCACAGGAATAGATTCTTATGGGGGCGCTGAATGCACATTTGAGTTCACACAAAATCTATGAATAAGTTAGAAAAGTTGGCTGGGTGCAGTGGCTCATGCCTGTAATCCAAGCCCCTTAGGAGGCTGAGGTGGGAGAATTGCTTGAGAGGGGGAGTTTGTGGCTGCGGTCTAAGATCGCATCACTGCACTCCAGCCTGGGTGACAGAGTGAGACAATGCCTATTTAAAAAAAAAAAAGATAGGGAAGTCGAGGGTCAGTGAGTGTCTGTTCTGCCTCTGGCTCTTTTCTCCCACCCAGTATACCCATCACTCACTTGTAGATAAAGACAAATCAAAAGCTGTTTGCAGTCCTTTTTCGGGGCCTTTTTCACTTGTTTCTGAGTTGCCAGATCTGAAGCTTAAAGCTGGTCCTGGCCCTTCCTGGAGCTTCACCCCTGATTCTGACTACCCATGCCCAGCCGGCTGTAGAAGGAAGCTGAGCCTGAGTCTGGCCCCTCAATTAGGGGTTAGTCACTTGGGTAGTGCCTCAATTCGTGCAGAAGAAGGCTGTTATGGACCAAGTTGTGTTCCCTCCCTCTCTAAATCCATAGGCTGATGCCCTAACCCCGAATGTGACTGCATTTGGAGATAGTGCTTTTGAGGAGGTGATGGAAGTTAAACAAGGTCATAAGGGTGGGGCCATTACGACTGGTGTCCTTATAAGAAAAGGAAGAGACACCAGAGCTCTCTCTCCACTTTCCTCTATGCACAGAGGAAAGGCCATGTGAGCGCACAAGAAGGCGGTCGTCTATAAGACAGGAAGAGAGCTCTCATCAGAAACTGAATTTGCTGGCACTTTAATCATGGATTTCTACTCTCCAGAACTGTGAGAAAATTAATGTCTGTTGTTTAAGCCATATGGTCTATAGTATTTTGTTATGGCAGCCTGTGCTGACTAATACAGGTGCATAGACCCTTTTCCCAAAAGAATAGGCTGCCGGGGAATTTCTGGTTAGGAAATAGCAGTCACAAGGGCCTAGGCTATTGGAATGCAGACCCTTATTGCTATGGCCACAGCCCAAGGGAGTGTCAAGAAAACCCATTTGTTGGGCCTGAACAGCCAGGGAGAGGTCTAGGCCACCTGTGGTTCAGAGAGATGGACTCAGGGCCATCCTAAGGAGATATATGACCTTACTGTAAGATTTCAGGGCAAGTGTAAAGAACTATTATATTTGATGATAGAGAAAAACCGTGGAAAATAGGATATATTTATATAGTAACTGCTTCCAGCTAGGGATGTTTGAAAAGAGTGTCTAATGTATTTTTAAGGATGTTAATGTCAGAGGGGTTTGAACCAGAGCAACTCCTTCTTGAATAGGGGCTGGGTAAAATGAGGCTGATACCTACTGGGCTGCATTCCCAGACAGTTAAGCCATTCTAAGTCACAGGATGAGATAGGAGTTTGGCACAAAACACAAGTCATAAAGACCTTGCTGATAAAACAGGTTGCAGTAAAGAAGCTGGCTCAAACCCACCAAAATCAAGATGACAACGAGAGTGTCCTCTGGTCGTCCTCACTGCTACAGGAAGTTACTCTATATGGTCTAAAAAGAGGAGACATGAATAATCCACTCCTTGTTTAGCATATCATCAAGAAATAACCATAAAAATGGGCAACCAGCAGACCTCAGGGCTGCTCTGTCTATGGAGTAGCCATTCTTTATTCCTTTACTTTCCTAATAAACTTGCTTTCACTTTACTCTATGAACTCATCCTGAATTCTTTCTTGCATGAGATCCAAGAACCCTCTCTTGGGGTCCGGATCGGGACCCCTTCCTGGTAACATTAACTTTTGGCTGGCTGGAATATTTCATTACAAAAGTATGTTCTTGGACCTTGCTACTCAAGGGAAGATCCGTGAGCAGCATTGGCGTCCTCTGGAAGCTTGTTAGAAAATGCAGGGTCCCAGACCCTGTACCTGCCCTACTGACTCAGAATCTGCATTTTTAATAAATTCCCCAGGTGGTTTCTATGCACATTAAAGTCTGAACATCAGGTGGTGCTGATCTCGGTTACAGGTCACTAGTTTTGTTTTACCTGGCAGGATTCTGTAAGTAAATGAAGTGGCGTTGCCAGATGCAAGGGAGAGGCAGTAGAGCTGAGTGACAGTTGCTGGTACTGTGCAGTTGTCCCTTCGTGGGCCTTGTTTATAGTGGGGCTTCAAATGGTCAATACTGAGAAAGGAGTCATGGGCCTGGAAACAGGAAATGGCTAAGGTCAGGCACGAGATGCTAGAAAGACAGTAAGGCAAAGCTAAGTCATCGGACTCTAGGTAAGCACAAATGAGGAGCTTTGAATGTGAGAAACAAGGTTTTTGGGACAAATCCAGAATCAACGTTTGCCATAAGCAGAGAGAGTAGAAAGGGAATTGATAAGGTTATGTTGGTAAATATTGGTGGACAGTTTTTGTTTACATGGATTCCCTTTTGAAGGCTCAGGGTTCTGAAAGGTCTCTGATGGCCTTAAAGGCACAGAAGTCTGAACCTGATTGAGTCATTCTATTAAACAAGGTGGGTGTAGGACCAGAGAATCTGGGTTTGATGTGCCAAGGTTGATGCCAGGTCGAAAAACCAGGAGAAGGGTGAGCTTGGTGGAGTTGGGTAGAAACAGAGGCATGAAAACAGGAGGTCACACAGCGTTGAAAACAAGGTAAAGGAAGATAGGCCAAAAGCCTTGCATGTGGGGCTCACTGAACCCCAGTCTAGCGTGAGCAGGGCCAAAGGCAGGAAGAAATACTGCCTGCATCTGGAAGAAATCTGCTTGCCATCACTGGGTTCAGGAAACCCAGTGTCGGAGACAATTAGAGGAAGCTACAGAAGTTACAGGGGAGCCCAGAAGCAAATGGACAAAAGCCCGAGTTATTGGCCTACCTGCATCAAAGGTCCTACACCCTTAAAGTGCCGGAAGGTACCAAATTCCTGGGAGGGAATAAAACTTCATGGGTACTGAAATTAGAAAGATAATTATGCACTAGGGATGACATCAATGTCACTCCTGGTCACACTGTTTTTCTTCTCCATTTCTGAAAGCTACATAGCATATCACCTTGCTACTGAAAGAATGGTTGAGGACCAGCAACACCAGCATCATCTGGTTGTCAGTAGTGCAAAATCTCAGGTCCCACCCCAGACCTAGTGCATCATAATCTGCATTTTTAACTGGAACCTTGGGTTATGGTTATTCCTTTGCACTTTAAATTTAGAGAAGTACCAGCTTATTGCTTAGCACACAGAGATCCTGGACATCTGAATTTGAAATCTGCTCTGCCAACAATTTCCTGTTTATGGAACTCTAAGTCTATTACCTGGCTCTAGAGAGTGACTTATTTTCTTATAGGGCAGTGGTTCTTTACTTTGGCTGCTCATGAAAGTAACTTGAAGAGCTTCTTAAAATACAGATGACCAAACCCCACCTTGGATCAATTCAATCAGTTCAGTTGATCTGGAGTGGGGCCCAGGCATCAGCATTTTTAAATGCTCCTCAAGTGATTCCAATGTACAGCCTGTTGAAAACCTGGGATCTAGAGTAAGAGGGAAGAGAAGGCAGCAGAGGGGTATCTCTGTTGAAAGGGGGAAGTGAGAGTTCCAGAGACCTCAAAGTGGCCAGCAGGAAAAGGATCCTGCATCTTGAGGATCAGGAGTTCAGTGGAGAGGGCTCATTGCTAAGCATTCCTCAAATGTGAATGCCCCCCAGCAACCCACTGACCAAGTGTCCTGGGCTCTTGTCCTCAAAATGGCAGGTTGTGGTTGTTGGTGACAATGAGGCGTGAAGGGGAAGCCTTTACTCCAAAGCAAGGGGAACCTGATTAGAATCAGTTGGAAGCCCACCACCACTACTGTCATAAAAGATTTGGGAGAGACATCATCAAGATGGCTGAGTAGGGGTGCCCAACATTCACCCTTTCCACAAAGAAGGACGAAAAGAACAAGTAGATAATCACATATGGAATACAGCATCTAGGGGAGAACAATGGAATTCAACAAGGAAATGACAAAGACCCTCTGAGGCATGGAAACTTGGGATGGCAGCATAGAGAGGAAAGTGAAGCACCTGGCTAGCATCTGCTCTGAGCCAAGAGGGACTCCCCATTGCAGGGAAAAAGTAAGTGGGAGATCTCCAGTAGTCCACATTCCCTCCACATACACCTGCAATCCCAGCTTTAGGAGAGCCCCACAATCCTCACAGGCCCTGAGCCCAGTGTAGGGGCTGCCTGGAGTCCATGCGGCTGCATTACTCCAGAAAGGGAATTCACACTGGGGCCCCTCCCCACCCCACTCCCCAGGACCCAGGCTGCTGTAAGCACAATGCCATTTTGAGGATGGAGTCACTGCTGGAGTGCTTGGGGTCCCAATAGCTCCTGCATCTTCACATCCCTGGAGCCACAATGTCATCCTAACACACTCACACAAAGAAATTGAAAAGGACACAAAAAATGGAAATACACTCCATGTTCATGGATTGGAAGAATGAATATCGTCAAAACAATCATACTGCCCAAAATGATCTACAGATTCAATGTAATCTCTATCAAAATACTGAGGTCGTTTTTCACAGAAATAGAAAAAACATCTTAAAATTTGTATAGAACCACAAAAGACCCTGATTACCCAAAGCAACCCTGAGCAAAAAGAAGAAAGCTGGAGGCATCACACTGCCTGACTTCAAAATATACTACAAAGCTATAGTAACCAAAACATCATGGTATAAAAACAGATATAGACCCATGGAACAGTATAGAGAGTCCAGAAATAAATCCCCCATATACAGCCAACTGATTTTCAATAAAGGCACCAAGAACATATGTTGGGGAAAGGACAGTCTCTTCAATAAGTAGTGCTGGGAAAACTGGATATTCATATACAGAAGAATGAAACTAGGACCCTATCTCTAACCATATACAAAAATCAATTCAAAATAGACTAAAGACTTAAATGTAAGTCCCAAAACTATAAAACTACTAGAAGAAAACATAGGGGAAATGCTTCAGGACATTGGTCTGGGCAAAGATTTTTATGGCTAAGACTTTAAAAGCACAGGCAGCAAAAGCAAAAATAGGCAAATAGGATTATATCAAACTAAAAAGTTTCTGTACAGCAAAGAAAACAACAGAGTGAAGAGACAACTCCTTGAATGGGAGAAAATATTTGCAAGATATTCATCTGACAAGGAATTAATATCCAGAATATGCAAGGAGCTAAAACAATTCAACAGTGGAAAAACAAATAATGCAATTAAAAAATGGGCAAATGATCTGAATAGATATTTCTCAAAAGAAGACATACAAATGGCCAAGAAGTATATGAAAAAATGCTCAGTATCACTAATTTTTATGGAAATGTAAATCAAAATCACAATGAGATACTATGTCACCCCAGTTAGAATGGCTACTATCAAAGACAAAAAATAACAAATACCAGCAAAGATGTAGAGAAAAGAGAACTCATATACTATCGGTGGGGATGCGATGATGTGACTGGGTTAGGATAGTGGCCAAGGAGATCTGGATCATGGAAAGGTCAGGGACTTGTCCAAATCCAGGCTCTACCTTACCTCCCTCTTCCCTGCAGATTAGGTGAACCCCAGGGGATGGCTCAGCCCATCAAGGCCAGAAGCTTCTTAAGGGCCTGTCTATCCATGCTCTATGGCTGAGTGGCAGGTTAGCCTTACAGCTTGCCATCTAGACTTGACCTGGTGTCCTTTGTCTGGTTTTTGGCCTAGTTTCCTCTCCCAGTATGCTGAATCCTGCTCAGGATTTCTGCTGCCTCTTAGGACTGGAGCTCTACTTTGTTTGTATTTGTCTTCCCAGTTTCTTCACTCCCTTCCCTGGCATGGCACCCTATTTAGATCAAATAAAGAAATATATGTACAGAAACTGCAAATTGTCCCCCAATAGCCACTCTCCCTTTCTTCTGAAACCATAAAGCTCCTGATTTTTAGTTAGGTATTCTGTGTCTTAGTCCATTTTGTTCTGCTATAGCAGAATACTCAAGACTGGATAATTTATAATAAATAGAAGTTTATTTGGCTCATGGTTTTGGAGGCTGGGAAGTCCAAGAGTCATGGTGTCAGCAACTGGTGAGGGCCTTTGTGCTGTCATCCCATGGTGGAAACTGGAAGGGCAGAGTGTGAGAGTGAAAGAATGGGAGGGGGCCACATTCACTTCTCTAACAAACCCACTTTTGTGATGACTAACTCATTCCCAAGATAATGACATTAATCCATTATTGATCACCTCTTATAGTTCCCACCTCTCCACATTGTTGCATTGGAGATTAAGTTTCCAACAAATGAACTTTGGAAGACATATTCTAATAGCATTCCATGACACTAGGTGTGGCCATATAACTAAGTTCCGGCCTATGGGATATGAGTAAAAAAGATGTATCCTTCTTCCCACTTGCAGGGATGTGGGCCTAGGGAGGAGTCACCAAAGAGATGAAGCCTAGGCCCTTGATGACTTCATTAAGTGGAGCCATCACACCAATTTGGACTTTTATGTGAATCAGAAATAAACATCTGTCTTGTTTAGGCCACTGTCCTTTGGACCCTGTTTTGGATGCAACTGAAGTCATTTCTTCCCCAATAGGGTTGTAGTCATGTTATAATCTTTTCTGAATGCCTATATGTGTTAGACACTTCTACAAGTTTGAGATCACAATGCACTAAAGTCCTGAGGTAGACTAATCACCCCATATTTATCGATGATGACTTAGTCTCAAGTGTCAATGAAAGGATCTGAGATTTCACCAAAGTCTGTGTGACCCCAAATCCGTGACCTTTCTGCACTAAGCCTCATAGCAGGTGATACAAATTCAGGTGTTTTTAATTTTATTAAATATATAACAGTGAGTAGAAGCCAAATGGAAATTTGGATTTGCAAAAGGAAATCTGGGCTCTAAGAAGGCAACTAGAGCAATGTATGTCAAGCTTGAATGTGCAAATGAATCTTCTAGGGATGATCCGTTCCTACCCAAAAACACACGAGGAAAAGCAAAGAATGTGAAAGCCCAATCTCTTTAGCTCCTGGAATTGGCCTGAGCAGCCAATAGCTAATAATAAACCCTTGTGTTCTAATATTAGTATAACTTTACAGAATCTCCTGGGATGAAGTTAGTCTGAGTGGATACGTGTCAAGCAGGGGCTCTCAAATTGTGGTCCCTGAACCAGCAGCAACAGCATCACTGGGAACTTACTGAAATTGCTGATTATCAGGCTCCACCCCAGACCCACTGAATCAGAAACTCTAGGGTTGAGGTGGAGGGGTCTTGGGATTTCTCCAGGGGATTCTGATGTGTGCTGAAATTTAAGAAACACTGGTGTGGAAGAAAAAGCTTGGGAAGAGGCAATTAACAACATAATGGAATAAAAGCCTTCAGCTGGAAATTGGAAAATCTACAGTCCAGTCCTAGCTGTCTCCTTGTTCATAAAATGGAGATGAGAGCACTGACTTCACTAAGTAATTTGCAGAATTAAACACAATGCTGTTTTTGAGAGGCAACATAACAGTGGTTAAGAGCACAGATTCTAGAGAACAGTCTGGCTTCAAATACTGGCTCTCAGTTATTAGATGGACAAATCACTCCTTTGTTATCTGTTAAAGTGAGGGGTAATAACAGCATACGTATCTCGTATGGTTGCAAGGGTGAAATGAGTTAACAACGTTTGTAAAGCACTTAGAAGAGTGTCAGGCAACAAGTGCCATATAAGTGTTTGTTAAATTATATATCTATGTGCCTCTATCTATTTATTTATCTATCATCTATCTATCTATCTATCCATCTATCTATCTAATCTATCTGTCTATCTATCATGCTTGGTACATGCAGTGACTATTCAGAAAGTATCTTTTATTTGAGAAAGAAAATGGAGCAAACAGGGATGAATAAGAAGAGGTTGTTAACTGCCAGAGGTCTAGAGAACACCCCCCTTCCCACAGGAACCCCTATCCCCACTCCCAAGGGGCCTCTCCCAGTGCAACCTGGAGGTGTGTAAGAATTTTCTGTCTGCCATGGTGTGATTCAGCATTTGGTGGAAATTGTCTCCTGGAGGAACTGGCATCTCTGCAAAAGGTCCATTCAGACTTAAGAATGTAGAAACCTGGCCAGTGCAGCTGAAGGTAGCTCTGCCATTTCTCCAGGGGACTTAGTGGATTCTGGGGACCTCATGGGGGTTAAGATCACAAGGGACTCCCATCAGAGGAGCTGGAGGAATGAGGGGCTGGTGCTGTATAAAATGCAGCTCTGTTAAAATTTCTATTTTTTTAAAAACAATTGTATTGAGGCATATTTTACACACAAAAATCACCCATTTTAAGAGCACAACTTAGTGATTTAAAAAACATTTACCAAGTTGTGCAACCATCATTATAATCCAGTTTTAGACCATTTCCAGCACCCACAGAAGATCTCTCATGCCTGTTTACAATTTAACCTATTTTCCCACTCCCAGCCTGAGGCAATCACCAATCTACCTTCTGTCTCTGTAGATTTGCCTATTCTGGACGTTTAATAGAAATGGAGTCATACAATATGTGGTCTTTTGGATCTGGCTTCTTTCACTCAGCATAATGTTATTTCTGAAATTCATTCATGTTCTCTAGCATGTATCATTTTATTCCCTCCTATTATTGAATAGCTTTCTGTTGTTACAGCTGTACCACATTTTGTCTATCCATTCACCAGTTGGATATTTGGGTTGTTTCCACATTTTTGGCTATCGTGAATAATGGTGCTATGAACATTTACATGCAAATCTTTGTGTGGACATATGTTTTCATTTCTCTTGGGTAGATTCCTAGGAGAGGAATTGCTGGGTCATAAGGTAAATTTAGGTTTCAAGTTTAAATAAACTAATGAACTGTTTTCCATTTCACATTCTCACCAGTAACATATGAGGGTTCCAGTTTCTCCATATTCTCACCAACATTTGTCATTGTCTTTTTTTTTTTAAATTATAGCCATTTTAGTGGGATGTGAAATACTATCTCATTGTGGTGTCAATATGCATTTTCCTGATGACTAATGATGTTGAGCATCTTTTGAAATGTGCTTATTTGCCATTCATGTATCTTCTTTGCTGAAATGTCTACCCAAATATATAAAATTTTGGGTTTAATAGTAGATATCATGTGGCTACCACCTTATTCTGCCCTTGGGTACTCAGGCAGGAGGACTATCTCCAAGGTGAGCTGGAGTCCCTGAGACTGGCGGTAGACCAGGGTTTCCAGGAGGCTAACACACTCCTGCATCGGCCACTTTCAACCTTTTCACCTGAGGATTAAGGAGCAATTCTATAAACTCCTGAACTAGAGAAAAGGTGCATTCTTTAAAATACATGCTTGATTTGTTTTTTTTCTGTGAATTATATTTTTCCTTTTCCTATTTTAAAGAAAGTTAATCTTCTGTAAAAAACAATCACGAAGCTAAGGTTGGATTTATTTAGCTGTTATTAAGATACGTGTGTATTTTAGAAAATGGAGATTTCTGTTGTTTTTAAATTTATGCCATTGTTTTCCTTTATTTTCATTTGTGTGAGTCTGATTAACAAATGATGCCACTAAGAAGGACCCTACCACTATCTTGGATGAGGAATATAGATGGCATGTAGTGAGTAAAAATAAATTTCTGACTACCAAGTAGCAGTAGATCATTAGTGGGATGGCACATCGAGCTAATGGCATTAGAGATAATGGAGAAGGGGGTGAGGAATGGGAGCCAACATGTTTCCTAGAGCTTCAAAGTATGGCCCTGATAGGCTCGGCCGGAAAGCCTGTATTACTGAAAAGCCCAAACCACTCCCTAGTGCTTGTGGAGAATCACCACAGAGTTTACCTCTGAGCTGGACCCTGAGGTCTGATGGCTAGCCCTTCCAGAATGGCCAGTGGCATATTCTAGCAATATTTCTGTGAAATCTGGCCAACTCAGGCGTAGGGGAGGGACCATTCTTGTGGTAGGGGGAGGGATCATGATTCCAAGAGCTACTGCTACCAGGAGGATGCTACTGCTACCATTGTTGTTATTTTTTATGTTGTTGCTGTTGTTTTGTTTTCTTCTTCTTCTTTTTTGAGACATAGTCTCACTCGGTCACCCAGGCTGGAATGCAGTAGTGCGATCACAGCTCACTGCAGCCTTGACCTCCCTGGGCTCAGGTGATCCTCCCCCCTCAGCCTCCCAAGTACCTGAGACCATGAGGTTTCAACAAGGTTTCACCATGTTGCCTAGGCTAGTCTCGAATTCCTGGGCTCAAGTGATCTGCCAGCCTCAGCCTCCCAAAGTGCTGGGATTATAGGCATGTGCCACTGGGCCCAGCCACCATTGTTTTTTTGTGTTAAAACTATCTTCAGTTTAACCAATGATGGCCACTGGTCAGCAGAAAGACACAGGAAGGATGACATAGAAATAGACTGAGGGGTGCTATAGGCCAGATTTCCTCTTTATTCCATCCATCTTGCCCTAAAGGTGGCAATGGATATCCTTCAATGGAACACAAAGGACTGGACCCCAGCCACAAGGGCTATACACATAACTTGGTTTATTTATTTAAAAAATAAACATGGTAATAATAATTATGTAGTAGAATTGATGTGAGATAAAATGTATGCATTGTGCCAGAAGAAAGTAGGCACTCAGTAAACAGGCTGTTATTATGCTGTGCTGACATGTGTTGAGTGTTTAACTTGTAAGCCACAAAGAGCACATAGTTGCAGATTTTCCATCCTATTGATTAATTCGTTGATTGAGGCATTTCCTCAACCCACATTTAAAAATGTCTACTTTGTAGCAACAATATTTCTGGGTGCAGAGAATGCAAAGATGCACGAAACAGTGTCTCTATCCTCAAGTTGTTAAAAATTAGTTGGGAAGTTAATTCTAGAAGACTGTGTCAATGACTCTGACAGACGGTTGAAAAAAGTACCATTGGGGGACAGAAAAGGAAGTGATTCATTGTACCTGGGGACAAGGAGGGAGCAAGAGTCATGGAAGATAGTCCAAAAAATGTGATATTTGAGCTGGGCTTTGAAGGATAGATAGGAGTTCACTAGGTAGCGATGGCAGGGAGAATATTTTTAGTAGATGAAATAGGAAATAGCATGGACCTAGTCACAAGAGTATGTATTTGGAGAACTTTAAATATCCAACTATTATAGAGTGGGCATAGGTTTGGGTGGTAGCAGGGTTGGGAGGGTATGAACTGGAAATATATTTCGGGGTGAGATTTCACAAGGCCCTAAATGGCATTTTAAGGACTTTAAGCTAAACACTGCAGGTAAAAAGAAAACAGAATGGCTTAGGAGTGGCATAACTATTTTCCCAAATTCATAATTTTTTTTTCAACTTGCTGGGCACAAGTCAGCTACTAAACATATCCCAGTTGTCCAATCTCTTTAGGAAAAAATGACTTATAGAAGGAGAAATCCAAAATTTAATAGGAAACATGGTAGATCACCTGACCTCTGGCCAATGATAAAAACAAAATCCCATTACAATAAACACCATTATAAAGACTGCTTACTACAAAGCTATTTCTAGGCAGATGGCTCAGAAACACCATACTCTTTTTATCTAGTCAAAATAACTTATGTACGATGGATAACCCAGTGCAATAAATTCTTTGTTCCCTGTGCTTATAACGATCTCTTTCTATAGGGAAGGTAACTGCTGTTATACCACAGGCAGGAAGAGGAGGCTGAGTTGAACTGTAGCTGAACTCCATTTAATTTTTCTCTGTAGCTATCAATCCCCAACTATTCCTTGACTCCCTTTACCATCTCCTCCACAAAAATTCCAATCCCTTCATCCAGAAAAGCTCATTGAGACTCCCAATCCACCCACCTAACTTCTCAAACAAAACACTTTAACCCCGAATATCTGGAGCTCAAAAAAGGAAACCCTATTGCTCGACAAATATGGTGGATTCTGGGCATCTGAAGATTCAACAACTACCATTCCAACTCTTTGTGAGTGACCCTGACAGTCATTTCTATTTTTGGTGGGGCATGAATTTCAGGCACCACAGCAAGCCTCTTACTAAGGGAAGTCCAGCCGACTGCTAGCATTTTTTTCTCAAGGTGGCTTTGTTTTCTTTGCTTGTCACATACATGTTCTTGCTCAGGAAGTTATATTTTGCTGCATTTGATGAAGGATGCTATGTTCCAGGGAAATTAACCAATTTGGAAATTCAAGAAGGTCTGATGGTTAAATACCTTAGGAATGTTAAAGACCTATTCTGCTTCTTAACACTTGCCAATAGTGAGTAGGCATATGGTCCTTATCAGTGTGTGTATTAGTCCATTTTCATACTGCTATGAAGAAATACCCAAGACTGGGTAATTTATAAAGAAAAAGAGGTTTAATAGATTCACAGTTCCACATAGCTGGGGAAGCCTCACAATCATGGCAGAAGGTGAAGGAAGAGCAAAGGCACGTCTTACATGGCGGCAGTGTGTCCGGAATTGGTGGGTTCTTGGTCTCACTGACTTCAAGAATGAAGCCGCGGACCCTCGTGGTGAGTGTTACAGCTCTTAAGGTGGCGCGTCTGGAGTCTGCCCCTTCTGATGTTCAGATGTGTTTGGAGTTTCTTCCTTCTGGTGGGTTCGTGGTCTCGCTGGCTCAGGAGTGAAGCTGCAGACCTTCGCGGTGAGTGTTACAGCTCTTAAGGCAGTGCGTCTGGAGTTGTTCGTTCCTCCCGGTGGGCTCGTGGTCTCGTTGGGCTCAGGAGTGAAGCTGCAGATCTTCGCCGTGAGTGTTACAACTCATAAAAGCAGCGTGGACCCAAAGAGTGAGCAGTAGCAAGATTTATTGCAAAGAGCGAAACAACAAAGCTTCCACAGTGTGGAAGGGGACCCAAGTGGGTTGCCAATGCTGGCTCGGGCAGCCTGCTTTTATTCTCTTATCTGGCCCCACCCACATCCTGCTGATTGGTAGAGCCGAGTGGCCTGTTTTGTCATGGCGCTGATTGGTGCATTTACAATCCCAGAGCTAGATACAAAGGTTCTCCATGTCCCCAACAGATTAGTTAGATACAGAGTTTCGACACACAGGTTCTCCAAGGCCCACCAGAGCAGCTAGATACAGAGTGTCGACCGGTGCACTCACAAACCTTGAGCTAAACCAGGGTGCTGATTGGTGTGTTTACAAACCTTGAGCTAGATACAGAGTGCTGATTGGTGTATTTACAATCCTTGAGCTAGAGGTAAAGACTCTCCACGTCCTCACCAGAGCAGCTAGATACAGAGTGTCGATTGGTGCACTCACAAACCTTGAGCTAAACACAGGGTGCTGATTGGTGTATTTACAATCCCTGAGCTAGATATAAAGACTCTCCACGTCCCCACCAGACTCAGGAGCCCAGCTGGCTTCACCTAGTGGATCCCACACTGGGGCTGCAGGTGGAGCTGCCTGCCAGTCCTGCGCTGTGTGCTCGCATTCCTCAGCCCTTGGGTGGTCGATGGGACTGAGCGCCGTGGAGCAGGGGGTGGTGCTCGTCAGGGAGGCTCGGGCCGCACAGGAGCCCATGGAGGCGGTGGGAGGCTCAGGCATGGCGGGCTGCAGGTCCCGAGCCCTGCCCCGTGGGAAGGCAGCTAAGGCCCGGCGAGAAATCGAGCACAGCGCCGGTGGGCCAGCACTGCTGGGGGACTCAGTACACCCTCCGCAGCCACTGGCCCGGGTGCTAAGTCCCCCATTGCCCGGGGCCAGCAGGGCTGGCTGGCTGCTCCGAGTGCGGTGCCCGCCAAGCCCACGCCCACCCGGAACTCCAGCTGGCCCGCAAGCGCCGCACGCAGCCCCGGTTCCCGCTCGTGCCTCTCCCTCCACACCTCCCTGCAAGCTGAGGGAGTGGGTTCCGGCCTTGGCCAGCCCAGAAAGGGGCTCCCACAGTGCAGTGGGGGGCTGAAGGGCTCCTCAAATGCCACCAAAGTGGGAGCCCAGGCAGGGGAGTTGCCCAGAGCAAGCGAGGGCTCTGAGGACTGCCATCACACTGTCACCTCTCAGCAGGAAAGTTCGTGTGCAGGGGAACTGCCCTTTACAAAACCATAAGATCTCATGAGACGTATTCACTAACACAAGAACAGCACGGGAAAAACTCACCCCCATGATTCAATTACCTCCCACCAGGTCCCTCCCACAACACGTGGGGGTTATGGGAGCTAAAATGTAAGATGAGATTTGGGTGGGGTCAGTGTGTGTTTTTTTAATCCTTATTTTTGAAAATAAAATTTCAAACTCATAGAAAAATGGCAGGAACAGTATCATGAACTTCCATAAGCTTTCACCTAGATGTACCTATTAACATTTTTCAGAAGATAAGACAATTATGAGTCAAAGTAATAAGTGAGACAGGGTATTGGTTAGTCTAACAGACTCCTGAATCTCACTCTATGTGTATGCACATTGTTGTGTATTATTATTATTATTATTTACAGAACCATTTGAGGTTAACTTGCAGACATCATGACTTTTTACCTCTAAATATTTCAGTATGTAATGGCATACTTTTACAAACCCACAGTGCAATTATCCAATTCTGGAAATTGAGCATTGATACACTACCATTAACTAGTAGCACATCCATATTGAAATTTTGCTGATTGTTTCAATACTATCCTTTAGAGCAATGAAAAAACTATCCATGTCCCAACCTAGGATAAAGCATTGCATTCAGTTGTAATGTTTTTAGTCCTCTTTACTCTGGAACAGCTCCTCGGTCTGTCTTTGTTTTTCATGACATTGATTTATCTTGAAGAGTATAGTCTCATTATTTCATAGAATGTTCCTTGTTTTGGGTTTGTCTAATACTTCCTTAAGATTGGATTCAGGTTATGCATTGTGGGCCGGAACTTTACTTGGATTTTAATTTTTATTCTTGTTAATTAAGAATGTGGCTTTCAAATAGTATAGTCATTATTAAAAAATTCTCCTGCAGCTAAATATCAAGCATGGGTTCCAAGGAGACCCATGTTAGTGGAATTTTTCCCCCACCCCCTTGGGAACACAGATTATGAAAATCACTTCAAAGGGAGCTAATTTGGAGAAGTCAACAAAACAAACAGTCCTCCTGGTGGGTTGGTTCCTTCCCATGTTGCCAGTCTGTCCATGGAGAGCCTTTGTGCTCCAGTATTTTCCTTTTGCCTCACCACACTGCTGTCCCTCAGTAAAGCATCTGAAAGTCAGCAATGGAAGGAGTGTGAAGACTTGGAATGACATTTACCAGCAGAAAGCTGGAGGTGGCTCACGTTACTAAATCTTTATTACTTTTGCAAAACACATCACAAAATATAATAAATAGTTCACATTAAGCTGCACCTATCAAAACATGTCAAGTTCACTTTGTGATATAGCATCGTTGACTTGGATTGTTGCTAATTCTCAATTATTCATTAAATGGACATGGATGCTACCCTCTCCCTAACATTAGTGAGAATTCAAGCACTTTCAGTGATTCAAATGTGAAGTGCTAAGCCTCAGAAAATGAGATGTGGAGACAAAATAAGCTTAAATATGTATCTCTTCCTTTCTTCTTTCATCCAGCAAAATGCTATTGAGAAACTACTTTATATCAGGCGCTGTGCTAAGTACGGGGGTTTCGGGGATTAAAGGCCTAGTCCTTGACCTCAAGGAGCATTTATTAGAACCTGAGATTTGGACCCAAAAGCCAGAGCCAACATTTTCTTCTTGCTTAATGGCATCACTTCACATTTTGTCCTAGTTTAGGTGGTGATAAGGCAGAATCCACTTGGTAATGTTGTGACTCCTGCTTCAGACCGTTGGCTCAAAGTGGCTGTCATCATATATAGGTGTGTCCCTGAGCCTCCCCAAGAGCTAAGAAGTACTTTTTCCACAATAGTACATGCCATTATGGTGTCTTCAACCTGCTATCAACCTTTTAAGCCTGCATTCTTACAACTTTCAATGGTTTTCAATCCCTTTCCATATTAAGGTCTGTAAGGGGTCATGGGCTTTGATTGTGCCATGTACATCTGTTAATTCATTAAAAATCCGTTGCAGTGTGAACATAGTATAATAGAAATCACGGTGGACTTGGATTCGGGTGATGTGGGTGAGATTGGCTAATATTCCCCACTCCTGTGTTCTATTCTTGGGCACACAGCTAGACACCATTTTCCAGGCTCTCTTGTGGCTAGGTGTGGCCATGTCACTGAGTTCTGGCCAACAGAATCTAAGCACAAATATCTATCGCTTCTAGGCCTGCCTCACAGAAACCTGCCACATGTGTCCTGCCACTTTTGCTTCATGCAGACAAACCACGTGTTAATGATGGAGCCACAAGATGCCATGTACCTGTCTTTGTGAGTCACCATGTGGACCCCCAATTTCCCCCCAATGAATAGGGACCCACGTATTGGATTATTCCAGAACCAAGAAATAAATGTCTCCTATGTGTTAAGTCACTGAGATTTTGATGTCTGTTACAGTAGTCATAAATACTCTGTCCCATCAATAACTTTGACTTTTGTCTTACCTGCTATTTACCCTTGGGCAAGTCACTTAACCTCTCATCTTCTCTATAACCTTCTCTGTCAATGGGGGTAATAAGATAAGCATTCTTGGCCCCATTTTACAGATGAAAGGATTAAATGCGGTAACATTTGCAAAAATACTTTGTAAACGATTACACAAATAGAAGGTGGTGGTATTATTATTGGATCTTGTCCCTCACAGTAGCTAATAGAACATTTTCCATTGAGGAATCTCAATTCCTTTTCAAACCAGCAATATTTTCTGCTAAATGTGTAGCTGGAGCTGGTCCTGGATCACCTGAATTTCTCAGGCCATATAAATTGGGGCGAGGAATACTCAGACTTTGCCAAATCCCTCTGACATGTCAGTTTCAGGACTATGCCCACCTAGTCCAGGCCACTGACTGCTCCTTACAGTCTCAGGTGATGTCCCAGATGTCTCAGAACTTGATATACTGACCAACTAATTCCTATGGTCATCTAGGGCCCCACCATAGGTGTCAAAACGATGAGTTTTCCAAGCCTTTCCTGTTTTCCCAAAAGTCACATGATAATAACAAATGTAATATTGAGTGCCCACTATGTGCCAAATTGCATGCATTATCCCAGGTCATCTTCACAACCACTGCAGGAAGGAAGTGCCTATTAGTCCCATTTTGCAGATGATAAAACTGAGGTGTATGAAATTTGCTCAAAGTCAATTAGAGTAGATGGATTAATATTTATGTTTCTAAAAGATCTATGCTCTTAACCTCTGTGTGTCCAATTGTTAACTCTGCCTCACAGCCCAGCATTGCCCATTCCCTTCTAAGAGTCTCACTGCTGAGAAAGCCAAATCTCATTATAGGAGAAAAGGATGTTACTTTTTAAAGGACCCAGCAGCAAACATCTCTTTGCATGCTTCAAATGGACATTAATAATGGACATCATTCCTGCTCATTTTTCTCCAAATTTATTATTTATTTATCTAATTCAATGCACCTTAATTTGCCTGCAAGTCATATTAATGTGATTGTTTAAAATGATAAGGACCCTCTGAGGGAAAGTGAACATCAACAGTGTAACATCAATATTCAGTGTCTGAGAGCAAGTACAGGGGCGAGTGGTGTTTCTACTTCAATAGGTGCCTGTCTCTTTGTTGGGTCACAGACCTTAATCCACCCCAAAGTGCTTGTCAACATAGTGCACGAAGGAGATGCCTGGGAAGTTTCCTGCTCTACCAGTTGTAATTACATGAAAAATAAATGGAAAAATTGGGTTATTTTGCTCGCTACCTGACAGGGACTTAACATCCCAGATTGTATGGCCAATATGTGTTGAACCAATATCCCATGGATCTTTCTATACTGACTCCCAGCTTTTGACCTATCTCCTGTGGAAGTTGAGGAATTTGGCTACCAAACAAGTATGTTATGTGTTATTAAGGACAGGCAATATGTGACAATTTGTACTTACGGAATGTATAAAGTCAGGAGTTAAGTAGGTCTTGGTTAGTTGAACTCTTGAAATTTCAAAAAGTTCAAGTCTCCCTGAAATTTGGAGGGGCTGAGTCTTATCTGAATGACTTTGTTATCATCAAATGATTCAATTCATGAAGGAGGGGACCCTTCTTATGGCACAATATCTGAATTTATCATTGAAGTTAACAGGAAGGCAGTATTTGATCAGCCAATACTTCATGTACGTCCCCTCTAATCTTCCAACCCCTCTGCAGCCTAGGCCTTCTTAGCTCCATCCTATAGATCAAGAAGTTACAGTAAGCAGACCTAATTACGTTAAAGTGTCAGACCCAGGGTTTGAAGTCAAATGGTCTTGGTCCCATAGCCCAAACCCAAATATTTTTCTGTTTGGAACATGTCTGTTTCCTAAATAGAAGTTCTTATAATCTAAAAATCCACAAGAAGTTGTTGTGAAGGAATTTCAAGGAAAGAAACAGAAGGCTTGCTTTGTCAGAGCTCTTCTGGTCAGCTATGGTGAGCCTGCTCTCTTCATTGTGCATTCTCCACAAAAGAACCTCTGCTGACGCCAGAGGTCTCTCCCCTAGGAGTGAAAGGGGACCAAGCAGGGGAGATCTTGGTGAATATTGGAAAGATGGAGCCAAGGAGACCCATGCACTTCCAATTAGACAGCATGCTTTCCATGGCTCGCTCAACGCCTTGCTCCTTCTCAAAGCATGCTCAGAGAGTTTCAGCTTTGGCAAAGGCTTGAGAGATTTCATGCTCCTTTCCCCCCAAGTAATAAAAAAGTCATTTTTGCCTCAAGCTAGGGAAAACACTGGCAGAATTAAACTTTAAAATCTTTGGGTGAGCTTTTTTTTTTTTTAAATTAAATTTATTGTTGCTGTTGTTTGGAAACCTTGTGGACATTCACCACTTTTAGTTCCCTGGCTAAGCTTTTCTGGAAACTTCTGTGGAAAGGAGGGTTAAAAGCAGAGGAATTAGGTTGGTTTTTAAACTCCAAGTCTGATGATGAGTGGGTAGAGGATTTTAAAAACTGCACCTGCTGGGTTTCAAATGGCATACAACCCAGTCATAGTTCTGGAGAGAGAGCAGAGGACTGGCAAGAATGCCATTCCCAGTGGGGTATGGCTTCCTGTTTGGGTTCCTCACTTTCCAAAAGCATGGAACAAAGCAAGTGAAAAAGCTTGCTCTCAACCCTTTGGAAAAGCCAGAGTAAGACGCATTTATTTAAGGTGTACATCTTGATGATTTGATAGATGTGTACATTGTGAAATAATCACCATAATCAAGCTAATTAACGTATATACAATAAAAATCCTAAAATAAGATGTCACCATTCTGTGTTCACTGAGCAGCCTGGGGAGGCTTGCCCATGTGCACATCTTCCTTTGCTCATTAATTTCCCCTAAAAAGAAAGCAGGAAATAAAGATCCAACCCTTCATAATCCAAACCACACGGGGAAGAGGCAAAGCAGAGCCTTCACCAAGAATTCAGACGTTCAGTGTGGTGGTCAGACCTCACTGTACAGACTCCAAATTCCAAATGAGCTTTGCCTAATTCCTCCAGTTCTCTCTCACCATCTTGGACCTGCACAAAAACGTATCTCTTTTGGCTTTTTTGCAGACCACACAATTGCATTGCACAACCTCAGCCTCTGACATTATCCCCTTTATGCTTTAAAGGCCAGGGAACTGACCCTAAAGTTTACATGGGCCAGATAAGTGACTTCCAGCTAAGGGTAGGTCACTATATCCTTAGTTTCCAAAAAAAGTCTCTCCACACATTCTCCTTTGATTTACGGGTAGACTAGAAATGAAATAATTACCTTAAATCTTACTTTACATGTCACAATATGAAGATTTATCCCAGACACAAGCATACATTCTTAATTATCATTCTTTAAAATCTCCCCCTACCCCATCCCTCCTAGAGCCACCCCCTCTCACCCCAGTTTAACTGGACACCTCCAGTTTCTTCCTCCTTCTCTCATTTTTGGAGGGTAGAAAACACTCCATTTTCCTTTTTCATTTTTGTGACTTGAATATCTCAGAAGATATTCAAGATATGGGAGAGAGACATGCACCCCTCCCACCCCATTTCCTAGTCATGTTTCCAGATATTAGAGGCTTCTTTGGTAGAGGAGTACCTGTCCCATCTCCCAAATCTTTCAGCCTTGGAACCCAAGTGCAGGGAGTGAAACATTCAGTTGGTCAACAAATATCTGTGGAGTACCCACCAGGTGCTAGCTAGACCCTGGAGATGCAGTGAGAAAAGACATAGTCCTGCTCCTTCAGGGACTCTTCAGGTAAGGAGCAGAAATTCTACCTTCTAGGTTTCTTCTGTCAACCCCCATTCTTTTTTTTTTTTTTTTTTTTTTTTTTTGAAATGGAGTCTCGCTCTGTCGCCCAGGCTGGAGCGCAGTGGCGCAATCTCGGCTCACTGCAAGCTCTGTCTCTCAGGTTCACGCCGTTCTCCTGCCTCAGCCTCCCAAGCAGCTGGGACTACAGTTGCCCACCACCACGCCCAGCTAATTTTTTGTATTTTTAGTAGAGACGGGATTTCACCATGTTAGCCAGGATGGTCTCGATCTCCTAACCTCGTGATCCGCCCGCCTCAGCCTCCCAAAGTGCTGGGATTACAGGCGTGACCCACTGCGCCCGGCCTTGTCAACCCCCATTCTAATCTCAGCCCCAGGGGCAACAAATGTAAGCAATGCCAGAACCTTCGATTCTAACATCAACTCCCTACCGGCCACGACGGTCATTTCTGCCAGTCTCACAATGCTTCCAGGACTCTCCACCTAATTGCACACTCACATTTGGGGGTGCTCATGAACACAATTCCTAGTGTCAGGCACCTAAGCACTTTTTAAACCTCTTTCTTAAACATGCAATTTAATAGGTACATTTTGGCCACACCAGTTCTACATTTTTGGCAGTCCTCCACAAGTTTACATGCCCCAGATAAGTGACTTCTGGCTAAGGGCAGGTCACTATATCCTTAGTTTCCAAAAATAAATAAATAAATAAATAAATAAATAAATAAATAAATAAATAAATAAAAAGTCTCTCCACACATTCTTCTTTGATTTAGGGGTAGACTAGAAAGAAAATAATTACCTTAAATCTTATTTTACATGTCACAATATGAAGATTTATCCCAGACACAAGCATACATTCTTAATTATAATCACAGCATTGATCTGAGCAAGTATAAGATATATGGCCACAAGTTGCTGGTGGTTTTGTATTACCATTTTAGTGCAATTAACGTCTACCACTAAAGCACCATCTTACGCATAAGACAAAATTAAAAAGAAGCTTGAAATGTTATATCCTATCCAGGAAATGTTACTACTGCATTTTCAAGATGAGGAGTTAAGGTTTTCATTTTTAATTACTTTACTGAGTGATTCTTCTTAAGGGAACCTAATTGTGAAGAATATAAATTACTTTGCAAGTTTATGGTGGGGGACTAGTAATCCTTTTGGGATGCAAACAGAAAAGCAAACGAGAATTTAGGAACACTCAATGGTAAAATTTAACATTTCTGTCCGGTTGTAACTCTTTTGAAAAAATCCCTTATAGAAGAATATTGTCATTAATAATTTCATCATTCATGAAGCATTGACTATAATGCTCAGCATTTTTGCTGCAATTTATGCGGGGTATAAAGGAAGACAGCTTGTATGGTTTCAAGGCTTTAGCTCTTCCCTGTCTAGGTCTTCCTTCTTCTGCAGAATGTCTGTCTCCTCTTGTCTAACAGGTGCCCAATCTTCCAAGAGTGCTCCTTGGAGCAACACTGTGCAGTGCCCCAGGTTTGCAAATTCACTCTTCCTTTGCTACAATTAGAATCACATTTCTTTCCCTCCAAGCTACTCAGCTAGCTGTTAGGGTAAAGCAGCTGATTAAACAAAGTCACACTCGTGTTGATGACTAAAAGCACTTAACGCTCCCTGGGGTGTCTGCATCTGAGACTGAGCCTTTAATGGTGAAATTTCAGGCATTGCGACAGGCTAGTGGGGCTATACTTTTTGGTGTCTGTTGGGGGGCATATGTTTTGATGCCACTCAAATCATACCACTTGTAGATGTTAGAAGCTGGTAGAAAAAGATTTTGTAAAATTACATTTTGCCTAAGACCTTTCTTCTAGGGCTTTAAATGATAGGTCTTAGAACTCTCTTAGTCCTGAGAAAGTTTTGTTCAGGATCAACCCATCTGCCCCTTCTCTGAATAGTGTGACTCTCAACCACAGATGCTGCCTTGTAGAGCTGCAGAAATATCCCTTGTGCAAATTCATTCCCAATAAATGGAATCCTAACTTTGGTAGAAATAGAGCAAATCCTTAACATTGGCCAAGGAGGGAGCCCCAGACCTTTCATTTTCCCCATAAAAGAGGGTAAAGTATAGCTTTCCAGGGTGCATGCATGTGAGGATAACAACAGACATTTACTATATTTCCAGCACAATTCCATGTGCTTTCCATAATACACAAAATGAACTCACAAGACTAAAGAAGTGCAAAATAAATTCGAATAATTTAACTTCTGAATGATGGTTTTTGTAAGTTTGTAGCATTTATACTTCTGAAGTTATTAAAGCTTAAAAAAAGCACTAACACTTTTGGGTCATCCTGTATTTACTCATTTAACCTTCATGACAACTCTCAAGTGTAGGTACCATTATTTATCCCATTTAAAGGATGGGAAAACAAAGGCGCTGTGAGGGTAAGTAACCCACTCATTGTTATGTAGCAGCAAGAGACACAGCTGGGATTATAAAGCCAGGAAGTGTAATTCCAGTGTTCATGCTCTTAGCCACTCCGCCACACTGCCTCTTGGCATCAGTAAGAGACAGCAGAGATGCTGCTGTACCTGAAGGCCAGCTAGACTCAGTTACTAGACAAATGCGTCACTCTCCACACCAGCCTCAAATTGCCATGATTCAATTTCAGCCCTCACATCATGGCTCCTTTCCACATTTTGTGGATTGTGAGGCCATGATTAGGATAAAAATATGAATAATAAATCTAGGGCTGCTAAGGGTACACCATGTCTCCCACTTTAATATCCCCTGCACTTTTTCATAGCATAATCCCATCACACCTGTTGAATTAAATTAAATGGAATTGCCAGGACCCTTTGGCATTCTATGGGCAGTTTGGGCAGGCCCTCCTGTCTTGCCCTCCACATAATTTCAGACCTGTTGGATGGCCTTGGCATGGCCCCAGTTTCTCCCCTCCATTCTCCTTGCCCATCTCATGGAACCTTCTTTCATAAGCCCACCACCTGCCCCAGCCCAAAGAGCCATAGTGAGGGCCTCCTACTGTCTACATAATAGCCCCCAAGTCTGCTGACTTCTTTAATGGCAAGGAAAGCACAGTGCTCCGTTTTGGGAAGCCAGTCCTGACTAGGCCAGAACTGGACCTGAAACTGTTCTATATCTGCAGTCAGGCAGTCAATCAGCTTCCTCTGGCTCAATCCAGGGACTTCATTTGCCCTTTTCAGACCACCTGTGTCTCATTTCCCAGACTCGCTGGCCCCCATTTGCCCTTGACTGGGGGGCTCTGGTCTCCTTACCCTGTTTTCTTGGCATTCCCAGCCCTCGTGACCCTGGTGAGTGAAAGGTATTAACACCTAAGAACCAGAGGGCTCTGTCTGTCTTTCACGGCCCACAAACAGAAGGCTTACTTGTTGACCTAACTTTATGGCACTGTCCCTGGCACCTGGAGCCCCCTGAGACTAACCTGGTCCCATTAGCCAAGGCTCTATCAACAGTACTTTATTTCTTGTAGGCATTTCTGAAAACTGAGAGGTTGCTTGGGGATTTCTGAGCCTTGAGTTGATTAGCAGTTAATGATGTGTGTTTTGATGAGAACATAAAAGATTTTGTTTATTCACTCGAGAGGAGGAAAGTTAGGAGTAAAAAGGAGAGAAGGAAAAACACAAATTCTCAGTTTTTCAATGGGGTTTTAAGTGGTTTAGATCTGCGGAGTTCCCAGCCAATGCTGGGCAATTCTCTGGGTGTTGATTTTAATATCAGCTCTCAGAACAATTCATAGAGAGTTCGTCTCCACCTAGAGCTGTCAGGAGGCATACAGAAGGCCCAGAAAGGCTGCTGGACAATCCATTTTACTATTCAGAGAATGCGTGAATACAGCCAGGAGATGCATTTGTACTTCCACATGAAGGAGAGGGAGAGAGGAGCCCACAGCAGATAGAGGTAACTTCTAACAGTGCGTCCTCCAACTGGAGCCATGGTTCTAGAAGCCATGTCTAGAAAGACACCCCCAACAGGGTCAGCATGTACAGAAAGGACGTTTGTCAAACTTGCTCCCAGTCTACTGCTGTTGAAGTCGTGGGCAAAGTGGAAGGGGCTCCAGAAAGGCAGAATGTGGCAATCGAAAAGGAATAAGCTTTGGAGTTAAACCAACCTGTGCTGGAAACTGGTTTATTCCAGGTTTCTCTACCTATCTTGATCTCAGTTTTCATTTCTGAAATGAACTGGTAGTACTGGATTTAACTTGTAGAGTTGCTGTGAAGATTCAACATTTCCATGTGTGAAATTAACTGGCACAGATCAGGTGCCAGTGATTGTGATTTACCCTCCCCTACCCCTTTCCCTTTTTCCTCTACAAAGTCTGCACTCTCCATTCCCCAGTGTGCCTACGGTCTTCAACTGCTGACTTTCAAAACAAATGAACTGAGGTGGTCAACACCTTCTGGGGATTCAAGTTCTTTCAAAAACAACTCACAAGGGAAATAGTAATTCACAATGCTTCCCTTCGGGCATATAAAGTACTGATGTTGGAGTTTGACAAACGGTTTGGGACAATAAACTCACTTGGTTGGTGGTAGGCAGTCAAAGCCTTGCTTTCCGAATCGGCCTGCAGAAACAATGTTCTTTGCTGTTAGTTAGTCCTACTCAGGCCAGTCCAGCCAGTCACATCTCAAGTGAGCACTGATAGTTACAAGTGGGGCTAGCTGAGAGGCTGGGTGAGGGCCTTTCCCTATCACTATTCCTAAGGCAACTTGGGGCACATCTTAAAGGCCAGCAGCATTATCTTTACTTTGCAAGAAGAGTACATATTGTAGGAGGTGCCCTTGGGTGAGCATCCGCTCTGAAATGTTTACTGCTGTTCACTGGAAGTCCTACGTCTGAAGGTGAATGAGAGTATCTCAGCTATTCTAGAACAGTCTCCTGTCGCTGAACTACCTTTGCCTCTGGGGTTGGAGGAGTGAAATTTGTGACTTGGATCATCTAGGAAGGAGTTTTGGAAGGGGCAGCTCTGCATGTGAGGTTGCACAGTATAGGATACAGCCACCACCCAGAATAGTCCCCAAAATCAGAAACATATTCAATGACAGGTGAAAAGAGGAAGACCTTGGTCTAAGTAGACTCCAGTCTAATTCTTCTATATTTCTGCCTCTAGGAACACAACAAAATTGTGTTCTCTCCATTTGAAGAGAATTTTTCAATCAAAGGCAGGGGCTTGTCAGAACTTCGTTTTCATTCTGGCAGTGATTTAATTCTATAAGTTTATTTTAACAAAGGAATTTGTTTCCCAATTAAGAAATAGTTTGCAGGGACATCTCTGGGGCTGAGGTTCCTTTAGTATGCCTGGAAAAAGCCAAGAGCCATTCAAGGCAGCTAGTTATTTCTTCTTCATGGGATAGGTGATAGTGAGTTCATCAATGACATTGGTGAATTCTTTAAAAAAATGAAAAAAAGGTACTTGGAACTGCTCTAAGTCCTAGAAGGATAACAGAAAAGACTATTCAGGTTTTCTCACATGGGGGTGGCGGTGATAATGGAGGTGAGGATGGTTGTCACCTGCAAACCAAAGGACATAAGCCAATTGGGAAGTTATTTGGGGTGTGGATAAGGTCAAAGTCATATGGGAAAATTTAATGGGTTATTTTATTTCTTGTTTGGAGAGAAATGAACGAGTATATTTTCTCCAGTAAAAGCTAAGCCTCTCCATGTTTTCTAAAGGTTTAGAGGCTTCTTCTTCAACCAATCCCAAGCCAGGAAATAGAACAACACAAATTCCTGCTGTCTTAAGGCCTGGTGCTTGCATTTGTTCAGTGAGAGAATTGCCTCCTGTATACAACTGTTTAATTGATATTCCCAGAGTGTGTTCGACCTTCCAGAGTCTTCTTTCTAAAGGCTCTTTGGACAACTACTGGTGGGGTTCTTTAAAAGCTGCCTGCAAGGCACAGTCTACTGATGGGGGCGAAAGTTAGTGGGTGAATATTTGAGGAGAAGCAGGTTATCACCCTCAAGGTATTTTTTAATTACAAAGGAAAGAACAGTAACTTTACTGTGGAACAGCTCTGCAGATACACCTGAACCAAGTTAACATCATTAATAATCAGGCATTTCCATTACATAACGCTAAAGGGATCAATTCAACAAGAAGAGCTAACTATCCTAAGTATATATGCACCCAATACAGGAGCACCCAGATTCATAAAGCAAGTCCTTAGAGATCTACGAAGAGACTTAGACTCCCACACAATAATAATGGGAGACTTTAACACCCCACTGTCAACATTAGACAGATCAACGAGACAGAAAGTTAACAAGGATATCCAGGAATTGAACTCAGCTCTGCACCAAGTGGACCTAATAGACATCTACAGACCTCTCCACCCCAAATCAACAGAATATACATTCCTCTCAGCACCACATCGCACTTATTCCAAAATTGACCACATAGTTGGAAGTAAAGCACTCCTCAGCAAATGTAAAAGAACAGAAATTATAACAAACTGTCTCTCAGACCACAGTGCAATCAAACTAGAACTCAGGATTAAGAAACTCACTCAAAACCGCTCAACTACATGGAAACTGAACAACCTGCTCCTGAATGACTACTGGGTAAATAATGAAATGAAGGCAGAAATAAAGATGTTCTTTGAAACCAACGAGAACAAAGACACAACATACCAGAATCTCTGGGACACATTCAAAGCAGTGTGTACAGGGAAATTTACAGCACTAAATGACCACAAGAGAAAGGAGGAGAGATCTAAAATTGACACCCTAACATCACAATTAAAAGAACTAGAGAAGCAAGAGCAAACACATTCAAAAGCTAGCAGAAGGCAAGAAATAACTAAGATCGGAGAAGAACTGAAGGAGATAGAGACACAAAAAACCCTTCAAAAAATCAATGAATCCAGGAGCTGGTTTTTTGAAAAGATCAACAAAATTGATAGACCGCTAGCAAGACTAATAAAGAAGAAAAGAGAGAAGAATCGAATAGACGCAATAAAAAATGATAAAGGGAATATCACCACTGATCCCATGGAAATACAAACTACCATCAGAGAATACTATAAACACCTCTACACAAATAAACTAGAAAATCTAGAAGAAATGGATAAATTCCTCGACACATACACTCTCCAAAGACTAAACCAGGAAGAAGTTGAATCCCTCAATAGACCAATAACAGGCTCTGAAATTGAGGCAATAATTAATAGCCTACCAACCAAAAAAAGTCCAGGACCAGATGGATTCACAGCTGAATTCAACCAGAGATACAAGGAGGAGCTGGTACCATTCCTTTTGAAACTATTCCAATCAATAGAAAAAGAGGGAATCCTCCCTAACTCATTTTATGAGGCCAGCATCATCCTGATGCCAAAGCCGGGCAGAGACACAACAAAAAAAGAGAATTTTAGACCAATATCCCTGATGAACATCGATGCAAAAATCCTCAATAAAATACTGGCAAACCGAATCCAGCAGCACATCAAAAAGTTTATCCACCATGATCAAGTGGGCTTCATCCCTGGGATGCAAGGCTGGTTCAACATATGCAAATCAATAAATGTAATCCAGCATATAAACAGAACCAAAGACAAAAACCACATGATTATCTCAATAGATGCAGAAAAGACCTTTGACAAAATTCAACAGCCCTTCATGCTAAAAACTCTCAATAAATTAGGTATTGATGGGGCGTATCTCAAAATAATAAGAGCTATCTATGACAAACCCACAGCCAATATCATACTGAATGGGCAAAAACTGGAAGCATTCCCTTTGAAAACTGGCACAAGACAGGGATGCCCTCTCTCACCACTCCTAGTCAAGATAGTGTTGGAAGTTCTGGCCAGGGCAATCAGGCAGGAGAAAGAAATAAAGGGCATTGAATTAGGAAAAGAGGAAGTCAAATTGTCCCTGTTTGCAGATGACATGATCATATACTTAGAAAACCCCATCGTCTCAGCCCAAAATCTCCTTAAGCTGATAAGCAACTTCAGCAAAGTCTCAGGATACAAAATCAATGTGCAAAAATCAGAAGCATTCTTATACAACAATAACAGACAAACAGAGAGCCAAATCATGAGTGAAATCCCATTCACAATTGCTTCAAAGAGAATAAAATACCTAGGAATCCAACCTACAAGGGATGTGAAAGACCTCTTCAAGGAGAACTACAAACCACTGCTCAATGAAATAAAAGAGGATACAAACAAATGGAAGAACATTCCATGCTCATAGGCAGGAAGAATCAATATCATGAAAATGGCCATACTGCCCAAGGTAATTTACAGATTCAATGCCATCCCCATCAAGCTACCAATGACTTTCTTCACAGAATTGGAAAAAACTACTTTAAAGTTCATATGGAACCAAAAAAGAGCCCGCATCGCCAAGACAATCCTATGCCAAAAGAACAAAGCTGGAGGCATCACGCTACCTGACTTCAAACTATACTACAAGGCTACAGTAACCAAAACAGCATGGTACTGGTACCAAAACAGAGATATAGACCAATGGAACAGAACAGAGCCCTCAGAAATAATGCCACATATCTACAACTATCTGATCTTTGACAAACCTGAGAAAAACAAGCAATGGGGAAAGGATTCCCTATTTAATAAATGGTGCTGGGAAAACTGGCTAGCCATATGTAGAAAGCTGAAACTGGATCCCTTCCTTACACCTTATACACAAATTAATTCAAGATGGATTAAAGACTTAAATGTTAGACCTAAAACCATAAAAACCCTAGAAGAAAACCTAGGCAATACCATTCAGGACATAGGCATGGGCAAGGGCTTCATGTCTAAAACACCAAAAGCTATGGCAACAAAAGCCAAAATTGACAAATGGGATCTAATTAAACTAAAGAGCTTCTGCACAGCAAAAGAAACTACCATCAGAGTGAACAGGCAACCTACAGAATGGGAGAAAATTTTTGCAAGCTACTCATCTGACAAAGGGCTAATATCCAGAATCTACAAAGAACTCCAACAAATTTACAAGAAAAAAACAAACAACCCCATCAACAAGTGGGCGAAGGATATGAACAGACACTTCTCAAAAGAAGACATTTATGCAGCCAACAGACACATGAAAAAATGCTCATCATCACTGGCCATCAGAGAAATGCAAATCAAAACCACAATGAGATACCATCTCACACCAGTTTTAGAATGGCGATCATTAAAAAGTCAGGAAACAACAGGTGCTGGTGAGGATGTGGAAAAATAGGAACACTTTTACCCTGTTGGTGGGACTGTAAACTAGTTCAACCATTGTGGAAGACAGTGTGGCGATTCCTCAAGGATCTAGAACTAGAAATACCATTTGACTCAGCCATCCCATTACTGGGTATATACCCAAAGGACTATAAATCATGCTGCTATAAAGACACATGCACACATATGTTTGCTGTGGCATTATTCACAATAGCAAAGACTTGGAACCAACCCAAATGTCCAACAATGATAGACTGGATTAAGAAAATGTGGCACATATACACCATGGAATACTATGCAGCCATAAAAAATGATGAGTTCATGTCCTTTGTAGGGACATGGATGAAGCTGGAAACCATCATTCTCAGCAAACTATCACAAGAACAAAAAACCAAACACTGCATATTCTCACTCATAGGTGGGAATTGAACGATGAGAACACTTGGACACAGGAAGGGGAATGCCACACAGGGGGGCCTGTTGTGGGGTGGGGGGAGGGGGGAGGGAAAGCATTAGCAGATATACCCAATGTAAATGACGAGTTAATGGGTGCAGCACACAAACATGGCACATGTATACATATGTAACAAACCTGCACATTGTGCACATGTACCCTAGAACTTAGCCCATAGTTAAAAAAAAAAAGAAAAAAAATAATCAGGCATGTCATCCTCATGGATATTCTGATATGATGCCCTGAGAAGGGCATAGTATTGCCTCTATGGTATTCTCGCCAAACATCCATAACCTCGATCTAATATGAGAAAATACCAGACAAACCCAAATTGAGGAACATTCTGCAAGATAACTAACCAGTGCTTTTCGAAAGTCTCAAGGTCAGAAAAGCCAAGGGAAGATAGAGGAGCTGTCACAGATTGAAGGTGCCTAAGGAGGAGTAGATCTTGGAAATTAGCAGAAAAACTGTTAAAATCCAAATAAGTTCCGTAGTTCAGTTGGTAGTACTGAACTAATTTTAATTTTCTGGTTTTGATAATGATTTAATGCTTATACAAGATGTTAATGTTAGGCAAAGCTGGGTGAAAGGTATTCACAAATTCTCTACAATTTTTACAACTTTTCTGTAAGTCTAAACTTATTCCAAAATACAAAGTTAAAAAAAAGCTTCCTGAAAACAAAACAAAACAAAAAATAACCACTAGCTAGCATAATATTGCCCTACCAAGTGCCTCAGTGGCTCGGTGAACGAGATGAGGGTACATAATTATCTTCTTCCACATTCTGTGTTTAATTCCTACAAGTTGTAACTTGTGCAGCTCATCTCAGTCCCGTGGGCAGCCTAAGAAAATGATATTTCATGTTTCAAGACTAAAAGGGTAAAATTGAGAAGAGCCCCTCCACCTTGGTTTCACAAGCTTTATTACTTGTAAGCAATGTGTCTGTGAGCAGGGACATACCAATGATGTAAAAAGACACATTTTTTAAAGGCTGAAACATGGAATAGAGAATTTAAGGCAGGAGGATTGCCCATTATTTGATCTTTTTTGTTCTTAAAAGCTGCGTACTTCTTTTGAGTCAGAATCCAGTTGTTTCAAGTCCTCATTAATCAGTGACACCATTCATCAAATGGACACATTGGCATAATGAGCTCTCATAAATACACTGTTTGTGATCTTTCTTGGAATATTAGAGTGAGGAATGGGGGGTGGAAAGACTAAAATCACGCAGTACCCCATCTACTTAGTTTAAATCATACTTACATATGCCACACTGAATTAACATCCTGTCATATTTTCTGTTTCATCTCTCTCTCTCTCTCTCAACTCTACTTCTTTGTCTCACTTCGTCTCTCTTTCTCTCTCTTGCATATAATAGAATAAACCAAGGGCACCTCCCCCCAGTCCCTTAATTGAGGCAGTTCAGGTCAAATCATGATTGTTAACGAAAAGAAACCAAATCATTTGTCACAGAGCTTAATTTTGCTTGCGCTGCCTGATTTCCTGCTGTTATTTGTACTTAGAGTAGATGATAAAAGCAGTTGCTACAGCCTCTTCACAGGAAAACAAATCCCAGCTGCAATCCGAGTCAAAACACCTGGGGCTGGCGGATCAGCTGGGATGGAACAGCTATTTTTTCCAAGCTTTGGTTCACCCTTCAGGTTGATTGAAATGAACGGAGCCGTTTTTGAATGAAAGTTAACTCCCACATTTCCTAAGTACCTTTGCTCTCAAATGAGTGAGTGTTTGGGGTTACTCCTGAGAAAATGTGGAGGCCCCACAGCCCTTTCCTCCTTATATCACCTCAGAACTCACAGACTTCCCCTAGGTTTCTGGATGGGTGCAAAAGTAATTGCGGTGTTTTTTGTTTGTTTGTTTGTTTTGCCATTACTTTTAATGGAAAAAACTGCAATTACTTTTGCAACAACCTAATAAAACTGCAATTCATGGGCTTGGATCCCCCTGCCCCCACCAAGTATGAAGATGGAAATTGACTGTGTACACATTGGAAGGTGAAGAGTCATCACCGAGAAGCGAGGAGAGCAGAGTCTTCTTGTGGGGAAAAGACATGACATTTTATTGTTCATTTGTGGAAATGACAATTCCTTGGAATCCCATAATTTCAACGCTTTCTCCTCCAATTTTCACCTTGCTAACGGTCTATTGATTACAGAGGTGGGGCCAGTTTTGAGAGCTGTCTTACAGATGGAGAAACAGGTATGTTAGGCATGTCTTTGGTCATATGGAGGTTCAGAAATAACTTGATAGCTGCTGGTTGTGATCAGCCTTCTGGTGTGATCTCCCATCCCCAAAACCACCATACAGGACTTTCCTGGGGCCTCTCGAATGCCCGCCAATGAGATAGTGGTCTTCTTTTCCTGGAATCCAGCCCTAGCCATGGCTCAATCCAGGTTGTGGTGTGTGAGTGTGGTGTGTGTGTCCTGTGTTTATGGGCAGGATATTATTCTGCATCAGGGAGGACATACAGCCTAAGAGGAGAGATTTTGGGATACCAGGTATTGCTCTGCGATGACTCAATTTTACTTTCTGAAATAATTGCCTTTGAGGACTTCTGCTCTATGACAGAGGTTTCCAAGTCTGCCTGAACATCTGAGTCAGATGGAAAAGCTTTTAAAATGCAGATTTTAGGGCTCTAACCTAATCTTATGGAATCAGAACTTCTAAGGGAAGGGCCAAGGAAAAAGTCTTTCCCAAAAAACCTAGCAGATGGCTCAGACCAAAATCCAGGTTTGGGAACCACACATTGACCGCTATTAACCAATCATTATTTCCTGATTTTATGGGATACAGAGTAATAAGAAGAAAAATGTTTATCATTGACTATGTGCACAGTGCTAAGAGGTTTACTTACATAATCTTATTTAACCCTCACAATAGCCCTATGGGAAAGGTACTGTTATTATCCCCACTTTAAAGATGAGAAAATGGAAGCTTAGAGAGATAATGTAACTTGCCTAAGATATTTACATCTAGTAAGGGGGGAATCAGGATTCATCCACAAATGGTCTGATTTCTGAGTCTAGGTTCTTATTTACTGGGCCATAATGCTTTGGGACGCTGGGTATCCTCTTAGATAATTTTGACCTCAGGGCATGAAGAGTGGAGGAGGGAAGTAACTGTATCAAAAAAGAATGAGGCACAGTGTGTCGGGGTGTGCCTGTGCATGCTTGCACACATAAGTGTTAGCAATGTGGGGAGCAGATGGAGAAATGAAGAAACTGGTAGATGACTGAGCCTGAGGGAAGAACAGTACAATGGGATAGTGAAACAAGAATGAATTTAGCAGCCAAAGACTTAAGTGTGAACCCCAGGTCTGCCATTTGGTAGCTGTGTGACTTTAGGCAGGGCATTTAACATCTCTGTGCCTTGGTTTCCCTGTCTCCATAAACAAAACCATGATACATATATTGAAGGTTTGTAGATTATAGAGAAGGTTTATAAACCATGCTGTATGGAGTAGATCCTCAGTTATGGCAACAATTCTCAAAGGCTGATGTTCTGAGCCCAAATTGAAGGTTGTGATAAAAAATAATGGAACTGAAGAAATAATTCAAAGTGGCCAGAAAAAGCTCAGAACAAAATTCCCTTTAAAAAACTGCCTGGGAGCCATTGCATCTTTAGATATGGAAGAAAAGTGATTCAAAGCACAGTTGTTCTCTGGCCCATATGAAGAATTGTAGGAAAACTGGCTGGGGTGGTGTGTGGTGGGGGGGTGGTTGATAAAGATCTGAAGAGTGGCTATAGATGTTTTCAAGTTCCAAGACAGTCATTAAGGATCAGTTGATTTTCTCCTCTCTTAGCATCCTGTTCTCAAAGGTGGCCTTGTGTTCTCAATAAGACAATGCTGGATCTAACCTGGGAATACCAGGGAAGAGAATACATGGTCCCTGGAGTTTTGCTGATGGGTTTGGACCTGAATTTCCAAATGATGGCAGAAGATGGGAAGACATTTAGAAGTTGTTCTACAAACGTAAAAAGAAAAGCACTACAGCCAAAGGATGACTAAAAGGGAACAATAGTCCTCCATCATTGGAAGAATATAATGGTCCCAGGGAGAGTAATTAGATAACCTAAAAAGGATTCTTGGGAAAGAAAACTCAGACTCTCAGGAACATTTTCTACATGTCAGGACTTGTGAAATAGTGTTTCAAGAGAAGAGACAGAAACTGTCTTCACTGAATCATGGAAAGTCAAGTGAAAATTTAGCATGATAAAACACTCCAGCTGGGCATTTCCAATCTAGTTCTTGAAGACACATTCACAAGACTTAGAGTTAAGACAGATTTTGAGCTATGGCCATAAGAATGAATAAACTATTACTGCATGGAAAACATGGATAAATCTCATGAGCATAATGTTAAGTGAAAAAGCTGGACACAAAGATGCATATTATGTGATTGCATTAATAGAGAGATCCAAAGGCGGTAAAATTAATCTACGTGTTACAAGTCAGGCATTATAATTATCTTTGGGGTGTAGTAGTTGAGAGGAAACACAAGGAAGATTTTAGGGGTGCTTGTCATGTTCTGCTTTTTCATCTGAGTGCTAGTTATGTGCGTGTGTTCAGTTTGTAAATGTCCATTGAATTGTACACTCATGACATGCATTTTTCTGCACATTTGTTTTAACTCAATAAAGAGTTAGAAAAACAAAAGTTTTAATCTGTGAGCAGAGAGCAATTTATTTCAAGAGAAACCAACTCCAAATATCCAACCATAGAGTTTCCTTCTAATTGCTTCACCCACCCATGAGAATTTTATCTTTTCTTGAGCTGCAAATTCTTCAACTTCAATATGTCAGGCTGGATCTTCTGAGAAGTGTGTACTAGGATAGGATTAGATGTACAAGGGATTCATCAGGAGAAATTCCTTTGAAGGATAAAGGGAGATGGGACAGTGGGAATATACTTTAGGCCAAAATGCCGGTCTGACACCCTTCAAAGGAGAGAGGGAAAGATGGAGGATTGGGTAGGAAGACCTTCAGACCGCAGCACAATCCTGAGAAAATCTCAGGCAGGTTGATGGGAGGTCCTTGGGCAAGTATTGCCCAGTAGAGGAATCCTCCACTGGGCTAAAATAGCGCTATTACAGTATCCCTGCCATGCTCTGTCTAAGCTGCTAGCAGCCCAGGGGAAGCATGGCCTTTGTTTGAATACTGTGGCGAATTCAAAGGTGCAGCAGTTCAAGGCTGTCAGTGAAACACATTTCTAGGATGAGGTCTTCTTGAAGAGAGATCTGGGCAGTGGACATCTATGCCCACCACACCTAGGTATGCAGTGATGCTCATGAGATGGGAGGTGGCTACAGATTGCTCCATATAGAAATGTTACCTAGCATGTTAAAGATATTGAGATTAAAGCATTCCAGCTTGTTTCCTTGCCATTTAACAGTGAGGAAAGAGGGAGAAACAAAATGCAGCAAATATCACATAAGCGTGGTTGTTTCTAGACGGAGTATTTTCCAAAGCTTGCTGGGAATTTAAGAGAACCTCTTAAAAGCAGAGGATGTTTATGTTGCATTAAAACCCACTTTCGAGAGAATATTACTTGAGCTACTTAAATAAAAATGACTCTTGATACATTCTACTAGGGTCATAGCACAAAATAAAGTGAATGTTGTGATCGTGGAGTTTTGACTCTTCTTTCATTCTCAGAAATGATTATTTGAATTAGTGACACTTTTTAAAATTTCCAACTTTTATTTTAAGTTCAGGGGTACATGTGCAGGATGTGCAGGTTTGTTACATAGGTAAACATGCTATGGTGGTTTGCTGCACAGATCAACCCATCACCTAGGTATTAAGCCCAGCATCCATTAGCTATTCTTCCTGATGTTCTCCTTCCCCCTACTCCCTCACTGTCCAGCAGGACCCAATGTGTGTTGTTCCTCTCCATGTGTGCATGTGTTCTCATCATTCAGCTCCCACTTATAAGTGAAAACATGCGGTACTTGGTTTTCTGTTCCCTCGTTAGTTTGCTAAGGTTAATTGGCCTCCAGCTCTATGCATGTCCCTGCAAAGAACATGATCTTGCTCCTTTTTATGGCTGTGCATACTAATCTGTAGTGTATATGTACCACATTTTCTTTATCCAGTCTACCATTTATGGACATTTAGGTTGATTCCATGTCTTTGCTATTGTGAATATTGCTGCAATGAACATACACGTGCATATGTTTTCATAATAGAATGACTTATTGAATTAGTGACATTTTCCCTATGACATTTAAGTTGATTTTTCCATCCATCCAATCATCTATGCCTAGAACTAAGAGGCAGTAACTAGCCTACTGAGGGGCTTGAAAAAAATTGGCAAAATTGCTGATTTCAACATGACACCTCTAGCTATTGGAGTACCCACCGTTCCTCCTGCATGGTACGAATCCCCACGGTTCAAGCAAAACCAGATTTCTTAACAATGGGGATTATCAATTTATGTAACATATATAGTCCTACAGAACAAGGTGTACTTCTGGTCCAGACAAGATGATATAGGCCCATTTCTCCCTGCTCTTCCCTGATAGGTACAACTATAAACCGTGTAATGGGAAGCAACCAAAGAATCCTGAAAGGTGGTAAGAAGAATAGAAGAAAACTTTTCCTCTATATTCTTACTCTCTAACCCATGAATTCTTGTCTAACTACAAGAACAACATCACAGAAACCCAAACTAAGGAATGTTCTGTAAGATACCTGACCAGTAATCCTACAAACTGTCAAGGTTATTTTAGAAAGTGGAAAGCCTGAGAACTTGCCAGGCTAAGGAGCCTAAGGAGACATGATGTCCATGTAATGTTGCATCCTGGATGGAATCCTGGAACACCAAGAGGGATGTAGATGAAAACTAAAGAAATCTAAATAAAGTGTGGACTTTAATAATAATGTGTCGATATTGCTTCATTAGTTGTGACAAATACAGTAGTGTAAGAAGTTAGTAGTAGTAGTAGGGGAAACTGGATGTGGGTTCTCAGAGAATTCTCTGTACTATCTTGGCAAATTTTTTGCAAATCTAAAATTATTTTTTTTTCACTTGGGCCACATCCTTGGCCCAAACACGTTTTTTATTCTTTACATGGCCAGGATAATTTTCCAAAGGTTTACATTCTGCTTCCCTTTTGATTATACATTTTGTCTTTAAATTGTTTCTTTCTTCTCACATTTCACTATAAATTATTTTTTAAAAAATATTTATTGCTGGGCATGGTGGCTCATGCCTGTAATCCTAGCATTTTGGGAGACTGAGGTGGGAGGATCACTTGAGCCCAGTAGTTTGAGACCAGCCTGGGCAACACAGTGAGACTCTGTCTCCACAAAAAATACAAAAATTAGCTGAGCACAGTGGCACATACCTGTAGTCCCAGACACTTTGTGGGCTGAGGTGAGAGGATCACTGGAGCCCAGGAAGTCGAGGCTGCAGTGAGCCATGATCGTGCCACTGCACTGTAGCCTGGGTAGCAGAGTGAGACCCTGTCTCAAAGAAATGTTTATTAAAATAAATGAATGACCTAGCAACTCTTTTAATCCCTTGAAATTATAGTAACAGAACCCTCGCCAGTTACATTGCTGAGATTTGCAGTGCATGAATCGGAGCAGACCTAACAGGCCATGGACATGCTGAGGGTGGTAGAAGCATGTGATGTGGGTTGTGGCACAGACCATTTGTGAAACTGACTACCACACTCTCATTTGTTCATGAAATGCATGTGAGCTGGGTCAGACAGATTCTGTCTCTGGGGAAACTAATCCCCATCAAAAGCCTATGGGTTGGATGGCTGAGAAAGCCCTCACTAGCTCTTCTCCCAAGCAACCACTGCAGAGCTAGATCTCGCACTCACCACAGTGCCAGGCACAAGGGGCCCATGGATTTGGGCGATCAAGGATATTTATGGGCCACTCCATTGTCCTCTTTAACAATGACACTCTGGCCTTGGAGTGTCTGTGCAGTTACTTTTTAGGATCTGTTTTGGGCAGTGTTCTAATTGTTAATCCCTATTAGTCCAGGGCAATTTTGCCCATTTTTCCTTTCTTACTCAGGGATGAATCTGGCTCATTTGTGAATGAACTTCTAAGAGAGGAAAAGGTGAGCCTTCAGTCTCACACCTGGAAAGGGAAGAGGATTTGGCATGTACAAAGGGGGATGTGCGTGTGCATGTGCGTGTGCGTCCAATTCTTCTATGCAAATGTCTCTGAGCCCCATGTTCTGCATGCAAAGGCTGGATTGTGTGGGGTCATCTCTGAACTCTCCTACCCCTGGTCTGTGATGTGCCAGTGTTTCACCCACACTCATGCCACAGTTGGCACAGGTGTCCCATCCAACAAGATAATTCACTGCCCAAAACAAATCTGGTTGTATTTTTTCACTTCTCTGACATCCCCTGCTTTATTATTTCATGCCCCTGACTCCAACTCTCTACTGGGGCTATAATCATGTTTTGGTCCTTCCTTGGTGACCTTCATGGACCCTACTCTGTCTCATGCAGCCTGGCTTCTCACGTGGCTTGTACAGGGCTCTCCATGGATTTGGGCAAACCCTGGTGGCCTCAAGTGACAGTCACATGACTCCAACCCCAACCCCACTCTGCCCACATCCTCCCTCCACACCGAAAAGGAAGGTGTGTTTGACAGTCATGATACTTGTAGGAGATGTGGCTGTTCCAGCTCCTTCGAAGTAAGAGACCAAGCCCAAGTGGGAGGGGAGATAGCAGTGAGTTTAACAACTACTTACTGCAGGCCGCCCACACCGGGAGAACTAAAGCGGCGTCTGCAGGAGGTGCAAGCCACGAGGCCTCCCTCAACGTGCACCATCAACTCAGAGAGATGAGATGCAAGGGGAAGGATGTCAACCACTGGTGTGAGGCATCTATGTCCCAGAGAGAGAGGAGAGCTTTCTCAAAGCCACTTAGACAGAACAGTGACAGAGCAGGGGATGGGCCGTCCACTTCACCCACATTCTAGTTTAGATTACCGCCATCACTTATCTTGGAAGTCAGTTTACCATGACAATTCCTGACCTACTTCTTCCCTACATTTGTTTTTGTTAGATCGCTTGACTCCAGAATGACCCTTACCCTTGTGAGTCTAAAGCAAAACAAAAAAATGTCTGTTACCACATGTGCGTCTATCTCAATAAAAACCTCAAAAAAACCCCACCCAAAACAATACCACGTCATATGAAAATCAAATATTATTGTAAATGGGCAAATAGCATTTGGTAGTTGAAGGGTTCTCATGCCATATGAATAATCTTCCTTGGTGTGTATGTGTGTATTGTTTTTAGATCTGGACTTTTGTGCTATCAGATTTTCTTAAAGCAGGATTTTCCTGTGTTAAGACTTTGGAGTTTGTATCAATGAGCTATCACTACAATAATACCCTCTTATGTATTCTCTTACGCGGTATAACATACCACCCCAGCACTCAGTTGATGGCAATAAGCGTTTTTTGTCATACTCACAAAGGTGTAAGTTGAGTGAGGTTCAGCTGGTCTAGCTCAAGCTCAGCTGGACAATTACTGCTTTAGACTGCACATCCAGCTGGGCTTGGGTCGTTGATATAGTTTGGTTCTAATATTGGTCCACATGTCTCTCACCATCTTTGGATCAGTGGGGTACTTGGGGCATGCTTTTCCATTTTTGATGAAAGAGTAAGGGAGTAAGCAGAAACATGTGATGTTCCTTAAGACTTAGGCTCAGAACTGGCACACTGGCCCTTCTGCCCACATTTTATTGGCAAAAAAGATCACATGCCCAAGCCCAACATCAATGGAGTGGGAACAAGTACTTTACCTCTAGTGGAGCCACAAAGTCATATGGATGGCAAAGGGCATGGGTACACGGAGGAGTGAAGAATTGAAAGCATGAAAGCCATCTGCTGGAAGCAGAAAGGGGATGGAGTACTGTCATGGAGAGAATGACTCAAAGGAATTGCATTAGTCGGCTTGGGCTGCTATAACAAAGTGCCACAGACTGGGTGGCTTAAACAACAGACATTCGTTTCCTCACTGTTCTGAAGGCTTGAAGTCCAAGATCAATGGGTTGGTAGGTTTGGTTTCCCCTGAGGCCTCTCTCCTTGGCTTGCAGATGGCTGCCATCTTGCTGTGTCCTTACATGGTTGTCCCTGGTCTGTGTGGGTCTGTGTCCTAATGGCGTCTTCTTATGACACTGGTCATATTAGTTTGGGGCCCATCTATTGATCTCATTTCAACTTAATCACCTTTTTAAAGGCCCTATCTCCAAATGCAGTCACATTTTGAGGTACAAAGCGTAGGGACTTCAATGTACGAATTTGGGAGGTGAGGACACAATTTAGTCCATAACAGGAATTACCTTCTAAGTAGGCCAAAGCACGTTATAAAGGAATTTTTTGAGTTGGTCATTACAAGATGAGGAGCTTAAGGGCAAGGGAAATAGGAGGGATCCAGACATGGTGTTAGGTAAATTAGACCAACTTGAGAGAGCAGCTTAGTAAATTCCTTTACAAAGACTAGAATACAGCTTTCTTGTGACGGATGTTTAGGATTTCCCACGACCTGAGCCCACCTAAGATGCTTATCACTGAAATAGGTCAAATGAAATATAACAATAAAATCAAACTGCTTTTGACAACAGGGGTCTTCTGCAAATTTTAATCCCACTGACATTGAAATCAGTCCAGTTCAGGCCAAGTGTGGTGGTCATTTTGTCTTGGTCTATAATTAAACTCATGGGAACAAAAATTGCCTGCCAAGAGGAAGGTTTGTCATTTTGAGAGAGGAAAATCCATTGTACCGCATACCAATAGGAAAGGTATATGAAGAAAAGTATAGGAAGCCCCCAACCTGAGTAGACTGCTCTGCCTACAAGTCAAGAAGCCCTGGTGGCCTCATCCTTTATAAAACAACAAAATCCAAAAACATCAACTACAAAAAACTCTTTATAATTTAAACTAGTAGGATCAATAACTTAAACCTTACCAAAAATCAAAAAAGGGAAATGGATGGGCACATTAACATAACTAGGAATAGCCTTTATCATTCATTTAGAGGAAATTTAATCTGTGTGGTTTAAAGATGATAGTTCTTTTCTTAATTTTAAAGAGAAATTCTCCTTTCAGTGGATTAAAGGTTAATAATGGATTTTCTAGTAATAAAATCAGTGTTAATAGGTCTGATATTGAAAGGCAATAGAAACCATTTAAAAGTAAAGGAAGGGGAACTCTATAATCATAGGCCTCTAAACCTTTTTATGCCTGTGTTTTCTCTCTTGTTCTTAAACACACTCTGCTTTTTAACTCTTGAAACTTGTGGGTTAATGAAGTGGGGAGTGTGGAGAGAATGGCAAAATCCCAGCTTGCAAAGTAAATATGTCTTTTTAAAAAGTATGTAATTCAAGAATTTCAAGCAACAGGATTCAAGTGGGCACTGAGAAACTTTTATTTCCTTTATATTCTTTAGGAGGCAATAAAGAAAGGGGGTCAAGGTACGGGAACACTCTTCTGATTTTAAGCGAATTTTTACAAACTTTTCAATGAAATGGATCCAGACTGTATTAGAAAATAGACTGCAATAATGATTACAGCCTAGAAGATGCTGCGAATTTGCAATTACTGTGCATGGCAGACAAGGATGTCTTTTGTTTGTTATACATTTATTTATTCTTTATGTTCACATGTTTTATTTTTATTTCCTTGTTTTGATGACTCATCTCATATGGACTCTGAGTTCTTTGGGAGCCACTTATACAAATACTTTAAGCACATCTCTTAGGAAGAAAAAAATTTTCTAAAAGCTGTTGGGCATGCTTGAATAACATCAAGTTAGATAGGGTTTTCTCAACAAACTGGCACCAAATATAGACACAAAACAAACTTTTTTCAGTTAGTCTTCTATTCTCACCTCTATTTTAGGTACCATTTGTCCCCCTTCTTCTGTCCTAAGCTCTCTGATTCTAAGTTGTCCACAAACATGGAAAAAATAAGAAAACTTAAATCAACACAAAAACATTTATTTAGCAATCCATTAGAACAACCTAAAAAATCTTTTCTGGGTTTTCTTTCAAATGACATTAATTGAAACTAATCTTGGGCTCTTGTTGGTGGAAAATATGTTTTTCTTTTGTTTTGTCCTTTAGCATTTAATTTTATTTTTTGAATAGATAATACATTCATGTGTCAAAAATCAGAACAGCTGAAAATGTTATATGATGAGAAATCTCACTCCCATTCCTTCCTCTATCCTTCTGTTACCTACTCCTCTGTCCTGTAGGGGTAACAATTTTTATAATTTCTTGTATATCCTTTTATACAATGGAAGCAAGTATGAAAATATGTTCCTATATTCCTCTTTCTTACACAAAGGATAGTAACCGTGTGCTTCTGTATCTTAATTTTTTCAATGAGACATATAGTCTGGAGATAGAACCTGGTCTGCACTGGAAGGTGCTACTCATTATTTTTTACATCTCCATAGTATTCCTGGATGGCTGTCTCATAGTTTATTTAACCAGTTCCCTATTGATTGACATGGGGTTGTTCCTAATCTTTTTGCTATTATAAAGAATACTGCAGTGACTTGTGATATGTCATTTTATGTTTGTGCAAGTGTATCCATAAAATAATTTGCAGAAGTGAGACTATTTGGCCAATGGGGAAATATATGAAAACCTTTTTTTTTTTTTTTGAGACAGGATCTTGCTCTGTTGCCCAGGCTGGAGTGCAGTGGCATAATCACAGCTCACTGCAGCCTCGAACTCCTGGGCTCAAGCAATCCTCTCACCTCAGCCTCCCGAATCGCTGAGACCACAGTCGCGTGCCTCCATGCCTGGCTAATATATCTATATCTATATCAATATCTATATCTATATCTATATCTATATCTATATCTATATATTTTTTTTTTGTAGAGACGGAGTCTCACTATGTTGCCCAGGCTGGTCTCAAACTCATGAGCTAAAGTGATCCTCCCACCTTGGCCTCTCAAAGTGCTGGGATTACAGGTGTGAGCCACCACACCTGGCCTGTATTGAAATTTTGTCAGACATTATAAACTTACTTTCCATCAGAGTTGTACCATTGTGTACTCCCCTTACCATCCCCACCCCCCAGCAATGTATGACAGTGCCTGTGTCCCCACAGTACAGTGGGAAGTGAATATACTTTGAAACCTAACATTAGTACTTAAAGTGCTCAACACTCAAAACTGTGTAACATATCTGCTTGCTTTAACCATCTTCTCTAATGGGACAATTCCAGGTAGCACTAGCTGAACTTTCTACTGAATACACCTTAATCTTTTTATTTTAAACCTTTTTTAAATTTTTTTTTGAGACAGAGTCTCGGGCTGTCACCCAGGCTGGACTGCAATGGCGCCATCTCGGCTCACTGCAGCCTCCGCCTCCAGGGTTCAAGCGATTCTCCTGTCTCAGCCTCCTGAGTAGCTGGGATTACAGGCGCATGCTGCCAGGCATGGCTAATTTTTTGTATTTTGGTAGAGACGGGGTTTCACCGTGTTGCCCAGGCGGGTCTCGAACTCCTGAGTTCAGGCAATCCACCTGCCTCGGCCTCCCAAAGTGCTGGGATTACAGGTGTAAGCCACCATGCCCAGCCTATTTTAAATCTTTTAAATTGTGAAACACAACACAAGAATGCACAGCTTAATAAATTACCGTGAAATGAACACACAAGAACCATAGCTCAGGTGAAGAAACAGAGCATTTCCAGTACTCCAGAGAGCCCTTGGTGTGCCCCCTTCATTCCCCCAGAGAAGTAACTCTCCTAATTTGAATAGTATACTGTTCCTTGTGTTCTTCGTACTTTGATTTTCTGTGTATGTAACCTTAAACACTTTAGTTTAGCTTTGCCTGGTTTTGAACTCCTTATAAACATAATTATATTATTGTCTGTACTCTTTGTGTTTGACTTGTTTTATTCAAATTTTGTTGATGAGATGTATCCATGTTGATGCATGTAGCTGTAGTTCACTCATTTTTATTTTGTCTATTGTATGAATATGCTACAATCTATCCCTTCTATTCTTGATGGATCAGTGAGTTGTTTACAATTTGGGGCAACTACAAACAGTGCTGTTATGAATGCACTGTTTCATTCAGTGGACCCACCTAGATAATCCAGGATACAATCCCACCTCAGGATCCTTAACTTAATCACATCCTTGACATCCTTTTTTCCATGGAAGGTATCCTATTCACAGGTTCTGGGGATCAGGATATCAACGTCTTTGGGGAGCATTATCCTGCCTAGCACACTAGCCTTTTACAGAAAAAGTTTGTTAATTCCTGATCAAAACCAAAAGACTGAATATATAAAAATCAATCCTAGATGGATTAAAGACTTAAATATAAGTCTTAAAACTATAAAAACCCTAGAAGAAAACCTAGGAAATGCCATTCTGGACATAAGCCTTGGCAAAGATTTCATGATGAAGTCTCCAAAAGCAATTGCAACAAAAACAAAAATAGACAAGTGGGACCTAATTAAACCAAGCATTCTGCACAGCAAAATAAACTATCAACACAGTAAACAGACAACCTACAGAATGGGAGAGAATATTTGCAAAGTATGCTTCTGACAAAGGTCTAATATCTAGAGTCTATAAGGAATTTAAACAAATCAACAAGCAAAAAACAAACAACCCCATTAAAATGGGCAAAGGACACAAACAAACACTTCACAAAAGAGGATAAACCTGTGGCCAACAAGCTTATGAGAAAATGCTCAACATCACTATTATTAGAGAAGTGCAAATCAAAACCATAATGAGATACCATCTCACACTAGTCGGAATGGCTATTATTAAAAAATCAGAAAATAGCAGATGTTGGTGAGGTTGCGGAGAAAAGGGAATGCTTATACACTGCTGGTGGGAATGTAAATTAGTTCAGCCACTGTGGAAAGCAGTCTGGAGATTTCTCAAATAACTTAAAACAGAACTGCCATTTGATCCAGCAATTCCATTACTTATACAAAGAAATAGAAATCATTCTACCAAAAGACACATACACTTCTATGTTAATTGCAGCACTATTTACAATGGCAAAGACATGGAATCAACCTAGATGCCCATCAAGAGTGTACTCGATAAAGAAAATGTGGTACATATGCACCATAGAATACTACATAGCCATAAAAAAGAATGAATCATGTCTTTTGCAGAAACATGGATGCACCTGGAGGCTGTTATCCTAAGCAAATTAATGCACAAACAGAAAACCAAATACTGCATGTTCTCACTTGTAAGTGGTAGCTAAACATTGAGTACAGAAAGAAGGGAACAACGAATACTGAGGCCTCCTTGAGGGTGGAGGATGGGAGGAGGACGAAGGTTGATAGTGCTCTATTAGGTACTGTTCTCACTACCTGGGTGATGAAATCATTTGTACACCAAACCCCAGCAACATACAATTTACCCATGTAACAAACCTGCACATGTATCCCTTGAACGCACCCCCACCCCCGAAAAAAAAAGGTTGAAAAGGAAAAAAAACCCTACAAACTAAAGATTGAGAAATTTCTGGTTGGAATTTAATGTAATCTAACAGGAATACAGCTTCTTATTTAAGAATTTGGTATTTCCATAATCCCTAGCTTTTCTCCCAATCCATCTAAAATCATCTCAGCAAATGAGACAAGTGACAGGGCCACATTATTGACACTTGAGTGCTGTGGAGGAATTAAAATACAGAACAATCTTTTGATGCCTTTTGCTTGCAGAATTCTCTCTGTCTCATCTGACTTTCCCTATGGAGTTAAATATTCTTTGCAGCATCAGATTCAGTCACAATCTCTCCCAACAGGCCAGCAAATCCTTACTCATCTTTCAGCATTCTGACAGGCATTAGCATTTTCCAACTCAGCCAGAAATGACCTTACTGAGATCACATTATAAAGCCCTGTTAAATACGATTGGCAATAGCAAGCAATCAGGAACTACCTTTCCAGTATTTACTGAATGTATTAATAGTCTGTCAGTCTGTCTTTATCTTCCTTGTGCATTTCCTTAGGAAACAAATATTTAGGAACCACTATTTACCTCTCCTCCTTTCCTTCTTGCTTTTCAGCAATCCCATATGATAGCCATTTTACTTCTTCCCTACTGAATTCCACAACAATGTACCTGCCATTGTGTTTGGTCCTAACTGTAATCCCTCATTATCAGATCTCAAAATGATATTTTGTCCCACTTCCTTTAAGCTGTTAGCACTTTAAGCTGAGAATTCATTCAAATCTCACTTTACATATTTTCTTGAAGATCTCATTTCTTTACTCATGTGTTCAATCAGCATGTTTTGAATGGCTTGTCAGCTCACCATTAATGTCTCAATTTCTTTGGTTATTTTTCCCTTGAGGGGGAATGTTATAAATCATAAAGGAAAATTAAATGATTCCAATATTTTAACCAGTTGGTATTTATTTATTCAATTGGGATAGACAATAAATTTTAAAGCAAGTTTTTGAAAGGCTGAAACATTAGGATTCCATGCTCTGTGTATTTTTTTAAAAATCTCTAAGTGATGGTTTCAATCAAAATCTATAAAAATAAATCTAAAATTCTTCTTATTATGTACAGTTAAATGAACATATCTTCAATTTAACCTATTTAAAGAAGCACAATATAAATATTTCTGATGAAAAATTCCATACTAGGACAAACCCTTGCTATCCTATAAGACAGCTTAAGAATGTTGCCTAATCAAGAAATATCAACCCCCCAGGGAAGTCACTAGTGTGAAGCTAAAGTGCTCACCACTGGGGTCTCTTCTGCTTTAATATTTTGGCTGAAGATGTAGACGGCATGTATATCTCTTCTGCACCTGACTTGAGACAGGGAGGGATCTCAGGAATCCCAGGCATGCAGGTTGAAACAACGGGTATCAGCTAGGAGGCTGTGACTATAAGCTGCAAGATGATGGTTGGAGGTAGCCAAAGACTGTCACTAATGAATTGCCTACAGAAAGCCCCCGTGACAAGGGCTTTGTTAAAAGTGTCCTTCATCGGGGCAAAGGGAGTGGTGCAGGGAGAGAGAGAGAGAAAGAGAGAGATATGCAGTTTCCAGGAGAAAATTTCAATTAAGGCAGGGAGTGTGGTGAAGCTGGGACGTGGAGGCACCAGTCAGGAACTGGCAGGGAGAGAGAGGACTTGACTGGAGAAGGCATTTGGGGATTAGCTGAATGAGAGCATGAAGAGAATGCTCGATCAAGTTAAGAAATCCCAAGGCAAGATCAGAGCATCACTGCTGCATAGAACAAAGGGTCAAGGGGTCTGATTATAGGAAGTCCCCTCTGGAAGTCCCTTTGGAGGCAGCCAGCCCTCTTCAGATTGGATACAAAGCTGCACTCAGACTCAATATTAGCTTTTCCTTGAGTGTCTGTATTAGTCCCTTCTCACGCTGCTAATAGACATTCCCGAGACTGGGTAATTTATGAAGGAAAGAGGTTTAATTGACTCACAGTTTCATATGGCTGAGGAGGCCTCACAATCAATCATGGCAGAAGGCAAAGGGAGAGCAAAGTCACATCTTACATGGTGGCAGGCAAGAGAGGGCATGTACAGGGGAACTCCCCTTTATCAAACCATCAGATCACGTAAGACGTATTCACTATCACAAGAACAGTTTGGGAAAAACCCACCCCCATGATTACAATACCTCCCACTGGGTCCCTTCCACAACATGTGGGAATTTTGGGAGCTACAATTCAAGATGAGATTTGGGTGGGGACACAGCTAAACCATATCAATGTCCCACAAAATTCTCTTCCAAATGGTTTTTGTGGTCAAATTAGTTTGGAAAATACTGCATACCCTACCATCTCTTGGAGTTTTTACAGTGATACATATTTACAGTGAGTTTTTAGTTAAAGGCTCAAAAGAGTGATTAGCTTTAGTTACTCCAGTGTATTAATCAGGAGAGGACAGGTTATGCTGTAATAACAAACATCCCTCAAATGTCACTGCCTTCAAATAACAAGGCTTTATTTCTTATTTATGTTCCATGCCCACCAAGGATCAGCTGAGGTTCTATTCCTTGTCATCACTGGACTCAATGCTGAAGGGGCAGTCACCGTGTAGAACACTGCAAGTTGCTGTAACAGAGGGAAAAGAGAATGTGGTAAAGCATGCACTTGCTCTTAAAGCTTCTACCCAAAAATGATATGTACCCATTCTGCTCACGTTCTGTCAACCAAAGCAAATCATGTGGCTACACATGGCAGGAATGCAGTTTTGAACTAAATATGATGAAAGATTTTCTGAAAAGTTGAATAAAGCCCCTCTTCTGACTATGGCTCACAAGGCCCTACAGGGTTTGGCCCCAATTTGCTGCTTCAATCAAATTTCATGCCATTCTTTCCTACCTCTCTGAGTTCTAGGCATGCTCACCATTCTAAGAGTGCTTAAAACACACCAGGCTCTTTTCAGCCACATGGCCTTTGCACTTTATGTTTCCTCTGCCTGGAAGTTTCTTATTTAGCTTTTGCATTGCTAGCTCCATCTTGTTCTGGGCTCAGCTTCAACATCACCTCCACATGGAGGCCTTCTTTGACTGCTCACTCTAAATTAACATCCACAACTCATCACTTATTTTCTCTCATGGTGCCCACCTATTTTAGTTGTATCGTGAATCACCAGTTATAATTACTTCATTTATTTATTTATTTTTTTATTAATTATCTGACTTTTTAATCCAAATATAAGTCCCATGTGGGCAGAAAACTTGTCTATCATGTTCACCCTAAATCTCTAGCACCTTGTACATATTAGGTGCTCAATATATGTCTGCTGAATGAATAATATGTTCTTTTATGGTTATTTTTTATTACAGACAATTTCAAGCAAGAGTAGAGAGAATAGTATAACTAACCCTGATGTTCCCATTGCTGAGTCTCAGCAATTTGCAACTCATGGCCAATCTCATTTCATCTCAGTTCCCACCCTCTTCTAGCCTCCTGAACTATTTTGAAGCAATCCAAGACATTATATCACTTCATCTACAAATATGTATCTCTAAAAGATAAGGGTTCTTGTAAAAAATAATGGTAATACAATGATTGCACCTTAAAATATTAATGATATGAACACTTACAGCTGTACACAGATGGCACAAGCTGCCTCACTAAGAAACGAGAGCCTATTTGACTGACGAATGTTTACTGAACCTTTACTATATGCCAGACACCATTTTCACAGTGATAAATACAGGTAAAGTCCCTCTAGTGATGTTCTGGGGAAGGGGCAACAATCAGAAATAGGAGATAAGGCTTCCTTCCCCACAGTGCTCCCCCAACACTGTGTCCAAGGCAGTCTGCGGAAAGGATTCTGCAGAAAGGATTTCTGCTTTGCTGGGGGACTGGCCCTACTTACGGATTCTTACTTTAATGATATTTTTACTTTCCTATGAACCAATTCCTCATTTACATCTCAAAATATTTATATGAAAAGCATTTCCTCCTATTTTTCTTTGCAGGAAGTAACCTGCATGTTTCTGACTTCTCCATGCCTTACTTCTTATATTTACCAAACAGGCCACTAAGGTGGCCAAGGTAAGTGGCTAGGGCTGCCCCTAGTCCATATGCTGTCTCTGTGTGAATTAGAAAAAGGCATGGCTTGCTCCAGACAGAGCAGCCCTGTATCAGGGTGCATGGCTTGGTATGCAGACTACAGAGCTGGATTTCAGACCCTCCTTCCCCATCGACCAGGCACCCACCCTCGCGTGGTAAACAACCTCTACAACGGTACATGGGTGACCTGCAGGGGGCTATCTGATCAAGGTGTTTTACTGACTGCTTTAGTTCTATGCAACTTATGTTGCCTGGCCCCAGACACAAGTGATTCGGTAAAACCACTACAATGTAAAGGTGAGAAATGGCATGTGATTTGTGACAGATATCTGCTACTCATTTGTCAAAATCCACTGTGTGTGAGAAACAGTTAGTGGGACAGTAGTGTTATGAATATAAAGCATGGTATTTTACAAAGAGCCTGATTCTACTGACAGCCAACTATTTGAATTATTTCATAAAAGTGTGGTATGCCTGTCTCGTTCTGATGCATTTCTAAAAAATGATACATAGGCAATAAATCCAAGGCTTATGAATCCACTTCCTGTCAAGAAGTATATGTCATTATAATGTCTGTTGTCATGGAAATAGTTGGGATTTTTCAGACATACGAACAAACCTAAGTAGGTTGAAAATGTGTAGATGTGTCACACTCATTCTGTCCCCTAAATTAAATTTTTTTTTTCCAAATGGGGGAAAAATCCATCGCAAGAATAAAAAATCCAAAAACATGTTGGAATAGCACACTTTCAGTTTGAGAAAGCTAGGGTTTCTCCCCACCCCTCTTCAAACAAGCAAACAAAAACCAAAAAGTGATAGTTCTATGTGTCCAAAAAACTAGCTGAAGTTCTGGACTCTTGTTTACCTTGGTATAGAATCTTTATGACAGGAGGCTGGATGAATGCTACGTGTCACCTTGCTCTCTGCAGGGATGAACAATTTGGTGGTGTGCTGTCCAATGTGGCAGCCACTAGCCACATATGGCTATTGAGCACATGAAATGTGACAGCTAATCCTAACTGAGATGTGTTGTGAGAGTAAAACAAATGCTGGATTTCAAAGGCTTAGTACGAAGAAAAGAATGTAAAATAATAGTTCATCAATAATTTATCAATATTGATTACATGTTGAAATGATACTATTTTAGATCTATTGGGTTAAAGAAAATATGTCACTAAGATTAATTTTATTTGTTCCTTTTTACCTTTTATAACATGGTTATTTGAAAATTTTGAATTCTCCTTGTGGCTCACATCATATATTTCTTTTTGGACAGTGCTGATATAGATATAAGCAGCACCAGCATGATATCGAAGTGTCTGGCCAACTGTAACAACCAAAAACTCATCCATTCTTGTGCATGTTTTATCTGTTTGGCAGCCAGTTAGATTGCTGGCCTGGTTTTTTTCTGGGTAGACACAGGCAAAGAGAAAGGCATTGTGGAGATGAGGTGGGTCGGGGGTACATGCTTTACAAGAACAGGTTTTGTAGCGGCATACTCACTAGGTGACTTGAGGCAAACATCAATGAAACCCCCAACTGTTTCTGTCCAGACTTCCACTCATGGTGGTGCGATTGTCCCTATGGGCTCTCCTATTCTCTGTGGAGCATATCACATTATCTAAGACAGTCAAGCATTGGAGAGAATTGTAAGATTCTGTCATTACATGGTAATGTCTGCAAAATGCATATATATATTTTGTTTTATATGAAATTTTTGGACAGGAAAAGAATGAACTGAAGTCAAATGAATTTGGAAAAGCTGGCAAACTTTTCAGAGTCCTGATTAGTATATTTCATTGCAAATCCATTTTTTCCCCATACCATCTGAGACAGTCCAGATTTCTTTCTTTAGGGCCTATAAGGTGCAAATCTTTTAAAGAAGAAAAAAACAGGCCAAGCACAGTGGCTTACACCTGTAATCCCAGCACTTTGGGAGGCTGAAGTGAGAGGATCACTTGAGCCCAGGGTTTTGAGACCAGCCTAGGCAACATGGCAAGATCCTGCCTCTACAAAAAATTTTAAAAAATTAGCCAGGTGTGGTGGTTCATGTGTATAGTCCCAGCTACTCAGGAGGCTGAGGTGGGAGCATCACTTGAGCCTGGGAAGTCAAGGCTGCAGTGAGCTGTGATTGTGCAACTGCACTCCAGCCTGAATGACAGAGGGAAAATTCATCTTAAAAAAAAAAAAAAACCCTGAAAAAAACCCGCCACTGAGATTCCTGGGTAATACCCATGTGTATATGGACTCGGTTACTGTGCCACATTACAACAATTGCTAAATGCCCCTTGCCTGGTGGGTGCTTTATTTATATAAACTCTTTTCTTATTATATTCTTGCAAGGTAGGTATTTTCATTCCATTTTAAAAATAAAGAAACTGTGGTTCAAATGCTAATGCAATTTGCCCAAGGTCTCAAAGCTTCTAAGTAGCAAGTAGACTAGGAGGATTTCAAAACAGGTCTGTCTGGCTCCAAAGTCTAAGTTCTTTCCCTTGGAACTCATTGTCTCCTTTTCAGACACGCAGCAAGAATTGCTTCAGAGCCACACAATTCTACATGTACACCGAAAGTGCAGGCCTGCTCTAAGGGTTGGGTTTTATCCTAGATTCTGAGAGGTCCTCAAAGTGGGAGAGTCAGCTGCCAAGGATTAAAGGGCAAGGAGGAATTCAATGAAGGCTAGGAGTAAAGGGATAAGAATAGGACTATAAGCCAAAACAGCAAGCTCTTTATCACTGTCTTGGAGACCCCGGGGGGATCATTTAATTCCTCTGCACCTCACTGCCTCTACCTGAAAAACTGAGATATTTAGCCACTTGGTCTCATTTGTAGGGTTGTAATGAGAAACATATTAGATACTATATGGAAAGTGCTTTGTAAACTCTAAGTTCTATAAATAAGGTATTATTAAACTAAAATTTCACATCATCCCTATTTTTAATATGGGGTGATTGTTGGTTCGTGTTAAGTAGATAGTAGTCAATTGAATAAAGAAAGCTTATTTGTTTGTGTACATCTCAAAGAGAACAAACCTAAGTTTCATCATCTAGAATGGTTATGAGAGACAATGAGTTTTAAACACTGAGTAGTGGTCATATTAAAAACTCAATGGCGAGAAACTAATTTCTATGGCCAGAAAGGAGCGTAAAGTCACTTGGTCCATACCTGGAAATATTCTTATTCATAAAATATAAGACCTATTTGAATTAAACCACACAATTTTACTGTGGATATAAAATCACACTTGAATGAATCATGAAGACATAGGATATTCTTGGATGGAAAGACTTAATATTACAAACAGTAATAATGATTCTACCCAGATTAATTGATATCTTCAACACAATCCCAATCAAAATTCCCATGAGACATTATTGATAATTTAATACAATAATTTAAAATTTTATGTGGAAAAGTAAATGAGTAAAAATAAGATAATTCTGAAAAAAAGGAGAGTAATAAGTGGAAGATTGGCCTTCAGGGAAGATTCCTATCTTCCTTTCTTGGCCCCAAGTCTTCATCTTCCCCTGTATCTGCATCTTTTATCATGTGACTTTGTAGTTCTTCTGAAGGCCTCTTAACCTTGGGCTTAGCCACGTGTGGCTTCTCATGGCCAATGGAATGCCAACAGGAGTGATGTGAGTCAGCTCTGAGTCTAAGCCTTATGAGGCCCCACAGGTTTCCACGCGTTCTCTCGCTCCTCTGCCAATGATCTGTGGAGAATCCATCCTGGCTAGCCTGTTGGTTAAAGGAAGTGACAGATGTGGAACAGAGCCACCTCAGATGACTCATAGATCTGCAGTGGCAAGCCCACCTCCCCAGTCATTGCAGCCTGAGGCAGACCCACCTAGAAGAGTTGCATCCCAGTCCCTCTGCAGATGTCTGAGTGCTAGTAAATGATTGTTGTAAGCCACTGAGCTTTGGAGTGGTTTGTAATGCAGCTATAACTAACTGATTGACATGGCCCCACCACACTTGAGAACTATTGCTATAGTATAGTCAGTGTGAGGCAGAGACAGCATTCAAATCTGGGTCTGTTATACTCCAAAGCCCACACCTTCCTTTCCTGAGGAAGTGAATTTTAGGTTTGTGTCAAAGGGTATGATATGATCATTGTTCACTCTCTGCAGGTCATTCCTAATAGTGTTTAGGAATGAAATCCAAAGACCTACTTTGTCATGTGACCTGTGATACAAATGCCCTTGTTGAGAAAGGGGAATAGATGCAAAATCGATTCATGGGCTCCAAACTTCCAAGACTGTAAGTGGTTGATTTCCCTTATTAGATATTCAGTCCACGGCATATGGGACAAAATGAATCTTCTTTGTCATGAAACTCCTACTCCCTTCTTTCCACAGTGGACAGAAAATATGCCCCTAAAACCTGCCTCCTTAGATGGCATCTTTTCCTGATGGTATTTTGGAAGCTGTGAACCTGCTCGGGAAGGATAATGTACAATATCTCAGGCAATAATTCCTGACTTATATGGGCAGAGCTTTTTAGTTAGAAAAGAAAAACAAAGGCTTCTATGTTAATGTTTGACACAGACTGCAAGAATCTTTCAGGAAGACTCCATTGTCAACTTCTCAGCAACTGGTAATGACTCTTGGCTCCCACACTACACATTTCTGTGGCTGCGCAGCAGTATTTCAGCTTCTTTCAGTATCTCATAAAAATCACAGCTAATAAACTCCAATCAGCACCTGAAGGAAGGGGTGCTTGCTTCTGACTGTAATATACTGGGCTCTGCAGCACTTCAAAGGCGAGGCAGATCCTCCTGTCTACCTTGCCCCAGTTTCTATCCCTGAGTGAAGATTAACCATGTGTGCTCTGGGAAAATCTGGTCTGAGTTTGCTTTAAAGCCTTTCGTATCCCTTTAAATCAGCTGTTCAGTTCGACAGCCCACTAACATAGTCTCCCTTTGCAGTAGGGAGAGGGCGTGTTCTTGGTTTACCATTGGATCCTTTCATTTCCTGCATCCTCTACTATGCACCCCGTGCTTCCAGTTTGTTCTTTGCAGAAGACGAAGCATGTATACCCATGAGAGAAGCCTGATCATTTTAAAGTTTAATGACAAGTCAAAACTCAATTCGATATTTATTGGGAGCCTGGCTCCAGATACTTGAAAAACAGTTTGCTCTTAGCTAAGGTTTGGTGTCAGATGCACAGTCTCAAGGTCACGTGACATAAATTTTTATGGAACTTCGACTGAAAAAATGTTTTCTGTGTGCCCAGAGCCCTCCTCCCTGAACCTTTAATTGTTACTGTGCCTTTATATTGGGATCACAAAGTTTGGGTTCTCAGAAAACACTTTGTGAGGATGCACAGGCTATCTTTTAAAAATAGGCTGTTTTAAAATATCAGTTTCTTCTTTCACCACATCTCAGAAATATTCAGAGTGTTGCTGAATCCTGGCAAAATGAGAGAGAGCAATACCTACTGACAGTAAAATTAGATGAAAAATGCTATGTCACAGTGTGATGGTGGTGGCATTACTTAGTGATTTAGGGGTAAAGTTCCTCAAGTTTGAATCGTGTTTCTCATTACTCCCAAGAGAAGACATAATTCTCAGGCTTGCTTCAACATGCTTTCAAAGAGATAAAAGAAACAAACGTAGACCTCATGAAACATGTCCAATCATACCTAGTTATTACTTTTAAGGCAAAATATACCTCTTATTCCTCTAATGAGATATTGACAACAAGCCTATAGGGATATAAATATTCCAGACTTACTGAATCCATCAATCAACTATCCAGGAGATAGTTTTTTCCCCCCTACATTTTAACACCTCTGAAATCAGGATACATCCTGATCTGGTGGATGGTACCTTAGTATTGTCATCAGCCAGGCAGTGGGCATTGTCTGTGCATGTGCAAACTTGAGCTGAAAACTTTCAGTGTCTCCTTCAGGTAAAAATCTAGAAAACACAAGCATCAAAACTTGGAGAATGGGCATCAGTGGCTTGGAAGAAAATCTCAGAGATGACAGTGGAGCACATCTCTATGAAAGGCTGTATCATCAGCTTTTTTTTTTTTCTGACATAGAGGATGATACATTGTGGAAAGGCATGGGTATCTCTGATTTTCAGTTAGATTAATTCAGAAGCCTCAGGCTCAGACCTTTTAATGTATGTTCTAGAGTAGTATATGGAAAAAAACCCATATCACTAAAGTCAAAATGAACTCATTCAATAAAGAGAAAACACAAGCATCAAAACTTGGAGAATGGGCTCCAGCCTATGGGTACTACTGGCATAGTTCCACCCTGTGGCTCAGTGGCTGACAGGCAGTAGGATTCTCCTTCTATGGCTTTGTCATTGCATGTGTGGCTGCCTGAGTCATTGGATGTGGGTGCTGAACCCATTAGTCTGACACATTTATTTGCCACTTTGTCAGGTATTTTACCCTTTCTGGTCAAATTTCATTTCTTGAAATATTTCAGTTCAAATGAGTCTTCTGTGAAGAGAGAGAGTTTAGGGCCACCCGTGAGTGATAGGATTTTTCACAGCCTCAATGTTCAGAGCAGAACTGCCGACCTACAAGTGTGTGAAAATATCCTTCAAGTGTCAAAAAGCTGTCACAGGGTTCTGGAAGAGGAGGAGAAATCCTCAAGCTTGTTCTGAAATAATTAGGTGCAAAATAAATCAGGAGCTTAGGAGAAATAATGTACACAAATTAGCAAAAAGCAGGAGCCTAAGTTATGAAAAGAAAAAAAAAAGAGCTACAAGAATTAATACATCCTTGTCCAGAACTATGTAGAAATGTGATAGCTGGAGTCTTGATGGATAAGTCTTTTCACTTCTCAATTCCTCAATTTTCTTATCTGCAAAATGGGGTATGCCTACTTCATTAGGTGACCGGAACAATTGAAATGCTTTCAAAATGCTTATGTACAATCAAACCTATCACATTGCAATAACTAAATGTGCTCAGGATGCTATATGACTCAATAATCTCTGAACATACCTGTCTAAATGGATGTTCACAATGACTTTAAATCATGAAGTAAGAATTAAATATGTTCTAAGTATTTTTTTTTAAAAAAGGGAGATGCAGGCTGTATTTTAGAAAGATTTCCATTAAAATGCTTATATATATTTTGGAACTGATCGGTATATTTCAGTTATTTTGGATAATTCACATACATGGACAGCCTCATCCTCAACCATGCTGGATAAATGGGGCATGGTGGTAAAGGCATAGTCTAAGAACTTCAAATCAGACATTGGGAGAATTCAGTGCTATGACTCAGATAGAGACCTTGTGAGTCATGTGGCCCCAAAAGGGGCTTTGAAGCTGAGCCTTTTATTTTCTTGATATCCATATAAACACAGTAAACCAAGACTATTTTAACTATAAATTCTAGCAGATACTTAAAATGAAAATGTGAGAAGCAGAACTCCATAATGGGTACCCCCCTTAAGGCTTCCTTATTGACTCCAAAAAACAGTGATTCCCACCTGCTGTTATTGGCATATAAGAAACTCATGCGTAATTGTGCATTTCCAAAAGTGGCTGAGAAAAGGTGGTAGACAGAATGTGGGAATACACTAAATACATAGTAAAAGCCTTGTATGACTCTGTTTTTAGTATATTTCTCTGCTTCTCTCTCATCTGCGTTATTCATTAAAATCACCTAAACTGATATTTATGTAAGTCATCCTGCCCTGCCATCATTCTCCAATGTGAATTCTGCAAATTTTCTGGTTAGATAAGGAGACCACTCCATATCTAGGGGTCCCTAATGCTAAACACATTTCCAATCTTTGAAACTTAGGCAAGTTTTCTTGCTCTAAAACAAACTGCTCTGTCCTAGACAGTATTTCCAATTTAAAGGCATATGACTAGACTTTCAAAGAGCAAAGGGCGAAGAGTATGTTTTACAATTTTCCTTAGGAGCCTTCCTAGGGCTTCCTCCTAAGAAAATTTCAGGAAAGGAATTTGTTCTAGACCTGTGCCACTGGCCACTGTGGCTTATTACTTGAAATGCGGCCAGTCCAAATTGAGATGTGCTCTAAGTATAAAATACATACCAGCTTTGAAAGCTTAGTAAAAAAAGTATCTCACTAAAATTTTTTATATTAATTACACGTTGAAATTAAAATATTTGGGGTTAAATGAAGTATATTGTTAAAGTTAATTTCACCTGATACCTGCTTTTTAAAAATGAGGCTACTAGAAAATGTGCAATTGCATATGAGGCTCACAGTTGTGGCTTGTGTATTTCTATTGGACAGATAGAGCATAACAATGTTGGTTCACCCTGGCCTGGTTCCTTGATTCAAGTCCTTTTAGGACTAAGAACCTGAGAGTGGGAACTGGGAGATACTGGTTCTAATCTAGGCTCTGCCACTGACCATGTGAATCTCCCCTGAGCCTCAGAACCTGTGTCCGTGGTTTAGGGGCAATGAGACACCCTTGACACACCTTACAGGTTGACTGTGAAGATCAAATGAAATTATGTTGGTATCATCTAAAATACTCTCAACAGAAAATATTTATTGGAAGTGTTTCTGAGGCTTCCTGTCATTCTATTCCCGACCTCAAGGGAACATATCTTACATTACATATTACCTGGGAACATCATATTCCATCCACAGCCTGTACTTACTGTGTGATTCTATATGGCAGATATTGTGCTGAGGACTTGATAAATGTTAGCTCATTTATTCCATACATCCAACCCGTGAGACTGACACTATTATTAATGAGAATCAGAAGAGTGTGGTGATTAAGATCAGGTGCTCTGGAGCCAGACTATTTGGATGCATAACTGAGAGCCACCACTTAATAGCTGTATGACATTGGGCAAGTTATTTAACCTAAGCCACAGGTTCCTCATCAGTACAAAGCAGGGAAAATAATAAGACTGCATCAGTTAGGGCGATGGTAGATGCTGCAACAAGAAAAAACCAGATGGGCATGATGACTCACACACAATGGAACACTTGCCCGTATAAAGTTAAAACTGGGTATTCCAAGCAGGGCTTCAGGAATGCAAGCTTCTTTATGTTTCCTTAGAATGACTTTCAAAGTCACTGAGCTTGTCTGCATTAGGCTGGAAGAGGAAAGAACATAGATGATGATGTATGGAAGGAACCTGAGGCTCAGAGAGACAGAGTGACTTGTCCTAAGTCATACAACTAGGCAGTGGTGGCTCAGGTGCACACTCATTTCTGTCTGATTCTGGAGCCCATACTGTCTACACAGTTCATAAGATGTGCAGGAAAACAAGCCTAATCACACAAGCATATTTCACACCTCCATTTGCAATATGCCTGCTAACAGTTTATTGGCCAAAGCAAGTCACATGGCCAACTCCAACATCAACAGGGATGTATTCTCTGCTTCTAGTGGTAGGAACTACAAAGACACACGGAAAAGGGCATGAATGCACGTAGGGGTGAAGAATTGGAGCTATGAAGAAATCTACTACAGTTGGTGAGTGACCAAGTGAGAATCAGAACTCACAGCCCATCACTCCCAGCTATTAGGGAGCCCAACTCACTGCGCACAGAGCTAAGTACTACCAGAAATGGATACAAAGTTGGCTGCTTGCCTTGGACTCTGCATCCAAGAAGATGGAAAAGGAATTGCCCAGTGTCTCCGTTGGCTTTATCCTAGAGAGTGGAACCATCTTTACTTTTTCTCACTGCTGGCCCCCCACTTCTATTTGGAACTTTACAAACCCTTCATTAGCTTAAAGAAACAGCTCCTAAGACAGAGAAACAAAAACTATTTACAAACAGAACTGTGGAACTCAGCTGGGAGTCAAGAGCTGTGGGTTCTGATTCTCACTCAGTCACTCACCACCCGTAGTAGATTTCTTCATAGCTCCAATTCTTCACCCCTCCGTGCATTCATGCCCTTTTCTGTGTGTCTTTGTAGTTCCTACCACTAGAAGCAGAGAATACATCCCTGTGGATGTTGGAGTTGGCCATGTCACTTGCTTTGGCCAATAAACTGTTACCAGACATACTGCAAATGGAGGTGTGAAATATGCTTATGTGATTAGGTTTGTTCTGCACATCTTACATTCTCCATGAGGAAAAAAAGCAACAACACTCTGACTAGCTTAGCCCGCTGGTCTAAGGGGTGAGAAACTCATGGAAAAGACCAGAAATCAACCAGCAGCTTGGTACTGAGCCCACCTGAGTCTGGTCTAAATCAATCAATTCCTACCCAGAGAAGAGTGAATGTTTTAAGACACTGAGGTTTGGGGTAGTTTGTTACACACATCATTTCGGTTATAGCTAACTGATGTACCAACTATGAGTACCTTCAGCAAATCATCTCTCCTCTCTGGAACTCAGTTTACTTCTCTATTCAAGGAAGGCATTGAACAACATACTGTAAAGCCCCTTCCTTCTGTCCTAAAGACAAGGGCAACATACCTTGCCATGTTTTTTTTCCCCAAGGCTTTGTATATTAGGGAAGGAATCCATATGCAGGAACAGAAGTGAGGCTCTTAAGTGAATATCCTTTAAATATGATAGTTAAACAATTATCTTATTAGCATTTAGAGCTACACCGTATTAATTCATTTTCTATTTTAATGTATAGAAACAGATTTCGTTAGCTTTCAGATGTCAAAAACCTGCTGTTCTAGTCCCTTCCCTATAACCAGAAGGGGCTGGTTCTCTGGCCCTTCTGGCAGTTCAGAAGGTAGGGCCCAGAGGCTGCTGAGATGGCAGCAGGTGTGCACCATTCAGTCTCCAGCCTGGAGAAGATAGAAGTCTAACTTCAGAGGTGTTAGAGAAAGCCAGTCAGTCGTCAAAAAAGGTTATGTCCATCTGTCTTCTTTCCAATGGTGCTTATGTTAGAGTGGGTTCCGAGGAGATATACAGCCATGGAGTTTTACATATGTGCCTTATAAATATGGCCATTGATTCCTCAGAACTGGCAGTGATTGTGGTGGCAGATTTATTGTATGTGCCACAGGTCAAGGTTCATAGGTTACTTTCCAAATATCCTTTTCAGGTGTCTGAGAATTCCTATAAAAATATACATTAAGGCACAGGGTACTTTGAGGAAAGTTAGTTTATTACTTGCCCCACTTGGAACCCAAACGAAAGTAAGATACATATTCTCTCTGGGGTCGCCAGATCCTCATGTGCCCTGATGAAGTTTTTGGCACTGAGTGCCAAGGGCCAAATGGGCTGGAACTCTATCTTGACTGGAGTTGGATGCACCCGGCATTCTGTACCCGACATATATCTTCTGACACTTACTTGTGCAGCAAAATAAATTGAATCTATTCATCCCTCCACTTTCTGGAAAAGAATGGCTTCTTCTTGCATATGCTCAGAAAAGTATGTACAAGGATATACTGTAACCTTATTTTTACAGGTAAATGATTAGAAATGACTGGTATGTCCACCAACTGAGGACCAGTTAAATAAAGTAGCTTCTGAGGTGGTATAGGGTAGTACTTTATATGAAAGTATGTGGAGTCAAGGGCCTGAGCTCGAATCCCAGTCATGTTGATTACTCACTTGGATACTGGGCAAGTTATGTAACTTCCCTATAGTTCAGTTCCTCGTGTGTAAAATGAGGATGATATATCTCTATAAAAATGTTTAGAGTTAGTAGGAACTAAATGAGTCAACATGTATAAGACACTTAGAACAATGCCTGGCACATAGTAAGCATATAGATATATGGTAGCTATTGTTTTAAATATTATTTAAAAGGATGAAGCAGACTTATATACTCTATTGAAATGGAATAATTACCCCCAAACTTAGTGGCTTACAACAACAACCATCCTTTATTATTTCTGATGATTCTGAGGGTTGACCAGGCTCAGCTGGGCTATTCTTCTGCCCCAGATACTGTCAGCTGGAGCTGAAGTCATCTGAAGGCTCAACTGGGCTGGAACATACAAAATGACTCCCTCACATAACTGGCTGTTGGTGCTGGCTGGGGTTACTGTTTAGAGCACCTTGGATCCCTTCTCCCTACACCTTGGGATTCTCACAGCATAGCATCTGGGTTCCAAGAGGGAATATCCCAAGCCTGTGTAGATGAAAGTTGCAAATCTCAGAAAGTTCCTCCTTGGAAGTTACACTGAGTCACTTCTGTCACATATTATTCGTCAAAGCAAGTCACATGCAGGCCTAGATTCAAGAGGAGAGGAAATAGACTTCAACTGTTAATGGCAGTAATGGCAAATAATTTGCAGCCATCTTTATTACATATTATTAAACAGAGGGAAAAAAGTGCAGAAGGGGTGGATACATTATCATTTAGGTAACAAGGGAGTTCTTATATGTATATACATACATGCATATATCTATAATAACATATATAAAACAACACATATAACAAAAATATGTATGTAAATAAACAAGTATATGTATGTGCACTGCATAGAATCAATATCTTCAAAAACATGAGGATCTGGTAACAGGGAGAGGGACTGGGAGACTGACATAGAAGATTGACTCAATTTTCACTGTATGCCACCTTGCATTGTTTGAATATTTTTCACTATGTCCACATTTTGTTTATTCAAATGAATAAATAAAAATGCAAGGAATTAGCAATAATAGTAAAGTTTCAGCACTTCTAGTATGAGGAGAAATCATTTCTGGAAAAAGCAACTCCGTGAAAGAAACTTTTCCATTCTCCTGACAGTTATCAATATTAAATAGCTTTGGAGAACTTTGAGTTGTCCTCACTGACCACAGAGGTCCCACTGTCCCCCCACCCCTGACACACATACACTACTGGCATTTTTTTTTTAAACTTCTAAAGTAGTTCTTGTGTCTGTCATGTTCTCCTAAGAATCAGGTTGCTGGATAATTGGAAAACATTTTTACATTCCAATTTTAAAATCATCATTTATCTGTGACTAGCATAACATCTCATTTATGTTTAAAATAAAAGAGAGCAGAAGCACTCCCTGAATAGGGAATTTGTTAATACGGTATCATATCTGAATAGAAACATAGCTGTGGATTTTAGCATCATTGTTTGGTCACTGTGGTTTTGTGCTATTTCCCTGTGGTATTAGATAGTTGCAGGGAGGCTTAAATTTCTTCTTTTACAAAGAAGGAGCAAAAACAGAAAGTAAAGACACACATTCCCATTCATCTCTTGCGCAGCAGTAAGAGAAGACAGAAAGTCATTCCAAGGCAGGGGATGAGAAGGTTCTGTCTCTTCTGCCTCTGCTTGTTGTGTGAGACCCTCTCATTCTGAGAGCTGGCTAGTGGGGCCCCTGAGGTTGGAGAGAGATGATTCCAGGCTCCGCAACTTATGTGCTTCTTGTTATTGCTATGTTTAGACTTTCATTCTGGGATTTTGCTGGTTCATAACATAATCTATTGCATTTCATTTTTAAGAGTCTTATTCTAACTTCATGGATTTGGCAAGTGTCCCAGATTTTTCACTTTCATTCTGAATTTTTAAAATATTCATTTTCACCTCCACTTGTGACCCCATTTAGCATGATCGTTTGAAGAAAGGCCAGCCAGACTGTGCATGAGTGAATTTCAAGCATGAATAAATCAAGCAAGAGCCAAAGTGCTAGTCAAAGAGAATTTGAGAGATCACAGTCACTTTCCCATTCCCCTTTGCCCCTAAAAGGGAATTTTAGGGGACATTACAAATAATCCGCTTGTCTATAATCATCAGCATCATCATCCTGGGCCCACAGATAATGTGATACAGTTGTACTTATTTATTCATAACATTTTGAAGCTGAAAGGGGTCTTAAAGATTATAATGAAGAAACACAAGTTCAGAGAAGTTAAGGAAGATGCCCAGAGTCACACGGGCAGTTAGTAAAATGTTCCAGGTTTTGCAACTCCTAATCCATTGCTCCTTTTCTGGTACCACAATATTACAGTTAGTATGGTAGAGTGAGATGTCACCTTTGCCTCTCTCGTGGTTACGATACAATGAAACACACCAGGAATTGCTGTGCTATTAGACCATTGGGCAGGGCTGGGATGCATATTGGGAGGTGAAGGTTCTCTATTCAAGCTTCAACCAAAACCACTCTGCTTATGTCCTTAGTATTTGTGCTTCTGGATAAGATTTCTTTGGAACAAAGGGTTCTATGACTAAAGCATTTGGAAACCACATCAATTTCAATCCCAATTTAATGCAGGGTATAGGCTTAATAGAACATGTACAAAGCATACATAGAAAGCTCCCTAGCACACTCTAAATAAATCAGATTTGTAACTGGATGCATTGTGGACCTAGTTAGGATTCTGAGTGAAGTGAGCAAGTCCTTCTCAGCACTCTCTAAGTTCTGATGTCCTTTTTCTTCCTCCATCTAGTTGAATGGTTTCCAGCTGGGGGCAACTTCCCCCCTGGCCCAGGGGACATTTGGCAATGTCTGGGGACATTCTTGGTCATGACAACTCGGGAGGGGTTGTTACTGATATCTAGTGGGTAGAGACCGGGGTGCTGCTAAGTATCCTACAATGCACAGGAACAGCCCTCACAACAAAGAAGTATCTGCCCCGAATGTCACTAGTGTCTAAGGTGAGAGAGCCTGCTCTAGTTGAACCCTATGTATCAGTCAGGGATAGCCCAAAGCCTGCTGCTTCTCTTTGGTGTTTTCCTGGACTCCACCAGCCCTTGGTGCTTGGAGATTTTATGGTTTCTAACTTCCCAATTTTGCAGTTAATTGAATAATTGTCTTACTTGTTCATAATTTTTTCAAGCCACAATTAGTCTTAGCTGCTCAACTGGATTATTAGTGTATTGTAAGAAGAGTGGATGTTTTATGAATATACTTGTTCTGGGTGCCTTATAAGCACCTAATCTTGGCTAAACATATAGGAAATGCTTTTCTGGGGAAGATGTGAAAAGGAAAAGTTCAGAATGCCCAGGTGACCAGGGGAGCAGCTTAAGCAAAAAACAAACAAAATAAAACCCAAAAACCCAACCAACCAACAAATAACAATCAGGGATCACTAATAAAGAAAGTCAGTAAATTTTTTTAGCTGGTGTGAGGGTGATGACAAAGACGGTAGTAAAAGGCAAAAAGATATGGGGAAGAGGTAGGGGCAAAATGGAAGGGAACTTTGAAACCCACAGAGGAGTAAATTCTAGAAATGTGGGTAAAAGGGAGCCTCTGAAGATTTCATTCATTTATTCAGGGATGCTTTCTTTGATGCCACAGTCAGGGAGAACCTCTCAGAGGATGTGGCATTTGAGTATTGAGGTTTCTGTAGAAGAATGTGACTTTATCAGCGTGCTTAGTGACTTCATGATACCTCACCTATTCCCCTTCTCCCTGCAGAGCCATAAGTTTGGGAAAAATTGAGATTCTGTTAGAATCTCCTTTCTCTCCCTCAGAGGAGCAGCTGGTGAGAAGCCTGAGAGGAGAAAGGTGAAAAGAGAACAAACAAGTTTCTTTTCCCCATCACACCCCTGGGGCCTAGCATGTGGTTTGAAGACTCTCTAAGAGTAAAGACTGTCACCATATCTGTGGTGGAACCAGCATCCTACCCAGAGTTGGCTGGAAATCCTGACGCTCTCCCAGAGATGTATTGTAGATTATTCTAGAAGTTGCTACACAACATTTGCCTGGGACACTTAAGCAAAGCAGCTCCTACTTTAGGTCATAACATTCTTCACATGCTTTCTGGGTTGTTGTTTAAAAAAAGGCATCCAAATAGGATTTTCTGTTTTCAAATCAATGCCCACTGAACTCCACTATTACAAACTGGTGTTGGCCTAAAAGTGTGGCAATTTGGTTGAGAAACGGTTTTCAGTTTGTAACTTCCATGAGTAGATGATAAATTTCCAGTTGTAAAAATGCTGGAAACATTAGAGAAATGTTTTCAAACTCTGCTTCTCAATCAAGCCACTGACTTAAATGGAAAAAAAAAAAATCCCCCTGTACGCCAAAAAACCACACTTCAGATGTCCCCGTCAACTGCGAGACATTTGCTTTCCCATGAAGACCCACCATATGGACAGTATGAGAAATCGCAAATTAAAATAAATTGTTATTCAGAGAGAGGCTTTCATTTGAGCCAAGACTCCCAACTTTACATCTTGCAGCCTTTGCCACACAATTAGGAGGTCCAGTTGGGTTGTTTAAAATGTTTGTAATATTTAACTCCCCAACTGCAGCAAGCTTTGTTTTAATCTCTCTTCTACACCGTAGCAGCCGTGTAGCCAGCATGAGAGAAAACAGGAGCCCTGGGCCCCCTCTTCCTGCCTCCTGCTTCCCCTTCCTTCACTGTGGCTTCTGGGCCTCAGATGCTAGGCTGGGCTGCTAAGCCCTGGAGGATTAAGCCCTCACTTTAAAATGCTGTGCTGGCTTAGGCTAAGGCCTAGTGGGGGACAGAGGGAGAAATCGCCTGGGTGGAACCCTTGGTTCAGAATTTGTGGTCACTGTGACCTGCAGGGAAGTTGTTTCAGCCACTGTGGAATTTGACCAGGAAGACAGACTGGCCTTGGTTTGGCAGCATTTGGCATCAGGAAGGAGGACGTTATATTCTCCCCTCTCTTGCTGCTCAATGCTAATAGGCCAAGCTTGCTCTTTGGGGGTTTTCTGCTTGAGTTCTGCACCTCTGATGGTTTGTGGTCATTAGAGATGGAGACAGGAGGCAAGTAAGCTGAGGAAAGGGTTAAAGCCAATTCTATTAGTCTCCTAGGCCTGCTGTAATAAAGCACCACAAACTGGGCAGCTTCAAACAACAGAAATGTATTCTCTCCCAGTTCTGGAGGCCAGAAGTCCGAAACCAAGGTTTCCCATCAAGGTGTGTGTCCATCCTGTTACAGCCATACTATGTGACCTGGAGTTCCCTAAAACACCAGGCTGTTTCATACCCCTATGACTTTGTACATGCCATTCTATCTGACTGTTATTTCTATTTGACAAATTTTGACTCATTATTTCACAAAATGTTACCTCCTGTGGGAATCCACTCCTGATCATCCCAGGAATAGGACCTCCCGTTCGAGGGCTGTGCTCCCTCGAAAGCCCTAGGGATGATACTGTCTTGTCTCTTTCAGCTTCTGGTAGCCCCAGGCATTTCTTGGCTTTGTGGCAACATAACTCTAACTTCTGCTTCTGTCTTCAGTTGTCTGTCTTTCCTCTGTCTGTGACCAAATTTTCCTCTTCATATAAGGACACCCATTGTATTAGTCCATTCTCATATTGCTATAAAGAACTACCTGAGACTGGATAATATATGAAGAAAAGAGGTTTATTTGTCTCACAGCTCTGCAGGCTGTACAGGAAGCATGGCTAGGAGGCCTCAGAAAACTTACAATCGTGGTGGAAGGCAAAGGGGAAGCAGGTACAGTCTTCACATGGTGGAGCAGGAGAGAGAGAGAGAGTGAAAGAGGAAGTGCCAAACACTTTCAAATTGCCAGGGTCTCTTGAGAACTCACTCACTATCTTGAGAACAGCAAGGGGAAATCTGTCCCCATGATCCAATCACCTCCCACCAGGTCCCTCCCCCAACATTGGGAATTACAATTTGACATGAGATTTGGGTGGGGACACAGAGCCAAAGCATATCACCAGTCATCTTGGATGAGAGTTCATCCTACTTTTGGAGGAACACAATTCAACCCACAACACCACTAAAGGAAGGAAGATTTTTTTCCAGTGAAGATGCTCCACTCTTAACACATGCTCCACTCTTAACACATGCTCAGGGCCTTGGTGCATATGGCGCCTGGGTCAGGGACTTATTTCCCAATACAAGAGAGGACCATACCAAGTCTTTCCTGTGAGATGTGAGGAAACAGCTGACTAGCACAGGCCCAGATTGCAATTTCCAAGATCAACCTTTGCTGAAATTCTTGCTGCAGTCACAAATTCAAGGGTGCTTGGAACAATAGCCTCTTGCTTTTGGAATCTTAACTCTTAAATCCTCCAGCTCCTGGAGGTTTAACCAGACCTGTAGTGTTATTTTAACTGTGTCACTTGTGATTGAATGCAGTTTATGTATGGCCTTGATGTCCGATCAGAAGCAGGATTAAGAGGGCTTTGGGGCTTCCCTAATTTATATCTGGCTCAAAAGGCAGAAGAATTCTAGTTGCCTTTCTGCCATTTTCCCAGTGGTCATCCTCTCTTGTCCTTCCTCTCCTGGCTGGCTGGAGCAACCACATAAATATTCTGAGCTGCTCTCTTGTCTGCAGAGCTCACCCCACTATGAGCAAAGGGGCATGTGGCCACCAGAGGGTGGGGAGTTCCCCAATGTCATAAAAGTCCATAAAGAAGAATTCTTGGTTAAAATCTTCTCTTTATTTCCGCAGCCCTGGCAATCTTTCTCTGCTACTTTTTTTGATGTTGCACCCAATTTTTACCTTGGGGCAGGCGAGAGAGGGAGGGAGTGGGAATTGTGGCCCAGGATTTGGAGATAAAAATGGGTTGTTGTTCCACCTCTGGAAGATTTCCTTCCTCCAGTGGTTTCTTTCCTATTGTTTCACAACAAAGAAAAGAGAGGAAAATACCCCCAGGCTAAACAAACCCTTGTTCCATTGCAGTGCCTGTGGGAGGCAGCAATATTTTTCCTGTCAGTGTTTTGTTGTCTGCCTTTCAGAAATTCTATATACTTTAGTTCACCGTCTACCAGGGTTTTTTTCTTAGAACAGCTAACCCAGAACCAAAAATACATCTGGATGGCTGCTCCTTATCTAAGAAGGTCAAGGTCTTTATTAGTCCCACAGTCTAGCTGAGAAAGAGACAGGAGCTTAAAGTCCAACAGTCTGGAATTTTATTGTGAGATAGAGGTGGCTTCTGCATAGGCTCTGTCTCATTTGGCCATTTTCACAAGAAGCATCTGAAAGTTTTGCACAGACCTTGGGCACAGGGGCCACTGTAACAAGTACACTGTTCTTGTTCACATGGGGTTTATCTTGCAGCTGTGGTCTGAGACGGTACATCAAGTCTTTGGGGAAGGGGCATGTATTAGTCCATTTCTATACTGCTACGAAGAAATACCCAAGACTGGGTAATTTATAAAGAAAAAGAGATTTAATGGACTTACAGTTCCACGTGACTGGGGAGGCCTCACAATCATGGCAGATGGTGAAGGAGGAGCAAAGGTACATCTTACATGGTGTCAGGCAAGACAGTGTCTGCAGGGGAACTGCCCTTTATAAAACCATTAGATCTAATGAGACTTATTCACTATCATGAGAATAGCATGGAAAAACCTGCCCCATTGATTCAATTACCTCCCACTGGGTCCCTCCCAGGACATATGGGGATTATGGGAGCTACAATTTAAGATGAGATTTGGGTGAGGACACAGTCAAACCATATCGGGGCAGAAGATTATTTCCGTTGTGAGCACTTCAAGATTTAGAAATTCAAGCAGTTCCTGAAAAGGAGAATGAGAGACGCTGTGCAGACTCTGATATTTATTGATTTGTTTCATAGGCTCTTATATGACACATGTGGCACCACTGTCTTATGCACTTTATACATATTAATTCAGTTACTCTTAATAACAATCCTACAGGCAGTTACTATGAATAGCACCATTTACAAATGAGAGTACCAAGGAGCAGAGAGGTTAGGCCACTTGCTCAAAGTCACACAGCTTCATAGTTGGCAGAGTTGGAACTTGAATCCAGATGTCTGGCTCCATAATGCTTGCATTTCAACACTAAAGTCAAGGGAAAATGGTAAGATTTCGAGATCGTATGTCTTGAGCATTCCCAGAACAGGCAGATCAAGACTATTTATTCTACGGTTTCAAGATCTGTCCAGACCATTAACCACAATGGCATTAAAATGGTCTGGACAGACCTGGAACCCCTGTAGTATTCTTGATTGGTAACATGGAATTATTCTGCCTGTTCAGGAAATGCTCAAGACATCTGATTTTGAAATCTCATCAACTCCTCTTTACTCTAGTGGCTTTGAAATTAAAATATTTAGGGAGAAAACTTCCAACTCTCCCAACAGCCTGAGTAGGCGCTGACATGTAAATAAATGGTCTTGTAAGAAGTGGTGTGGGTGCTTGGACCTGTGAGAGAAAGATAAGGAAGTTTTAGTTTTGATCATCAGTACCCACAATGAAGGATATGAGACCCAGTGATTGCAATTTAGTAGGGCATGGAGTGACATTTCTGACAAAAGATGTGGCAAATGAAGAGTTAATTCAGATTTTTTCGGTCATATCACTTCTTTCACACTCCTTCTAAATACTGAAAAGTCAAGAAAAATGTAGCAGTTTTCCCTTGCAAGTCACCATCATTTGTGTTAATCTCCCCTCCTCCCACTGCCCCAAACAGGGGAACAGCAATATCACACCACAAAGTAGCTTCCAGAAGATGTGCAGCATGGGACTGTGAGAATGCCAGTTTCAGGGGCTATTTTGCTGCGTTGCGTTCTGTGACAGCGTGATCCATCGGCTGCTCTTACGAAGACAATATAGTAAAAAGAATTGGCCCCTGCTGGTGCTTAAAAGGTGCTAGAAGGGGAGTGTTAATTTATTGCTAATATACACTGTGTTAAAAATAGAAAGAAAAATGTCTTTTGGTCCCACTTTGCCTTTTGGTGTTCAAAAAGGGAAGGGGAGAACTAGTGGCCATAATTAGAGGTCACATTTTGGTCACAACTTCAAGACCTCGTTGGCTGAGAGGTAGGGGAAAGACATCCTTTGTTTGCCTGTGGGGAAGGGAGCTCCTGGCAGGAGCTGTCCCCTGCAGAGGCCAGGATGCTCTTGCCACACTATTATTGGGGTCATTTATTTCCCAGCATCAGACCTCCTGAACTTGCATTTGCATTTTCTTCCTGTCCACCTGAAGCAGCACTAATGGGCCCCAGAAACCTTCTGGAGTGTATTGGGTCTGCTGGCGACAGGCAGAGAGGAAACAGGCTCAGGATCCTTGAGACCCCACTTCAGGGATCTGGAAATAGAGACTGGGAAAGAAAAATAGCCCTTCGGAGAGGTGCCTAATAAACAGTCTTTGGATTGAAGACTTGCGGACTCAGAGTGGCCAGATGGGAACAATATTTAAGGGAGATGCGAGGAGGCTTCTTCGAGCTTCAGAAAGTTGATTTCCTCCTGCACTTGGATATTTTGAAAAGCTGCTTCTGGGTGTTATAACCCTGAGAAATGAGCAGACCCAAATGGGAAAATCAGCTTGCTGGGTCTCCCCTAATTTCTGCTGTTCGGTCTCAGGGGGCTGGACCTGGTAGTGCCAACCCCTCACTGTCCCTCATTTCGCGGAAGCCCGCAGACCCCCTGGGAAATTAGGCTTGGCTGCATTTGAAATAGCTTCAGTGATAAATTAATTTAATTAACATATCTGCAGTTTCAACTGCCTTTAAGATAATCTCCCTTTATAAAAACTCACATGGATGAAGGCAAATATTGATGTGGAAATAGCCTAAAATTGCCTCCCTACCCAACTTGGAGGAGGGGCAATGATAGTCTGGCTCTAACTACCTATACTGCTCTTCAGGAGATTTCTACAATATATGATTCTTTTTCCTAGAGCAAGATTTAAGTCCATTTTTCTTCCTCTGGTTCCCCCACTGTTGTCTTCCTTCTTCTCTCCCCCAGCCCCTTCCGATTTATCTCAATCCTTTGAAAGTGGACTAGCCCAATCTGTACCTGAAAAAAAAACAAAACAAAAAAACAGGTGGATGGATCGGTGGGCGAGCTAGGTGGTGAGGGGAAGAAGCTATCTTCGTCACGGGGCCAGGAAGGTCTGAGAAGGCACAATTAATTCCTCAGTGCTAAGTGTCCTTTCCTCTGGCCTGCCTGCCTGAGAGTGATCCACTTTCGATTTAGTCATGTTGTGTGTTGTCCGTGGCTCAGGCAGAAAGGTCACCCACTTAGCTTTCTGTGCCATGAAGAGAAATTAGTCAGGACCTCCCCGAGAGGGTGCGGCTCTTGGCTATTCATCATTTGGGGCAGGCTCCATGGCTCCTCCCTGAGCCCAGCATTTGATAAAATGAAGGTGTTGCTATTAGCTGAGGGCTGGGGAAAAGGCTGTGTGTTGCATCCTTTCAGAAAGAGAAGGGGTAGGGGTGGGAGGAGGCTTTAGGGAGGAAAATTAGGTAATAAAAAAATAAAAATAAATATGGAACACAAACCACAATTAGACCTGTTATTTTGAAATTTATGTCATACAATTTGGAACCACAGGTAAAACCTTCCCCCTCCAGTAGTAAAAGTGAAATTGTCAATCAGTGCTAAGGGAAATATATATATATATATTTTTTTTTTTTTTTTTGCAGCGTTACATTTAACAAGAAGTCTGAATAATCTTTGAATCTTAAATGGCAACCAGGCTAACAACTGTACATGCCTTTTCTTTTTTCTTGTCTCCCTTCCTTTCCACAGAAATAAAGTGGCCTGTATCTCCTGACAATTCAGGTGTGACTTTAGTCAAAAGTCCAGTAGAAACGGTAAAGCCATCCTGGCAGCAGAAAAGTCCTAGAGCTGTTAGCCAGGATATTCAAGTTTGTATCTAAACTTATGTGAACACACACACACACTCTCTCTCTCTCTCTCTCTCTCTCTCATGTGCACACAAACCTTGTTTAATCAGAACCTGATACCAGACCCAATATAATCCTCATGGGTGAATCTATTAAATTGTGTTTAATATCAGTGTCACTCACCCCCACCCCAAACCTGGAAAGAGCAATCTGTATCTAGAAATTGGTTTGTTCATGCTGATTTAATATATAACTGCTCTTTCTGTGCCTCTTAGGCTCATAATTGTGGACACACACAGCACTGAGAGAGGCGTTCTTAAAGATTTCTCAAAGGAGAGGAAGAAGTAAAAAGAAGATGGTGAAATAGCTTCCCAATGATAAATCGGGTTGGTAGAAAAGTCGTCGCTTTATTTTCCCATTTCTTTCCCTATGTGTGGCTAATTCTAATCACTCTGAAGCTCATAGCAATGAAAGGAATGTTTGAAGCCCCTTGGTCCTGGCTACCCTTAGCAACCACACTAAAAGGGCTCCAGTTTAGAGCACTTAACAATTATGAGCGGGGCCAGTCCATGAAATTAGCTGGTGGGATGTTTTTGCCACCAAAGTATTACTGTGGGGAAAATTAGATGCTGAGCCAGGACACCTGGTCCTTCATGGTTCTGTTTCTCTCTAGGATGCCGAGTAGGTCATATTAACCGCACTAAAACTTGGCTTCCTCATCTATAAATGTAGCAGGATTCTATTTGAAAAGCTACTAAGTCCTTTCAATTGGAAAATGCTAGAATTTGGGAATAGAATACGTTTTCTTTGACCTCATTTTCTTCTGGGGACATGTACCTAAAGCCAAATGTGACAATTCAGTTGAAGTATTAGATGGCCTTTCTCTGGGCCATAGCTATGATGTCAGGGAGATGAACTAGTAGGGAGTTTTAGCCTTTTGGGGATCATGAGTGCCCCACGAGTCTGATGAAAAGTCTGGATAGCAAAACACACATATATGCCTGTTGATGTACAGCATCACCCTTGTATGCTACAGGAAGGGTGGCGGGTTTCCAGGGGCACATGGTCAGATCCCAGTTAAGAACTGCCATACAGGAGATTTCAAAGCCGCACCCAAGTTCTAGAGGTCTGTAGCTCCATTATGCAACTCTAGGCTGTAAAATAGTTTTAGCATTTCCTAGCTCATTAGGCACTTTTAGCTTCCAAGATGGTCTCAGGCCCTCAAATACCTATTAACTCTCCCAGATCCTTCCTGCTCTACCTCCCCACCCTGAGTTGTGCCCTGGTTAACATTACTGATATCTAACAAATATTTATCAGCACTTACTATGTGCCAGGTGTATAAATTTTAAAAATTAACATATTTAATCCTTACAAAAATTCTGTGAAATAGGTAGTATTGTCATTCCCGCATTACAAGTGATAACGCTGAGACATAGAGAGATTCAATTATTTGCCCAAGGTCATCAAATTAGTGGGTAGTGGAGATGAGTTTGGAACCCAGCAATCTGGCTCTAGAGTTTGCGCTCTTAACCACTATTTTCGTTTCCAAAATACTTGGGTAATGGCGATTTACAAACAAAAAAACATTCCATGAAAATTCTTCAAGTTGCCTACTTACAATTTGTGCATATTTCTGTATGTATGTTATATTTCAATAAAAATTTTACCTTAAAAATCTACTATATCTGTTGGGAATGCTTTTGGCAGCTTAAACCAGAAGGGTATTCGTTATTTATTTAACAAGGAGGTGGGTGGTCTCAGAGTTGATTTGTCAGCTTGATGGCATCCCAATGACCGAAGATCTTTCCACTTTCTCTCTTGCCCATTCTCAGTTTCCTGGTAGAGTCTCCCCTCATGGTCACAAGATGGCAACTAAGCCTCCAACCATTATATCTATACAGAAATAGGTGGGCAGTGAAGGAGATCTCCTCAGATACTTCTCTCCTCTCAGTTTGCAAAGACTTCCAGCAAATTTTCCCAATACTCTCATTCATCAGAATTAGGTAAAATGGCGACCTTTGTAAAAGAGAAACTGGAATGTGAGTCTCCGATTTTTTCCAACCTCTATGGGCTGTGACGGAGAAGGGAGAAGGGGTGTGGAATGAACATTGAATATCTCCCAACAGTGTGTGCTACACATTCCCTGTATTAAAAAAAGGCTTCCACACTGAGAAAGGCAAGAGAGGAACACAAGTGAAGGGATCAAAGGTATTCAATCACCATCTTTCTGTAGATTGAAAAAAAGGCCTCACACTGATCCCTTCAGAATAAGGTGTTGAATATAGCCGATAGTGAAAACTATTTGGAACAGGAGATTTGAAAGTCTCTCCCATCAAATTGGAAGGATGAGCTCTTAACTAATGACTTAATTTGAATCTTTGAAAGACGACTGTTTCATTATCTTCCTTAATGGAGTGTACATCAAATTTAGTGTGTCTCCAAGACACCAGACTGGATTTAGCCAGATGGTGCAAGTTTTCCAACCTTCTAATAATACTTGTGCATTTTTAGCAGTTAAAATGCTTAAAGGGGATATCATTCTGGTGGGAGGAGAAGAGCAGTTGGTTAAGTGGTCTTGCCATCAGCTTTGTGTCTGGATGGCAATGATTCTTCCTCTGTTCACACTATCTACTCAACTCCTTAAAATTAATGTCTAGGGAGGGAACTATTTCTCAGCTGCTTTCGCCTATCATCACAGTGTCTGGTTTGTGCGGTTTTGTCTTAGTTTAAGCTCACCTGGAAAGAGATGCTTAGACAAGGATTTGAGTACAAATAGTTTCTTTAGATGATGAAGGAAATACTGGTAGGGAAGTAGGGATGGGAGATAGGATAGGGAAGGCAGCAAATAAAATGTGCATTATCCAATTATCACTGTGGTTGACTGGAACTTGATTTCACTGGGAAATTCTGGGAGACAGTGTTAAACACATGCTTCAGGGTTCTTCTACCCATGAGCGAGAGAGCTGGGGTATTTATACACAAACTCCCCAGTATTATCAGAGGAGGGCTTCTTCCAAATGGTGTTAATTTCCTAGCATTTCTGGCCTGCCACGTGGGCAGACAAATCTGGCTTCACTGGCCAGAGACAGCCCTCAAACAAAGAAATGCACGTACTGGTGTTTGGAAGTGGTGAGAGTCAGAGGATTTAGGTTTCGTAGAATTAAAGGTTAGACCTCAGGGGGACCTTAAACATTCTAAAGTCCAGAGCCCTCTGTTATTCCTCCTTCCCATTGTATAATCAAAGTAACTGTTGTTACTTAGTTAGTTTACTTAGTTACTTAGTAAACTAAGACAGGTAGAATCTCACACCTAGGCAGTGGCTGGGCTGCAACAACAACCCAGTTTTCCCACCTTTTCATCTTAGATTCTTTCAACCTTGCCAATGTTATTCACAAACCAGGAGGATATTTAAAATATTAAAGGATTATTACTTAGTTGAATTGTCATGACATTTAGAAAATAATTTTTCTTTATGTTACTAGTAGTGAATATTAATAAAATATAATTGTTAAAATTAATAAACTTGTTATGGAACAAAGTACAAATAATCAAGATCACCCTTTGCTTGGCACATATGCCTCTTGAATGTTAGATGATCTTTCTGCAGCTATGGATAAGACTGGTAACAGTTCTGGTTCCTTCTACTATGCCCGTTGGTTATTCTCAGAGGTTTTCTGCTTAAAGTCTACCCATTTAGCTATTAAATACAAGACACCATGTGATGTAGCCAGCCCCATCCTCTCACAACACTCCCAATGCTTAAAAATGCAGTGACGGGCCGGGCGCGGTGGCTCACATCTGTAATCCCAGGGTTTTGGGAGGCCGAGGAGGGCAGATCACGAGATCAAGAGATTGAGACCATCCTGGACATGGTAAAACCCCGTCTCTACTAAAAATACAAAAATTAGCTGGGCGCGGTGGTGCATGCCTGTAGTCCCAGCTAATTGGGAGGCTGAGGCAGGGGAATTGCTTGAACCCGGGAGGCGGAGGTTGCAGTGAGCCAAGATCGCGCCACTGCACTCCAGCCTGGTGACAGAGCGAGACTCCATCTCAAAAAAAAAAAAAAAAAAAAATTCAGTGAGGAAAGAATTTGCAAAACTCTCTAGTCCCACAGGTAACTGAAGAAATCCTGCAGGTGGAGGGTGTTTAGGAAAATCTTAGGGAAGAAGAAAGCTCAGCTTCAGAAAGACCCTCATTTACTCTAATCTTCTTCTCATTTCTCTCACCCATTCCTCCTATTCTAAGAAAGATTTAATTCTGGGTCAGAGATGACAAGAAGGGGAGCAGAAGCAAAGTGAATCTCATAATTTTATGAAAGTGTTCCGTTTGACCTCTCACTGTTGGGCTCAAGTGAGTCTCTTGCCTCAGCTTCTTGAGGAGCTAAGAATACAGACATGCACCACCACGCCTGGCCTTAAGTAGGTTCTGACATGTTTATACCCAGGGGTTCATGGCTGGATTTTCCAACTGAAACTCACTAGAAAGAACTCTCTTCTGCGCTTCCCGTTCCTTCTTTTGTCTAAATTGTGAAATAATATACATACTGTAAAGCGTACAAATGTCAAGTGAACAGCTCAATGAATTTTAACAAAATGAACACACCCATTGAACTACCATCTAGGTTAGGGCATGCATTACTAGCACCAAGATGCCTACTTTATATCCATCCTGTCATTACCACCACCCCAAAAGTAAAGAGAATCTTTTGCCATAAATTAGTTTTGCATATTTTTCAACTTTCTATAGATGCAATCACAGAGCATGCACATTTTTGTGGTTGGTTTCTTTTGCTCAACATTAGGTATGTGAGGTGCATTCATGGTGTTGTGATTAGCAGCCATTTATTTCTTTTTTCATCATCGTATAGCATTCAGTTGTATGAATCAACTACAATTTATCTATCCTCTGATTTATTTGCTGTGCCTTCTGCGTACTGAATTTCAGAAGGCCATTGGGATGGAATGGGATCATAATACTATTTAGACATTTATACCTAAAACATTCATCAACAGATTGCCAATGGCCAAGCCTAGCCAGCATGTATATGGAGCTTACTACGTGTTAAGTGTTGACTTAAGTACTTCATAAGTGTGAACTCATTTAACTTTCATACAACACTGTTAGGAAGGGTACTGTTATTATTCCCATTTAGATGCAGAAACTTAAGCATGGATTGGTAAAGTCACTTGCCTAAGGTCACATAGCTAATTTGCAGAAGGGGAAGTTCTGGCCAATGAAACTGGCTTAGATCATGTTCTCTACTGTGTCCCTCGTATACACTTCTATTGCCAGCATTGGTTTAATGAGCAAACCAGGGGTTGTGCTGAAGTAACTGCTTGTGTGAGAAATGAGTTAGTGTGGGCAATAAACTCATGGGTACCTTTTCTTTTTTTTTCTTTATTTAAAATTTTTATTTTAGGTTCAGGGGTACATGTGCAAGTTTGTTATATAAGTAAACTGCATGTCACAGGGCTTTGGTGTACAGATAATTTCACCACCCAGGTAATAATCATAGGATCTGATAGGTAGTTTTTTGATCCTCTCCCTCCTTCCACCCTCCACCCTCCGATAGACCCCAGTGTCTGCTGTTCCCCTCTTTGTGTCCATGTGTTCTTGTTGTTGTTTAGCTCTCACTTATAAATGAGAACATGCAGTATTTGCTTTTCTGTCCCTACATTACTTTGCTTAGGATAATGGCCTCCAGCTCCATCCATGTTGCTGCAAAGGACATAATCTCATTCTTTTTTATTGCAGCATAGTATTCTATGGTGTATATGTACCACATTTGCTTTATCCTGTCTACCGTTGATGGGCATTTAGGCTGATTCCATGTCTTTGCTACTGTGAATAGTGCTGCAGTGAACATATGTGTATATGTGTCTTTATGGTGGAACTATTTATATTCCTTTGGGTAATGGGATTGCTGAATCAAATGGTAGTTCTGTTTTAAGTTCTTTGAGGAATTGTCACACTGCTTTTCACAGCGGCTGAGCTAATTTGCATTCCTTCCAGCCGTGTATAAGTGTTCCCTTTTCTCTGCAACCTCACCAGCATCAGGTTTTTCTGTTTTTTTTTTTCTTTTTAATAATAGGAAGGAGGAAGAGAAACTGCATTGCCCATAGCTCATGGGTTAATAGTACAAACTGCTTGGAACAGTTTTTATAACTTAAACCAGAGGAGACAGCAAGGAGGAAGAGCCTAGAGCTGTGGTAGCCAATAGAAATACAACATGAAGGGAGATAGAGAGTAAAAGGATGGTTACCAGAGATGAGGAAGGGTAGTGGGGGGTGGTGGGGGTGGTGAGGATGGTTAGTGGGTACAAAAAATAGAAAGAATAAGACCTACTATTTGATAGCACAACAGGGTGACTACAATCAATAATAACTTAATTGTACATTTAAAAATAACTGAGATTGTAATCAGGTTGTTTGTAACTGAAAGGATAAATGCTTGAGGGGATGGATACCTCATTCTCCATGATGTGCTTATTTCATATTGCATGCCTACTATGTATCTACAAAAACTGAAAATTAAAAATTTAAAAACATTTTAAAAATGCAGGTGAATCCAAGGGAAGCGAGAAACACACTAATTCTTCCTTTTTTAAAAAATTATACTTTAAGTTCTGGGGTACATGTGCAGAACGTGCAGGTTTGTTACACAGGTATACATGTGCCATGTTGGTTTGCTGCACCCATCAACTCCTCATTTACATTAGGTATTTCTCCTAATGCTATCCCTCCCCCAGCCCTCTACCCCCTGACTGGCCCCAGTGTGTGATGTCCCCGCCCCATGTCCATGTGTTCTCATTGTTCAACTCCCACTTATGAGTGAGAACATGTGGTGTTTGGTTTTCTGTCCTTGTGATAGTTTGCTGAGAATGATGGTTTCCAGCTTCATCCATGTCCCTGCAAAGGACATGAACTCATCCTTTTTTATGGCTGCATAGTATTCCATGGTGTATACATGCCATATTTTCTTAATCTAGTCTATCATTGATGGACATTTGGGTTGGTTCCAAGTCTTTGCTATTGTGAATAGTGCCTCAATAAACATACATGTGCATGTGTCTTTATTGTAGAATGATTTATAATCCTTTGGGTATATGCCCAGTAATGAGATTGCAGGGTCAAATGGTATTTCTAGTTCTAGGTCCTTGAGGAATCACCACACTGTCTTCCACAATGGCTGAACTAATTTATACTCCCACCAACAGTGTAAAAGCATTCCTATTTCTCCACATTATCTTCAGCATCTGTTGTTTCCTGACTTTTTAATGATGGCCATTCTAACTGGCAGAAACACACCAATTCTTGTTGCAATCTTAAATAAAATTGCCCGTGTACCTAGAAAAAAAAAAGAAATACAACACCAGCCACATGTGCTACATTTACATTTTCTAGAAGCCACATTTTAAAAAGTAAAAAAGAAAAACAGGTAAAATCAATTGTAATAATATATTATATTTAACCCAGTATATCCAAAATCTTATTTCAACATGTGATCAATATAGGCATTATTAATGGAGTGTTTCAGATTCCTTTTTACTACATCTTAGAAACCTACAACACATCTTATCTTAGACTGGCCACATTCCAAGTGCTCAGTAGCCACATGCGAGTGGCTACTGTACTGGAGCAGCGTAGGTCTTAAAGCCTTGCTCCTCAAACTGTGGTCTGTGGACCAGCAGCAGCACATCAACCGGAAGTTTGCTAGAAATGCAGAATCTCAGGCCCTGCTCCAGGCTTACTGAATCAAAACCTGTCTTTTAATGAGCTCCCTGGGAGATTTGTTTACACATCAAAGTTTGAGAAACTGGTCTATTGATCAACTGCATTAGCCGGGCATTTTCTAATGAATGGCAGATAATAGCTCTCTAACCCTGAAATCACAGCCACAGGGTCTCTCATTAAGTTCATTTGTTAACTTCCTTCCTTCTCTCCTTTCCTCTCTCTCTCCCTCCCTCATTTCCTTCCTTCCTTTCTTGCTTCCTTCCCTCCATTTGTTCCCACATTAAAAAGAAGACTTTATTTCAATCAATACTGCTGTTCCTCTTGAATGACAGTGCCAAGCTATTAAATTCTGCGAGCTCATCCTTTGTGAATGAAAGGAAGTGAATTCAGCCGCAGCCCTATCTTTCTGCCATTATCCTGTATTAAATGTCCTTCAATTAGTATATGCAGCAAGTCCCCTGTAAGACCACCTGCTGGTTTATGTTACTCGTGCATTAACCTCATTGGTTACCAAACATCCCCATTATTAAGCCATTGAAAGCCAGGCTTGTTCACCTGCCAGCTCTTTCGTTTCCTTTTCTATCTCCTGGATGATTTTACCAGATGGAATTTTGGTGAGTCTCTCTGTAGCCATCTTTTTTTTTATATATATCTTGCAAGAATCGATTTCCTCTTGCACCCCTCTCTTTCTCTTCCTTTCTTTTTCTCTGCCTCATTCTTTCTCTCCCCCTACAGTGTGTTGTCTTTCTGCATTTTTTTAAATACCACTCTGTCTCCCCAGGAGAAGGTAATTACTTGGTTGAGAACAGGTTGGTTATAGCTGTGTGTGCACTCACCAAGCTGGAGTCTCATCAGCGAGGCTGCTTCCAGCCCTTGCTGGTTCAAGTGATATTTGGCAAGTCATCGCTTTCCAACGCTGTCCAATTGTTTCTGCCAGTTTGATGAAATTGTGAAGCAGGTTGCAATACTGGCAGTTTGAAAGTGGATATTGAATAGGATGTTAGAACCATATTTCGAAGCTGGTTTTTGAATATCTTGCTCACCTTACCTGTTTGTTTTTAAAGAGCAATGAGATATAATTTTAGCAATGTGTGTGTATACTATTAAGCTTGCAGTTTTAGAGATAATATTCAGGATGAAGGAAGACATGCTCAGCCCTCAAAAATGTGCTTTATCTGCAAGTTGACATTTCACCGAGAAGTAATGGAAACTTTCCATTTTGCTCTACTTGGTCTGGTATCTCATGGTGCCTAAAGCAGGAGGAATCAATCAACTATGGCCAGTGGGCCAAATCCGCCTGCCTCCTACTTTTGTGTGGCCAGAAAGTCAAGAATGGCCTTTACGTTTTTAAATGGTTGAGAGAAAATGAAAGGCACATATTTTGTGACACCTAAAAACTACATGAAATTGACATTTCAGTGTTCATAAATAAAGTTTGATTGGAACACAGCCATACCATTTGTTTATGTATTGCCTGTGGCTGCTCTTGTGCCACAATTGCAGAGTTGAGAGGTTACAACAGACTGTATGGCTTGCAAAGCCCACAGTGTTTATTCTCTGCCTTTTTACAGCCAAAGCTTGCTGACGCCTGGTCTATAGGGCACTAGTTCCCAACTCTGGCTGCACCTTGGGGACCTTTAAAAAATATAGATGCATGAGTTATTCCCCTAAAGATACTGATTTAATTGTTTGGGGTACATCCTAGGCATTGGTCATTTTTAAAGCTCTTCAGGTGATTCTCTTTTGCAGCCAATGTTGAGAACCACATAACCCAAATAAGAAGACGTAAAACTATATTCACACATGGTGCTTTTGAGGACCTAAAAATATTTGCTCCCTTACGGAACATGAAAATACTAATTTCATTTTATTTCCTTGCTCTTATCAAGCTGTTTCTGGTTCTTGCCCACTGGCTTAGTCCTCATTTCATTTCTCTTCCCTATCTGAGTTTTTTTTTTTTTTTTTTTTGGCTTACATGTTTTTAAGCACCACTGAAGAAAAGTAAGATTGAATGATGGTCACTCCTAATTTTAGGACCACCTCTTTGGGGCTTCGATGAAGGATTCACAGCTCTTCTGGGCAGAGGAAGGCTGTGGTAGCTGGTGAAAGCGTAGCTGAGAAAATCCCTTTCTCCTTTGACCATCCAGAAACATTCTACTCACCGCTCTTCCATCATGACACCCAATAATTGACTTCTTATGAAATCTTTTCTGCCTGCTCCACCTTCTGACCTGTTAGAATTGTCCCCTTCAGCCTTTGTACTCCCATTGGAACCCACACAGACTTTCCCCTGGCAGCTGGGGCACTTAATGGCATTTACTGGCTTACATGCCTTTCTATCTCCACTAGAGTACTATTTGCTTGAGGGTAGGGCCGTAGGGCCATGTGTTATTAATGTCTGTTTCCCTTGCTCCCAGCATCATGCTCATTATTCAGCAGATGCTTAGTACATGTTTTATAATGAAAGAGGGAAGGAGGAAACGAAGCCTTATTTTCTGGGGACATCAAGGTGCTTACTAAAATGCTTTTATTATTATTGGAAGTTGCAGGTCAGAGACATAATGTATTTTGGAGACAGCATCTTAACGTAAATCACTGAAAGACCAAATTCCTGGCTTTGGCCGAAAGCTTTGGTGGAAAACACTGACATAGCAAGGAGAGTCACAGGGGTCTTCATTGTACCATGTCTTAGTCCATTCATGCTGCTATAGACTGGGTGGATTATAAACAGCAGAAATTTATTGCTCGTAGTTCTGGAGGCTGGGAAGTCCAAGATCAAGACACTAGGAGATACAGTGTCTAGTGAGGGCCTGCTTCCTGGTTCACAGATGGCACCTCTTGCTGTGTTCTTAAATGAGGGAAGAGGTGACAGAGCTTTCTGGGTCTTTGAGGTCCCTTTTATAAGGGCTCCCCGCTCCGGAACGTATTACCTTCCCAAAGCCCCACCTTTTAATACCATCACATTGTGGATTAGGTTTCAACATGTCAATTTTGGAAGAACACAGACATTCAGACTACAGCAGGCAGTATCAAAGTAAATGGAACCAGTCACCACACTGAAGATCAGGGTTTCAGACAGGGCTACTCCAGGGAGGGGATCACCAGGGGTCCAGAGTGGCCTCACTGGAAAATCTTTGCTCAGGAGAAATTCTTGGCAATTACCTCTAGCAAACTTAGCTTGCAATCCATCCTTTGGTTTGAACCGCCTTCTGGACTCCAGCTTCAGTGCCGAATTTAGCCTCTCTCTGAGTCTTCAGTTCACCTTTGTTTACTTCTTTATTTTCTCTCCTCTCCACTGGTCTATAAACTATGTGAGGGGAGAGACCATGTCTACCTAATTCACCACTGTGTATCCACACATACGATGGTACCTAACACATAGTTGATGTGTGATAAATAACTATTGAATGAATGAATGAATCTGCAGGACCCAAATCTCCAGTTTCCTTGATCTACTGTGGAAGGTCATGATATTTAACATCCAGACCATTCCAACTGATGAGTCCAAGTTCCAGGTGTTCTTGACCTCAAGTCTATGGATAGGATTCAAGGGATATATGACTGTGAATGGAAAAACAAAATACCTCTTTGTCTTCACTAACCTTTAACTGAAACGTAGCTTTTCTTTTAGTCATAAATGTAGGCAGTAAACCACAATACCGTTAGCAGGACCTGTGACTTTGTCACCAGCAGAATCTTTTATGTCCATGAGCAATTCAGAATTATGGTAGTAGTTATATCTGCCACTAGATTTTGTTATTTAACGTGTCAATAAAGCAGAACACACACTACTATATCAAAAATTTGTTGAATGACCAAATTAATCTTAATTAACCTGAATGAACATATTAAAATTCGAATAACGTCCTTTCCAAGTAACTGGATTCCTTTGTAATCTTACGTATTTAAAAAACATTCTTAGAAGGGGCTTCTAGGCTTTACCACACTGCCAAAGGAATCCCTGGTACAAACAAGGTTAAAAACCCTTATTTAGATGAATAGAAGAAAGTTATTTAGTGCTGGTTATTTAGTGCTGGTTATATGGGTGGGCTCAGTTTGTATAAAAGCATCAAGCTATACACATATTTTGAGGTATATTATACTTCAATAAAATGTGTTTTTTAATTGACCTGAACCAGTCATGGTAATCCTGTATCAGAAATTAATTTAAGTAAGAGTATATGTCCCAAGCCAGGCCAATGAAACATAGAGGAACTTTTGCCAGGGGAACGGGAAAGGAGACATGGAGAGAGAAGCCCCCTCTTGGTCTGGACTTTGCCATGTCTGCATGTCACATCTGGAGCTGCTCCGGCCATCTCACAGAGGGGTCAGAGCCAACTGGAGCAGGAGGTGCAACATCATGTGCCTGGAGTCTGCCCTCCTCTTTGATTTAGACCATGACCTCCAAAAGTATTTTGTTTCTTATTATATTCACTTGAAACTGCAGAACACAACCACACTGTGATTAAGTAGTCCAAGCCTGCACATCTCATGATTGTTTCTCATTAAATGTCTGGACAGCCAGTGGCTGGGATGTGCACATGCTGAATGTAAGGCAGTGGATTTTTTCCTCCGCTCTTTCTCTAGTTCCTAGGAGGCAACTAGAGGCAGTTGCCTGGACCAGGGAGAATTACCTTAGCATTGAGATCTAGAAATGGAGCAATACCATGAGAAACTGCTTCACTTCCACAGAGAGTAATCCAAATAAATATCCCCCTCCCCAGTAAAAACAGACTTGCACACATACACACAGTTTCTGACTGGGGGCAGGTGGCAAGTGTCACAAATGGTCACGGAGAGGGTGAACTTGGGAAAGCTGGGCTCCAGGCCCATACATCACTGCCACAGACGCAAGACAAACTCCACCTGGCAGCAGCCACATGGTTATTGCAAGTGCCTCTGGGTGACTGTTACACTGAACTCTAAAGACAAGCTAGAGTAAAGTGGGATCCCAGCTGTGGTATTGTGGACCTGTGAGTAGTGTGAGAAGGGTCATGTATGTTTAGGATTTTAAAATATGCAATCAACAGAGTGCATAACACTCCGCCATCCTTTGCCATTCTGTATGAAACTGTCTCAATAGAAATGCTTGCCAAATAGCTCTCTTGAATCAGAGTGCTATATAGGAAGCATTACCCCCATACACGATTTCCACAATCACAATAACTTAGGATAAAATAGTCACACGTTGCGAGTCAGTGCTGAGGAGAATAATTAGAAGAGAAAGATGAAGGAGTCGAAGCAGATGTCAAAAGGGCAATGCTCTGCCTAGGGGGGATATTAAGGAGATGGAGGCAAAGCAGATCAGGGGCTCAGAACTTTATTTCCACAGGGGCAGGAGAGGGGATGTATGGAAGACAGGTTCTTGATGTGCTCCAGCATGGAGATCTCAAGTAAGAACCGAATCTCTGTGACCTTGATTGAGAGGCTTGAGGGGACTGTGATGGAGAAATGGTTCTGGGTAGTCAAATTCTTTCTCTCCATGGTAGACACACAAATCCACTTCTCCACACAGGTTTAGGAAATAGTCCAGGGAGCTAGGGTCTTTCTTTCTGAGGCGAAACTTAGAAGAGAGAGATTAGTGAGACTTGGACTTGGGGCAACAAATGGTACTTGTTATCTTCCTTTTCAGCATCATTTCTAAATTCCCTTCCCCCTCAGCTACCACCTCTACTGATCTTGGTGGCTTGCTGGTGATAAGGCCCAAACCCTCATTTCCGAGGAGTCTGAGCCCAGGTAACTGTTCCTTTCCCAGGCTGAGGTTGATGTACATGTCTATTCACAGTCACGGTTGGGCAAGGGAGTACCACAGGGAACCCAAGTGAAACAACCGAGTTCCAATGAGTCCCTCCCTGCTCCATTGTGTAAAAGTGGCCCTACCTCCTCCTGCTGATCAGGGTCAACCATTCCTGCAAGATGGTGACCCCTCTATTGGTCTGCTGGACCCAAAACACAAAGAGCACAAAATGTCCAGGGAGCCGCTGTAGCTGCTGTGTCCTCTGAAAGGAGACAGGTGGCAGAAGTACATCCACTTTGGGGCATCCTAATTCTACAGAGCCCAAAGTTGAAAGGACTAAAAGCACAAATTTCCCCCAGTGGATCACTGAGAATAATGGCAAGTGGGACCACCCCTGCTTCCCCAACCTGGTTCACAGATCCATGTGTTCTTCCTGTGGAGGATACAATGCCATATAGAGGTCTCTGATACAGCATATGTATTGAATTCTGGATGATGGCACTCTATCTTCGCAGAGCCTTTCCTCTAAGGTGGCACTTCTGTTGTACCCTCAACAGGCAATTCCACAACCAGTGGATCCCATGATCCCGGACCACTCCACCACTTCCTGTGCTACAAAATGAAGCATCCTGGTCAGATGCTATGTTATGTGGGATTATATCCTTGTAAATCAGGCACTTTGTAAGTCCCTGGGTAGTAAACCTGGCTCAGGCTCTGCAGGCAGAAAAGGCGAACCCACATTTGGAATGAGTATCTATTCCTGAGGGAATGAATTGCAGTATTTTCCAAGATGGGAGAGATCCAACAAAGTCAACTGCTACCAAGTGGCCAGTCTCCTAAAGGAAAAGTACCATATTGAAGGCTCAGCATTGATCTATATTGCTAACAGGTGGCAGCAATAGGTTCTTCCTGGGCCCAAGTGTGACCTCCATCTCTACCACCATGGCTACTCCATTGTTTCCATTGTACCAAATCTGGTGGCCCGCGACAAAGGCCGATTGATGCCATCTGGCTGGTTTATTTTGTCTACTTGATTGTTCAGTGCCTCATTCATGGAGGATGGATGCTTTCTGGTGGGGATTAACATGAGAATCCTAGATCTTTAAACTTCTTACTATTCCATATGTCCAGCTACCTGCCAGAAGTAGTCACCAGGCTCACCCAAACACAATGGGGCCAAGAAAAGCAATCCAATTTTTATGCCCATAAGATGAGAGCAGGAAATATTTGGAGAATAGCAATAATGGCTACCATAGTTCTTGTCTGTTATATTCTGTTAGAAAAGTCTCAGAGCATGCTCTTTCTCTAATGTTCTACAGAATTTTAGTGAAAGCAAAAGTTTACTTACAGCTTGCTTGCTTTCTAGAATCCAAGCAATGTTTCTTTAGGGCTGGGTTAGAGACAGTATAGCTGTTGGGTTTCACTCAGAAAATTATTCCCTTATGCTTTATTACTGGTAAGAGCATGTTATTCCTGGCCTTTTTTAGTTCTGTTAGGGGGGATTTTTTTTTTTTTCTAAGCAGCTGTTCAATACTCATGTAAACAGGCTTCCTGTAGGCCCACCAAACCCGTTGCTGGTCATGCCCATACACATTTGAGTCCCACTAAGATGCAAGTCTGCTCCCACTCCATACTTATATTACTATTTATATTTTTTGGGCCTTGACTGATCCTCTCCCCAGTTACAGTATATGCTGCTTGAATGCTGAGCCTATGTCTCCTTCCTCTTTATAGCCCCAGCTCCTAGGATGATATCCTATCCACATAAAATGCTTTGTAATGTTTGTCACTGGTGATGAAGTGATTCCAGAAAGCAAACAAAAAGGGTTTTATGGCAAAGATAGCCACCCATGCAAATAATGTAAGGCAAACAGTTCTCAAAGGATAAACAGGACCTAGAATGTCTTTTACCCTGGGCATTTGCTGAGCCAATATGTGTGCTCCGACCTCTAGCAAATGGCCCTCTGCGCGTGAGCCCAGCGAGTTGGAGGGCCTGGTTGACAATTTATGTGGCTAATGTTCAGAGCATTGCAGCTCCTCAGGAAGGCTTTATTGAATCTGAATCCCAGAAAACAGGACAAGCTTAGCCAAGTCTATGTCAATTAAAACAGTGTAACCATTTTATTTTATGTGCAAGACCTCGAGTAGCTTAAGGCAACATTTTGAAGTCAAAAAAGTCGGTCTTCAGGACCCTTGCTTTCTATTTCTATTCCCTTCTCCATTTTAACTTTTTTTTTTTTTTTGAGACGGAGTCTCGCTCTGTGGCCCAGGTGGGAGTGCAGTGGCGCAATCTCGGCTCACTGCAAGCTCCGCCTCCCAGGTTCACGCCATTCTCCTGCCTCAGCCTCCCGAGTAGCTGGGACTACAGGCGCCCGCCACCACGCCCGGCTAATTTTTTTGTATTTTTAGTAGAGACGGGGTTTCACCGTGTTAGCCAGGATGGTCTCGATCTCCTGACCTCGTGATCCGCCCGCCTCGGCCTCCCAAAGTGCTGGGATTACAAGCGTGAGCCACCGCGCCCAGCCTCCATTTTAACTTTTATCCCCTACCCAGAAGCAAAAACAGAATGCCTTCTATTTGGGGAAACCAAGAAATTGTTTTGATTTTTTGTTTTATGACCCAAACCTATATATTACTGGCTGCTGTGACATTATTTCTCCCTGCACGCTCATCATTCATAGCTACAGGGGTGAAAATATTCCAAAATAGTATGTAATGTCTGTTATGCATTTGGATGCATAAATTTTGGTTGTCAAGATGGTGATTTAATAGAAACTTATAGGTTCATTGTAGAATATTCTTAATGTCTAGTGTTTTAAAGGACAGCTTTTGTGTTTGTGTTTTTCATTTCTCTCTTCTTGGAAATATTACTTTTTTGTAATATAGTCCTACTTTACTATGCTCTGGGTCCAACAAATTTTGGTAACAGGCTTAAAGTAAATTAAGGAAAAAGCATTTATTAAGAGTCAGGATGTAAAGTATCTTGATTGCATATTCATAATGTCAACAATAAACCCAAAGTCTCAGGTCCTGTGACCTCAGGCATGTAAGTTGAAGATGGGAGTTCACATTTTAACAAATTATTTCTTTGGGATTATAAATCAAAGACACTGGATTAACCCCCTGAGAATTCAGGTTTATACCTATCTGTATTATTTTGAGTATGTTTCTAGTATGTTTTGAAATTTTAGTGCTCTTTAAAGTGTAGATTCTCTCTCTCTCCCTCTCTCTCTCACACACACACAGATACAAACAAACACACACACACATTCTTGTCCTCATCCTCACTTTCATTCTCATTCTCACTGTTGTTTAACTTGTTTGATGTTACTGATCTTCTCCACTAATTTCCTCACTGGTTTTGGCAGGAATTTCTTTGCAAAGAAAGCTAAACACTCCTCTTCACTATAAGTTAACTTTGGCCGTGTAAGATTACCTGGAAGGGAAATGAACGTGTTCTATAGGTGTCACTAAAAATAAATGGTCTCTATCTGTTTTTAGGACCATTGTAATGCATTCAAGCTACCAACATGAAAGCGCAAATTTTTCATCCTCTTGTAAGTGGTCCAGAATGAGAGTCAGGATATAAACTGTAAGATATTTTTCAAGTAGTTTGAACAATTCCTCACTGGGAATTTAAATTGTAAATGTCTTTACTACATTCTCTTGAAAGTTGGGGTAGGAATGAGTTACAGTAAGGAACAGCTGACATTTCTGTGCAATGGGCAACATAACAGCGATTTTACTGCGTTGTTTTTAGTAATTCACCTTCAGGAACTAGGTCAGTCTTACCTGCCCAGGCTGCAGTAAAGGAGGGAAATCATTCAAGAATGTCACTAGAAATTTTGCTGTCTGTGTCTCTTCTCACTGATAGACATCTCAGACTTTGGAAAATATCACCAATGCAAGACAATCAGAATATTACAGAATAATATGGTTGGGACAGAGAGATACCATTGAACAGTGCTGGCCAATGGAAATATAATGCAAGCCACATTATAATGCAATTTACAATTTACAATAATTGCACATATAATGCAATTTACAATTTTCCAGTAGCCACATTCTAAAAAGTGGAAAAAAACAGGGGAAGCAAATTTTAAAAGCATATATTATTTAATGCAATATGTCCAAGACATTCTCATTTCACATGTAATCAACATAAACAACATTAATGAGATAGTTTATATTCTTTTTGGTATTAATTCTTCAAGATATGATATGTATTGTGCACTTACGGCCATCTCAATTCATACTAGCCACATTTCAAGCATTCAATAGCACACGTGGCTAGTTACTAGCATATTGGACAGAGCAAGCATGGAGAATATCCTACTCAATACCTCTCTCTGACAAATAAGGACCCAACATTCAGAAGAGTTAAGCCATTTGCTGCAATCAAACTGCTGTGTCAGAAAGCAAGACTAGAAGCCAGATCTTTAAATTACTTCTTAAGGCTACTTTTCACTACTTTGAGAATTTTTCTATTTCTTTTTTTTCCCTGAAATCTTATTGACAGCTTACCCCAAATCTCAATTTTATTTTGCTTCTGCAGTTTTCATTAAGAAAAGCCATCTTAAAACAGGAGCAAGAAGAGCAAAGACAAAGTCTTATGTGGGGCTTCAGCAGTATTCTGGTACAAGGCCTTCAACTACTTAAGAATAAAGTGTAGAAATATTAAGCAATATTTTTAAAGCCCCTAATTGTTTTGAATAATTTAAAATGTCAAAGCCTGGGCAAGTTATATCTGGGGTCACTGAAAGAACATGCAGATGAGATAATAGGACCACAATTGGTTACCAGGAAAATAATGGAGAAGGGAAGAGATGCTGGAGAATTGGCATGTCTGGATTTTCCGACTTGAAAAGGCCATGGTACTAGCAGCAAACATAGAACTTACTAGGTGCTAGATTCTGGTCCTGCGTGTTTTACATATGTTGACTGGTTGATTCTTCATAACAACTTTATAAGATATGAACTAAAACTCTCCTCACTTTTCAGATGAGGGAACAGAGGCACAGAGAAGTTAAGAACTTGCCTAAAGATATATAGTTAGTAGGTGGTGAAGCCAGGATTTGAGCTAGGTAGTCTGACTCTGGAATCTGACTTTCTGAATTGGCATGGCATTCAGTTGCTCACAGGTTAAAGATTTCAGTATCTGCCTAGTTTGCTGCCCTTCCATCCTCTCTTCCTACGACTGGGAATAATCTTATGTTCATTTTCACAATAGTGAAACCTTCCAGTAATGAGTAAAAACACCATAGTTCAGGCCATTGAGCTGGGCATTGGTCCTTGGAAAAATTATAAGTGTATTACTAACTAGTTGATTTGGAAGCACTTGAAATGGAAAGTGATGATTATTAAGAAATCCTTCTAAAACCAAACTCAATCCCCCTTTCCCTTTCATTGGATACTGTTAATAAAATTGTCAGTAAGAAGAATGCTTAGATATTGTGTATCTGGATCTCAACAAGGTATTTGATAGGGCTATTATGACATTTTGTGGATGAGAAGCCAAGAATGTGGTCTGAGTGATAGAATAGGTGTATGAATTCTGCTTGATCTTGAATGTCATCTTTGAGGGAGAGCTTCAATACTGTTGTGAGGACCTTCTCCTTAACCCTTTCCTATTCTACTTTTTCTCAAAGGCTATAATAAGCACTTATGATGAAATCTCAGCAAGTTTGTAGGAGATGCAGGATAGAGATGAGTAGATTCAGTGGCCAATGGCAGACTCAGAATTCAGAGGGTTCCCAGCAAGCTATAATGAACAGTTAAAATGAACAAGCTTAAATGCAATAAGGATGCATGTAAATGCATGTACTTTTGTTTAAAAATTAAATTCTGCGAGAGCAGTATGAAAGAGACATAGATTAACATTAGTGTAGTGGTGGTTGGGGGGAGTCTTAGGACCTTTAATTTATTGTAAACTCGTCATGAGCCAAAAGTGTGTATGGCTGCCAAGTGTTGAATGTGATCTTGGACTACATTAATTACAGTATAATGAGAAGGCTAATTCCATTGTACTTGGTACCTACCAGACTCTGTCTGGGTTATTGTACTTAGACCATGGCAGGCTGACAAGCTGCAATGGATCTGAGACAGGCAGCTAGAGTGGAAAAAGAATCTGGAACCAATGATGTGTTGGAGCTGGCTGGTACCTGCTTGCTAGAGATTGCTAAATATTGAGGAATTTTGTGAGCTCGTTGTTAAACCTTTGGTAGCTTGAAATGGGCCATGGTGAAAGTATTTATACCATTGTAATTGGCAAATGCTGCAAATCAAGACTTTTTGTTTCTAGAGAGTGAGTTTGTCAGGAAACCTCCATCAGTCACCTAATATGGAACATTATTCAGGTCAGAGAGTGTATTATTGAATTGCATTCAATAAAAACAACAAAAACAAAAATAAAACAAAAACTTGAGGTGGTGGGTGGGAGGGAGGATGATGAGGACTTCAGCATTAACTTTAAATACTTGAAAAGTTTACATTTTTGCTGTCAGCAAATGAGAGTAATGCTTCTCAAACACTCCCATCTTTACACTAAGGACAGCAGAGCCTGAGCTCTCACATCTTTCCCGCCATCCAGAGGTGTGGCCCCAAACCACCAATTAATAGTGAGAAATTTCTCTCAAGTTTCTCATATTATCTTTAAAAGTTATGTAAACTTTACATTTTATTCCACAATGGATTCATGTCTCTGTGAATTTACAAACAATGGATTAAATAGGTGCTTCTTAAACTTCGATGCATATGAATCCCCTGGGTATCTAGTTAAAATGCAGGTTTCAGTTCAGGAGGTCTTGGGGAGAGATTGAGATTCTGAATTTCTAGGAAGCCTCCAGGCACCTGGATAAAGGTCTATGCACAGTTTGAATAGCCAGGGCTGAAATTGTGAACTAACCTATTTACTTGCTTTCCCTCTCTCCTCCCATCTTCCAGTAAATTTTACACCCTGGGATGATGTGCCATGCTTAATCTGTGGCTGCATACCCCATAAGCTCTTCTCTTTGCTCATCTCCTACAGAGACACAACCCTCTGGGGATGTATACATGTACCTCGAAAAGCTTGGAGTTACAACCTTAATGACTTGTATTTCATTATTTGTCATCTTGCAGAATTCCTTTCCACTGAACAGCACTTCAGCCTTATACCTTCTGCCGATGCCGAGTACCATTACAAAAAATAGTGGAGAAAATTCATTCTTTTACCGATTATGGGGAAATTGTCAAGGATGTCATTCACTACATGACTTTCTGTTCTCTACTTGAGGATTCAGAGGAATTGATTCTCAAGTTTGCTTTCCAGAAATTGCTTCTTCAGAACAATTTACTCTTTTTAATCTTACCAAATATTTGAAATCTTATAGTTGATTGCGTTTTCTTTTTTCATTCAACATTCATTCAATGCATACTAATACTGGCACCTGCTAAGTGCCAGTCACTAGTCTAGGTCCCGGGGAACACAGCAGGGAACAAAACAGACACATATACTTGCTCTCATGGAGCCTACATTTCAGTGTAGAAAACACACTCTGATTGTTAGGAAATACAGAGCCATATTTCAGGCCACCTTCAACAACTGTAAATGACCATATAAAATACATTTCTGGTTTGAATATGGCTCCTGGCTGTATGGTTCTCTAACCCTCATCATCTCTTTACCTGATTCTCTCTACTTTTTCTTTTTCTCTTTTTGGCTACTGTGTACATTTTATTTTTGCAAAATGCCTCAAACCCTTCATAGAATGAGGCAGAATATAAATAAACCACTAATTATGTGCAGCAAAGCCAATGCAATGCAAGAAAGTTATAGAGAATTGCATTTTATTCTAATACACAAATAGTCTAATATCCTGACATGAAATGGCTCATCTTATAATCTAGTGACTTTTCTGACCTTAGAATTGGCTGTTCACCTTGTCTGTGGAATTCTGACATGGTGCTTCTGCCATGAAGTGGTTTCTACTGGATAATATCTCAGGTGGCTTTTAGTAGTCTTGATAGTATGGAAATTCCATGATTTCAATTATTCCACACATCACAACGGCTCCTATTCTCCCCACAAGTCCCCAGACACAATATCTATTGGAGAAGATGAATTCTTTGGGAAGATGGTAACTCTGGAGAATCCCAAGAGGCAGGGGAGGGGAGACGGGTGGAGAGGGAGAGGGTTTTCTGCCAGAAAAGCAGCTCAGGGCTCAAATCCTCCACCTGGTCCATGTTTTGTGACACTCACTAAAATCTAAACTTCTGCCTTTTTTTCTAACTTGTCTTGATCCAATTCATGGTTTTCTTCAGATGAATAAAATATTCCTGTATTTATAGTAGATGCTGTAAACCAGCCAGCCGTGATATTTTTTATATCATAAGCAGCTGCTCTCTGAGCCGACACTGAGTAAAAAAGGCCGATTTGTATTTTTACAGCCAGACATGAAACCAGCTTTCAATAATTTGGGAAGCACATGCCACCACTTTGATCCTCAGGGTGGTAATTTTTAAATGAGCCTCTAAAGATTGCAGATACTCCAATTAATATAATCCTGAAAGGTAGCCCCATTGTAACCACTTACTCAAAAACAGGAAATTTTAAAGAATTAATTGATTTTAACTTCAATATGAAATATTGGCACTTGTGATGATACTACTCTGTGAATAGGTAGAGGCAGCATTTATGACCTTTTTAACTACATTCCATTCACTGAAAAATGACAACTATGCTAAAGAAATACTTTCCTCCTTGCTGCTGGCTTCTCCCAATGAGAGCTTTTAGTAAAGGGCATAGAAAGTCCTGCCAATAAATAACAAAAATTTACTATCCCCACCATCATTTTACAGTCTTGCCCTCCCCACAAGAGGAACACAGAAAGCAGAATAGATGAAATCAACCTGCTTTGCTCAGCACCAAGGACATATTATTACTCAAACTGGGCAACTAAGGGAGAGATTAGTCTAGGAAGAATACACAGACGGAAAATGGTGTTGCCCCAGAAACATTTCTTGTTTTTTGTTGTTGTTGTTCCAGTTTCCCACCACTGATAGCTGTCTGCTCTGATTTATCTCCAATGTTACAGAAATCAGAATTTTCCTCACCTTTCGAGGACACTGAAAGATAGAAACCCCTTTGCGTCAAAAGCCATCTAGAAGGAACCATGTCTGCATTCCTTTTGTGGGATTTAACACCCCTCTCTGTATAAGAGAGACTAGGATGCTTTAGAAAATGCATCTTCAGACTCCTTGAATTGAGGAAGGAAGAGAGAGCCAGAAAGAGCTTAACTGGAATGAAAAGCATTTTCCTGGACTCTGCTCTCCTGAATTAATCAGCTCCAGCATAGGCAGCTTAAAGAGCTTGTTGGGGAAAAATTTCTCGCTCATATGTCTATTTCTAGCCAGGCTGTATACAGATGAGTGCTTTCTAGCCTTTGGTCTGGGGCCATTGCTATCCAAATCAAAACAACTGTTTGCCATTTCTATAGAGAACTTTAATGATCTGAAAGGAAATCACAGGATGTAGAAAAAGACCCAGATTTCTCTCCATTAGTGGTTTCAAGGGCTCTTGGTATAGTGATTCTTGAAATTACAATTATAGTTCACGAAGTTTCTCAGACAAAGCCCAGCTATTAGATTTGGTTTAAGGAAAGAACAGGGAGAGCTCTGGGCTTTATCTAATAGAACCCCAGCTTTACAGTCCTTGTCTAAGTCTTTAAGGAAAATAACTTACACCAGGGAGTAAAAAGATATATTTCCTTCTTAGTAAGTAGGCCTTTAGAACCTAGCACAAGTTCTTCCCCCCGCCCCCATTATTTTGGGCTTAATACCTATATTCAGGCTATTATTTTCATAGTTAATCCCTTGCTGCTCTAAATACATTTTTTATTATACCACTGATTTCAATAACATTACTCTGCTTCCACTTACAGTGATGGCATACCCAAACTCTCCCCAAACAAGAAATGCATAGGAGCAAACGAAAAGCATTGATGATAATTGAGTTTCTGCAATGGATTGCCATTGGGCTAGCCATTTTCGCCAGTGCAATTAAAGTCTCTACGCATGTGCTATAAGATTAGTATAATTCTCTCCATTTTTTAGATGAAGAAACTGAGGCTCTAGGAGATTCACCCAAGCCCCCAAGTTTCTACAGTTTGAACTCAGGTAGCCTGACTTTAGAACCCGTGCTCTTTTCTGATAGACAAAATTGCCTCTTGTTCAGGATTGAAGATACAATCTACATTTCGTAGATGGCAATGTAAAGGCTAAGATTTCAGACTTTCTCAGACTCCCACAGTGATCCTTGCCAGGTTGGTATTCCTGGAAGTCTGTTTACAATACCATAGCACTCAGCACAGTCACTCAAGACAGATCATCTGGCTGAATCAGAGTGGTGCCTGGGCAGCACACGGGACTCTGTAAGAGAAGATCTTACAAGTTACCTTATACTTAATGTAAAGAATAGCTTTCCTTGGGAATGGTAGAAGCCTGCCCACAATAATATTAACCCACTTGGTTATGTTATACTGTCTTACTGGCAGCCTGCACCCATTCATCTTTACTATTTTTACTATTTTGTTGCACCAAGTGATTACTGAGTTTTCCTATATTCATGACAGCAACGTGGAATTCTGATTTCCCACTTACGCTACACAGGCATACCACCCAATGAAGATAACTGAACTTTCTTCAAGAACTGTATATTTCTACACCATTCCTGGGACCCAGCATGGAGAATGAATATACACCCAGAAAGCCTCAAAAGAGATGTTCCTTGATACTTCCAACCACTCAGAGTTAGCAGAATGGGATCAAAGATCCCTTTTCCTTTCCTTGTACAAATGCACTCTGCACATCTGCATCTGAGTAGGAGCCCCGGATTTCTACATAAGTCATGGGAAGTCAGGTCAGGGCAGAAGGGCATTGTGGCGGAGGCTAACAGCTGGCCACCAAAATCCATTGTCCCCTTCTTCCACAGTAATAAAGTTGTTGCCAGACACATCGAAGGCCTCTGTCATGTTCTTACATTTGAGCCCCTCTGTACAGCTACAGTGTATTTAAACATAATTGCCTGGCGACACGTTTGCTAGTATTGTTTGCAGTTATTTGTGACCATGTGACTATGCTCTAGACCAGTGGTTCTAAAAACATCAGCATCACCTGAGAGCTTGTTAGATATACAAATTCCCATATTCAGTGAATCAGAAACTCTGGGGGCAGAGCTCACAGTATGCATTTTAACAAGACCTGCAGGGTATTCTGATGCATGTTGAGGTTCCTGAAAATAAAACGTGAATAGAAATAATGTGTGGTCCTTCCATGCCTAGGCCTAAAGACATTGAGTAGGCCTCTTCCATGCTCTTGTCCTGCTTCCTTCAGGCCAGAGCCAGATAAGGCTTCAACCTCGGATCAACCATGCTGATGGAGACAGTGCTTTAGGGCAGAGGTTTTATGCCAGTTTGATGAAGCTAAAGAGTCTCAGATTTAAGTTTCGAATGCATACAGTAAAATATATAAGATTATTTTTAAAAACCATTTGTATTGGCCTGGTGCAGTGGCTGACACCTGTAATCCCAGCAGTTTGGGAGGCCAAGACAGGCAGATCACTTGAGGTCAGGAGTTTGAGACTAGCCTGGCCAACATGGTGAAATCCCGTCTGTACTAAAAATACAAAAAATTAGCTGGGTGTGGTGGCATGCACCAGTAATCCCAGCTACTTGGGAGGCTGAGGTGGGAGAATCACTTAAACTCAGGAGGTGGAGGTTCCAGTGAGCTGAGATTGTGCTACTGCACTCCAGCCTGGGCAACAGAGTGAGACCCTGTCTCAAAAATGAAAACAAAAACAAATAAACCACAAATCTTTGAAACAGCACTATATGTACAGTTTTAGTAATGCATTAACAAGATCTGGTGGTAGGTATAATGACTTACATAAATTTGAGATATCTGCAAAAACTGTAATATAATATGGAAAATATCTGTGATTTCTCTTTTTTTTTCAATTCAAATGAACATTTATTGTCTGTGATTTCTATTGGTGACAAAGTTCCAGGTACTCCTACTATAGGTTGTTGTCTACATTTCTAATGTAAGGAAATGCTAAATTTCAATTAGAGATTTGTGGTAGGCTGAATAATAGCCCCCAAAGACATCCATGTGTGAATCCCAGAACCTGTGACTGTTACCTTACATGGCAAAAGGGACTTTACAGCAGAGGTGATTAAGTTAAGGATTTTGAGATGGGAAAATTATCCTGGATTATTCAGGTGGGGCCTAAATGTTATCACAAGTGTCCTTATAAGAGGAAGACAGAGGGAGATTGGATAATAGATGAGGATAAGGCAATGTAATGATGGATGCTATGTTGCCAGTTTTGAAGATGGAAGAAGGGTCACAAGCCAAGGAATGCAAGGAAGACTCCAGAAGGAGGAAAAGGCAGGGAAATTGATTAACTGCCAGAGCTTCCAGAAGGAACACAGCCTTGCCAATACCTTGACTTTATCCCAGTGAAACTGATTTAAGACTTCCGACCTCCAAAACTATAAGGGAATAGATCTGTGTTATTTAAAGCCATTAAGTTTGTGGCCATTCGTCACAGCAGCAATGGGAAATGCATATAAGGTTAGTTAAAATAATGGTGATTTTTTTTTCCATCAGTGTTCATGAACCTCTTGAGTTCTATCCATGAACCCTAGGTTAAGAATTCTTACCCTAAGGTTTTGGGGAGCTACAAAGTGGAAGGAACCTGGGTCCTTGAATGACTCCATGAGGCAGTGCTGCCTATGAATATAGAACCCTTACTTTAGACCAATACTAAGAGAAAAAAAAACGTCTTTGATTCTTTAAGCCACTGAATTTTTGGAGGCTCTTTGTAATAGCACCATAGCTTCCCTTAACTATTATGGTTAGTAGGTGATGCTTCAAGAGGGTACAGGGAATAGATATAAGGGAATCGTATATGGACAGGAAGAAGAATACAAAGCACCTCAGCCCATCTGACTAAGGAGCAAACAGTACTGATGAGTGGTAAGGGCTGGAAACAGACCCAGCAAGGTCAGGAAGCTGGGGCTGCACATCACAGGGCAGGGTGAGAAAGGGGTGGAGTCATGGAAGGTGGGGCAGCCAGGGCCCCAGCAGCATGAATGACTGAGGCCCTCTTTGTGTTTCAGATTTCATGTCTGAGGGTCATTCTCAGCTCACTGAATGCCCTGGAGTATTCAGCCAATAGGACCTGGACTTCTCTAGCAGCCATGCAAAAGAGCTTGGTTTGGGGTTTAGTGCATGTCTTGATGGTACCTTGCAGACACTTGGGCTCTTGTTCCCCCAGCCATGAATCTCTAGCCTTGTTCTCCAACTCTGAGACCCAAATGGGCTCCTCTAGTTTGAACAATCTTCTGGTCTCCCTTCCCTGCTTCTTGGACCTCAAAATTCAACTTTCCTCACCTTGCTGTCTTTAGTTCCCCTAAGGTGAAAATTTCCAACTTCAACCTAGCCTCTCACCTCCTGTTTCTTTAGAAACCCACCCCCAAGCTGAGCATGCCTCAGCCTCATCTGGAATGGATAAGGCTTCCAAAAGACATCTTTTCATCATGGTTCTGCCTTGAAATAAAGAAATGAACACTTCTCAAGAGTATTACTTGAAGATAAATTTATCTTCATTTATTATATATAGACATCAGCAGTTGAAGTCAATCACTAAGTGATGAAAAAGTATGAGTGTACATGTGCACAGAGTACTCATATTTCTTAAATCTTTCTGCACATGTTAAGAGGTGTTAAGGAGGAGAGAAGTTAGGTGGGTAGTTTAAACCCTACCTTTACATTGTTTTAATGTATATATAATGATTTTCCTTGTACAGTTCCTTATATTTATCAATAAAACCCGGTAATCCCGTAATAAAGCAGAGTCGCTGAAGAATGTCTGTGATGAAATTTTGGAGATGTTAACAGCTGATGAAAATTGAAAAAAATGAAGTAATAAGAACAAAATTTTCTTCTGAAAATGCCATCTGGAGTAGCCATTAAATAATCATAACTCCTCACATTGGTGGGAAATTTGGTCAGACCGAAGTAAATGTAAGCGCAACAACAAGAAAGTTCAAATAATTAGACAAATATAAAGAACTAATGAAAAGAATGTCTTTTCTTAATTGTACATTTTGATATAAAAATATCTAAATTAACTCTGGGGATAGGAATATATAAATTATTATTAAAATATGACTATAACTTAATTACAGTTTTGTTTCATTTAGTTCCTCAAATGCATTCCTGGAAACTTAGGCAAAAATCTATCAGTTTTTTTCTTGGTTATAATTATAATTTTGGAGCTTCCATGAATACATGAAAGTCAATTGCAAGAAATTTTTAAAAGATACCAATTATAATGGTAACAAAACTATATAAGGTACCTAGGAATAAATCTAACATGTACAATAATTCTATGAAAAAAATTGTAAAACTATTGAAAGATGGTAAAGAAAAACTAAATCAGTCAAGTCTATGAACATACTATGTTCACAGGTAGGAGGATTTAATAGGATAAATAGTCTACTCTTCCCCAGATTGAACTATAAACTGAATACAATTGAATACAATTTCAACAAGATGGATCTTGGCATACTGCTTCCAAAATATACATGAAGAATAATGCTGCAGCCTATCTAAGATGCTCCTAAAGAAGAGAAACCAAGTGGAGGAATTGGCTCGCCCAAATACCATGACTTATTATATAACTGTGTATAATAATGTAGAGGTTCATTTTGGATAGTGTATGGTGAGGTGGGGATTCGTTTCCATTCTTTCCCCTAGAGACAGACTATTACCTCAGTATCATATATTGAATAGTTCATTTTATCTTCTTAATTTGCAATATGCATGTATCTGTGTCTGTGGTCTCCTTCCTGTTCCCTTGTTTAGTCCCTATGCTAATCTCGGAAGTAATCCCATCACTTTTGCCATACTCTATTGGTTAGAAGCACATCACTAGGTCCAGTCCACATTAAAGGGAAGGGGATAACACAAGAGCGTGAATATTAGGAAGTGGGAATCACTGGAGGTCATCTTAGAAGTCAGCCTGCTACAATATATGTCAGCCCAATAGGAAATTATACAAAAGGCATTAACAAATATTTCACAAGGGAAACACAAAAGACTTATAAACAGTTGAAATGCTGCTCAACTCCATTAATTAATTAATTTCTAATACCACAGTGGATATCATTTCATGCCCACCAAAACAGAAAAATTCAAAAATGACTGTATTAGTTGTTGATTATTTCCATATGTTGGAGCAATGCTAACTAGTACATATTTTTCATAAGTGTGCAAATTGGTACAACAAAACTTTGGAAAAGAATTTGGCATTACCTAATAAAGTTAAAATGCAGAAACCTTTAGCCTGATAATTTAACTTCAAGCATACACTCTAAAGAAACCGTTGTGCATGTGCCCTGGGAGAAATGTACAACAACATACATAGCAACCTAATTTGTAATAGACCAATACCACAAAGCCAAATGTGCAGCACCAGTAAAATGGATAAATTGTGACATAGTCATACAATAGAATACCATCTAGTAGCTAAAGTGAATAAACTACAGCTATACACATGAACATGAGGAACATTAAAAAAAAAACCATATTATTGGCTGGGTGCGTGCGGTAACTCACATTTGTAATCCCAGCACTTTGGGAGGCTGAAGTGGGCGGATGGCTTGAGGTCAGGAGTTGGAGACCAGCTTGGCCAACATGACAAAACCCTGTCTCTACTAAAAAAATACAAAAATTAGCTGGGTGTGGTGGTGGTGCACCTGTGGTCTCAGCTACTTGGGAGGCTGAGGCATGAGAATGGCTTGAACCCAGGAGGCGGAGGTTGCAGTGAGCTGAGATCATGCCACTATTCTCCAGCCTGGGTGAGAGAGTGAGATATCATCTCAAAAAAAAAAAAAGAAAACAAAAACCAAAAAACAAAAAACCCCCAAAACCCACCATACTACTGAGTGATATAAACAATTCATAGAGATTAGCATACAGTATGATGTTATTTATATGAAGTTCAAGAACAAGGAAAGCCAAATAATTTGCGTATTTATATATCTATATCTATATCAATATCAAGAAAGTTATTAACAAAAGCAGGATAATGAAGTTTCAAAGCTGTTGGGCAATGAGTACTTAAATGTTTATTATTATTATTATTATTTCAGCAGTGAGCACACAATACATTATCTTATATATGGTGTTTTTGTGTTAAAAAGTATAGGGAAAAATAACAATAGCTACTGTTTTTTGAGCATCCCTCTGTGCTAGCCACCTTGCAGGTGCTCTCTTTGAAGGAATGCATCCTGAGCTTTTTTTTTTTTAATGCTCCACCTCTCATTTTCTGTTTATTGGTTTTTACTTTCAGGAGTCCTAACCTAAAATAAAATAGAACATACTGTGCTTAAAGCAAGGGGGGAATCATGTAACAATAAAACCAGTGAAGAAAATTCTAATGCTCAGGTAAGGTAAGTAGAATTTTACCTTTATACACAAGCCAGAAATTATAACCATTTAATCTACCCACAGAACCCTCTGGGCCAAAAGTAGCCAAATGGACAATCAGACTGTAGCAGGATTTCTTAACCTCAGTACTATTGACATTTGGGGCCAGATCATTATTTGCTATGCAGCTGTCCTGTGCATCGCAGGAGGAGATGCGTAGCTCTCCTCCCCAAAGTTGTGACAACCAAAAATACTTCGTACACTGTCAAGTGTTCCCTGGGGAGGCAAGATTGCCCCTGTTTGAGACCCACTGAACCAGATGGTCTTGGCACACTCAGTGGAAGTACACACATAGGGAAACTATCAAATGTCTATCTTATATTTCCTTGGTATTTCTGTCATTCATCTATTCCCTTGACATTTATTGAGACACATTCTTAAGAACTAAGTGTTAACTTTAACAGTTAAATGATCACTTCAGGTTTCTTGAATACTAATCACCCGGCATCAGCTCGGAAATAATCCAACAGTTTATAATCACAAGTCTGCATTTCTTTATTGTCAAGATCTTTTCAAAATAAATAGAAGACTAGATAGACCTCAACAGGATTCAAGTATGCATTAGTGTCCACTTGTAGGTTTGAGCTGACCTTAAAGGGGGCCAATTACGCCCTCCACACTCAAGGCTAATGGAGTTTTTTTGAAGTTTTGTTGGGTTTAGCATATGAGGAGCTTCCAGCTATGTAAACTGGATAGCTGCTTAAATTGATTAAATCATAACCTGAGCTAAGTGGATATGCTGATAGCAAGACTGACCTGTATTAAAAATTTAGGGAAAGGACACTTGAAAATGTTAATGCACACACTTATATGTATGCATAGCTTTTTTTTCTACTTACATAGGAGAAAGGTTTTCAGCCTCTCTGTACATGGTGAATGTAGGCTGCAGACTTCATGAAACCCTTTGGATGTTCATTTTCTTTGCTTAGTCATTTAAAAGACTCTTCTCTAGCTGTGCATGATTTGCTCTTTCTCTGTCCTTGCTCATATTTTTAAATTGTGCATTTACAAGGAATAAAAAGAAACTCCTAAGTTGCAGTGTAACTGTGCGCAAGGAGTGTATTTTGGTCCCTGCTGCTGTGTCAGAGGCTCAAAGAAGGGATGCTGTTGCCATAGAGACAGAAATGTTGAGCTGGCTCTATCACCTTTGCCCTGCTATTTAGAATCATATGCACAGCAAAGCTCTGGCAGACACAGGGCTTTCTCTGGTAGGTCAACCACCTCCTCCCTTTTTCTCTTTTAAAAACATCAACTTGGCAGATTAATGCCATTTTCATTTATGACTGTTATAAAACATAACGTAAATATCCTCTTGCACAGAATGAATGGGCAGCTCTTTGTGTCATCTCATTCCAGCATGAAACTGAAATTCCTTGAGAGTTTGCCAAAACCAGTTCCCCTAATGGGTTCTACCCTCTATCTTGGCTTTCTAAGAGTACCAGAGCAGTGGGTAGAGAACAGAGAGAAACCATGGACATTATAAGATGAGGCAAAAGTGATAGAAAGGAAGTTAATTGCAGGCTTTTAAAATGTTGTTTAAACAAACCCCTCTGTGCTTGGGATACAGGCTCTTCTCATACACTCCTGGTGAATGAGTGGGCCCATGTTGGCTTTCTGAAGGCAATTCAGCAATACATATCAAAAGCCTTAAAAATGCCTCTTGGCCCATCAATTACAATTCTAGCGATTAATTATAAGAGCACATAAGTGATTGTAAATAAATATTTTACCACAGTTTTATTTACGAGAGTGGAAAACTGGAAACATCCAGTTTCAGAAACATGCTCACAAAAGCGGATTGGTTAAATAAATTCTAGTACACTACACAATGGAATACTAGGCAACTGTATTAAATAACAGTGTAGAAGGTTATTTATTAACTTGGAAATGTATTCAAGTGATACTATTTAATTTAAAAAAGTTTACAAATCACTAAGTGCATTAGTATTCCATTTAAGAAAAATAATTATTGAAATACACACATATACACATGGAAAACTGAAAGGTTATATACCAAATTTTGGTTCTTTGAGTGTTATTTTAACTTATTCTTTTTACTTCTCAATTTTATAAGTTTTACAGTGACCCTCTATTACTTGTATAATTTAAAAGGGTCAATTACTAAAAAAAATTAATTCGTATGCATATGAAAAACATTCTTTAACTTAAAAAGTCTTAGAAGTGTTTCTTAGAGAAAGGGAATTTCTACTCAATGTCCTCAGAATTTCAAGACCAAGTCATTACCTTCTGCTCTCAAATGGATCCTTTTCAGAATTTTGGGGACACTTTTTTAGGCCCCACAAAACACAGTCAGTTAAGTCCAGCTAAAAGCATTGAACTTACTGAATTTTTGAGCTACTCTAAACTGGTGTCCAGAATAGCCTCCAAGAAAGCAGGGCTCACTCTATCCATCACCTCTGCCAGAACTCTCGGCTACCCAGGTAACGACATCCACAGAGGGGAGGCACCAGCTGCTGCTGAGAGCTGAGATGAGGTGCAGATGAGGGGATTTAATAGTCCCATCTCTGTCCTCTCAGAATCCTTCCACTGGGGATGCAGGGATGGGGGTGGGGGAATAAACCTTGAGCAAACCATAAATAAACTTGCTGCTAGGATGTGATTGCAACTCTCCATGCTCTCTCGCTTTCTATCTTTCTCTCTCTCTCTTTCCAATTCTCTCTCTCTCACACACACAGACATACACAAATTTGTCATTACCAATGAACCCTTTTTTCAATATGACATGGAGGTGAGTATTCCTACATCACCTGTACTTATTTCCTTTCCTAATGGAGAAATTTTTGTGAGTCCAAAATAATGTGCAGAAGCATTGGATGCGAACAATTGAGACACGACCACAGTTGCTCGTCACTCTAGTGACACCTTCCCCTCCAACTATCAATTTCCTCAACACGATCACAGCAAACAAGATAAACACTTGGGTCACTACAAAGCATAAGACCACCTTAACAATATTTCCATGGACCCACTGTAAAACATGAACACCATATTAACTGTGGAGTTCTTGAAACTGCAGGATGGGAGGAGTAGCCCTTTCCATCGCCCCGTATCCCCAGCCCTGGCAGCTCTGGAGGGGTGTGGCCTATATTATTTAACAAGCAGTGAAGCTAAGGTCTCCAAGCTCCTCTGGCTTGCCCTAAAACTTCACTCTCAAGTTTTCATTCACTGACTGCCCTCCTGTAGCCGGACAGGCAAAGCAAATCAAAGACAAAATGCCTCCCCAAGTTTCCATTAGCTGGAGCTTTTTGAATAGCAACCCTTAACCACAAGAACAACATCTACACAGGCTTTGGTGAAAAACAATATTGGTTAAAAGAATAAGATGGAATGGCCTGGAATAAAGCACCAAAACATAGGACAGAAATGATTTGTCTAGACTAAATACAAGGCATTGCTTTTCATTTTCTCAATATTGCTTTTGATACGGTATGCAATAGACTAAATGTGCTCCTCCACGAAATTCACATGTGAAACTCTAACCTCCAACGTGATGGTATTAAGAGGTGGGGCCTTTGGGAGGTGATTTGGTCATGAGGGTGGAGTTTCTGGTCTGCAACCCTGAAGAAAGCCCTCACCAGAACCTGATCATGCTGGCACCCTGATCTCAGATTTCTAGCCTCCAGAACTGGGAGACATAAATTTCTGTTGTTTGTAAGCCCCCCATTGTATGGCACTTTGTTATAGCAGCCTGAACCAAGACATGGTACTTAAAAAATGTCAGAATGTATTTTTACTTCAGTTTAGTTCAACAAAAATTTACTGATCCTCTCTGTACCTCACTATTTTCTTCTGTAAAATGAGAACAGGAATAGAAACTATCCCTGGTGTTGTTCTTAGGATTAGATGAATCAGTATGTGTAAAGCATCTAAAAGTGCCTGGCACAAGGTGGATGCTCAATAATTATTACCATTTTTTTTATCATTACTGAGCATCCCTCACTACCAGACACTTACTGAGCATTTTATGTGAAATAGTTGGATCTTTTTTATTGCACTACATCATTCCATTGTATGAACACTCTTTATCCATTCTCCTGTCAATAGACAGGTGAGTTTCTTCGTAGTTTTTGGCTATTGTTAATTAAGCTGCTATGAACCTTTTTGTAGTCATCCTTTGCAGGATATGTGCACCCATTTCTCTTCCATTTCTCTTGCGTACATACCTGGAAGTGGAATTGATAGATCACTGTTCAGCTTTCTAGAGGCTGTCAAACAGTTTCCAATGTATTGACAATACTTATCTGTTAATGATCTACTTTGTGCTAAGCACGGAACCACCAGCTGGGTTCTGAAGCTATACGATAAACAAGACATAGTCCCTTCCCCTGTGGAGTTAGAAATGCTACCCCCCTAAGTAGCACTTTAAATATCTTGGCTCTTACTGTTCCCTTTTTATCTTTCAACAGAAGGACAGGAGTGCTACGTACAGACAAAAAGGTTGAAATGCAAAAAAATGTAAGTGACAGGCTCATGATCTCTAGAATCATAAGGCAAATTAGCAGTGAAGCTAGAACTAGCAGAACAACAACAACAACACAAAGAAACAAACACGCACACATTCCACTCTTTTTTCTGAGCAACTAGGTCATAAAGCTTCAAAGGGAGGCCATCCTCAGATATATGCAGTAGTGGGCAGTTCATGCCCCTGCCTGCTTTTATTAGGCCAACGTGCAGTACACTAGGTGAGCATAGCTGAGACACTGGGGAGCTCCTGAAACCTTTCTCTATGCTCTGGAAAAATCCAGCATTGAGCTACCTGAGCTAGTCTTTAGTTTGGCTCTGTGCGAAAGCAAACAAGAGGAATATCAGTAGCTACCTTTCCCTCTGCATAAGGAAACTGGACATCTTAGTGAAAAAAAAAAAAAAAGACACATTTGGGCAACCACAGTTAAATGTTTTATTTGGCACAGAGAGACACATTCTAATTCAACATAGGGCTGAACTGATATGAACACTTTTGGGTGGAAGGGAGATACCAGGGTTACTCAACCTTGGCACTATTGACCTTTGGAGCTGGATGACTCTTTGTTGTGGAATTGTTCCGAACACTGTAGAATGCTCAGCAGCATCCCTGGCTCCCACCCATAGATGCCAGCAGCACCCAATTGAGACAACCAAAATGTCTTGAGACATTGCCAAATGTGTATGGGGGAGCAAAACTGACCCTGGTTGAATCACTGGGATACACTTATGTTAAGAATGTGGGACAGTTGAGCTTTCCTATTTCCTAACATTCTAAATCTTGCAGGTGGGTCCTATTGTAAGGGAGAAGGGCCGACATTTAATATCAAGGAACTCTGATACTCCATAGACAAGTGTCAAGAACACTTAGTGTTTTACTTCCTTAAGGGAAATAACTAGAATATTAATACAGAATAATAAACAGAAAACCCCATTTCAACTATTGGAAAATCTGAGTTATGTCATTTTTCAATATGATTTTACTTCGAATGCAGCAGGGTGAGCTTTTCAGAAACTTCTTTGCTGAATAATGATTTGCAATTTTGTATCAGTTGCGTATTAATAGATATTATGAGAGTGCTTTAAGAAGAAAAACTACTTCTTCTCTAAATGCTTTGTTTTTGTTGATGTTATTGACACTTGTGATTTTCCCTATCTCTAAATAAAGGTTTAGGTAAACAGATGTTAAATTTTTGTTTGGATCTTGCCTAATTATGGTCCAGCAAGGCCAGGGGAGTTATTGTTTTTCAAAGAAGGATCTTCTTTTCCATAACGATAAAGGTTTAACAATGTATATATCTCTCATTCATTCATTCATTCACTTAAAAAAAGGTAATTATTCAGCCTGAGCAACAAGGCAAAACCCCGCCTTTACTACAGGCCTGTGCCACCATAAGCCAGGCATGGTGGCACATGCCTATAGTCCTAGCTGCTCTGGAGGCTGAGGTGGGAGGTTGGCTTGAGCCTTGGAGGTCAAGACTACAGTGAGCTGTGATTGCACCACTGCACTCCAGCCTGGGCAACAGAGTGAGACTCTGTCTCAGAAAAAGGTAATTATTGAGCATCTACTAGTTGCTCTGTTATGGGGATATAAGTGTGCACAAGACAGGCACAGAGTGCATGCTGGTGGTAGTGGGTGGAAAGCACACTATGGAGCACCAGTGGTGGTATATTCTTAGTTCTAGCTTTGCCAGTGGCCACCTCTCAGACTTTTGGAGGGCCACTTCATCTTTCTGGAACCATGTATTAAGTGAGATAGGTGGATTAACTAAAATGGCAAATAGGTTTCACCTCTAGTGCCAACACATCAATTGCTATTGGCTGCCCAGAGCACTTGATTATGAGGTTCTATCTTCATTTAATGGCCACGAGGGCTATCACTGATTACTGATGTCTGGCATAGGCACACTGTGGAAACTGAGGGCAATCCGCATGAATTTGCCATCCCTGGACTTCTAAGGCTTCAGATTCTGTGATTTGCAAAGACTCTGCCCTTTCTATTTCAGTATAGTTTGGTGTAGGTGAGCAAGGTTATTTAAGTTTCTTACTTTGGAAACAGGCCATATTCTCCCTTTGCCCTATCCTCCACTTCTAATTTTCTTGTTCTGGTCCTAGAGAAGAACTGCAAATTAATTCCATAATACCATTCCCCCAAAGGTTAGTTTGCAATATTTTCTGACATCCTCCTTCATCTTTGAAAAGATCAAATAAGGCAAAACTTGACCTCCCTTCATTCAGGGCCTTTTTAGGTAAATGATTTCCCCGTGTAGTGAGAGATGACTGTTTTCTTAATTTTGAATAGATGAAAATAAGCACCAATCAACAAACCTTTGGCTAGGAGGAAAAAATCCCTTTAACTCACATTTTGCTTCAATTACATTGAGGACAAAGGAGCACATCACACCCTGTGCATGAATAGATGCTTCATTATTCAAAACAAGCATCAAAGAGCATTTCGTCCCCTATAGAAAATACGCAATCACTGTTTAATTCAATGGTAGGATGCAAATTTAAATTCCCATAAGGGAAAGGCTGTTAATGCCATTTAAATTGGTTGTAAATTACAGATAATACGCTCGAGACCCCCGAATACAGATTAGTGGAGTATTGCTTTAGGAATTCATTTCTACTTTGAACTTATTGTGTATTTATCTATGAAAAATAAAGCCATGAAGCCTTGTTTACAGCTACATTTTATTGCCTATCTTTTTTTTTTTATTTCTGAAGCAAATATTTCACTTTTAAATGCCATGGAGATGGTTCAGTGTAGTACAAGGAAACGCCATGATGTTAAACAGATTAGTCTTAGAGGCCACTCTTCATTAAAAACAAACAAACGAACAAACAAACAAACCGAAGAGAGAGGCAGTACGATGGCATTTGATAAAAATATCACATAGCTGACTTTTCTATCTTTTTACCTCATTTCTTTTGGTGTTCCTGCCATTTAAAAAGCCCACGGTCGCAAGACAATTATGCTTTTCAGAAATTAGAGGCTGTGATTATCTCTTGCTGCTAAAGTATGTCAACCACTTAGAGGTTGTTTCTCATTTTCACAGATTAACTAATCATGAGTGGGATGCCTGATGGGTGAGTCTTTGTTGGAAGAATTATTCCTTAAAAACAAGGGCCTTTCAGAAGAAGAACGTGTTAGATAAAAATGGACACTTTTCAACAAAGGTTTCTGAGCTCCCAGCTTGAAGAATAGCAATTTCCCTCCCAGCTCAGAGAAGTAAAAACTATTCCTTCTTTGATGTGGTTTCATGTCTCACGTAGGAAATAGGGTTATGTGGGTGATAAAAATAAATCAGCTCTGAGGCTCATGTTTTCTTCTCTGGCAGCCTAGGGGGTGTGTTTTTATTTTGTGAGTGTGAAACTGAAAGGTATATAAAAAAAGTTGCCATTGATATATACACACACAATGAAGCCAAGCTATGGAACAATGGAGGAATGCCTAATTCATTATGCCAGAAAATGGATCATTACCATCAATACCACATGGAGTTAATCATTTCCAAAGAGCTATAGTACCAGGATATCCATAACACTGCACCTAAATGGAATAATGTTTTATTTTTTCTTTGATCTGTCACAGGTACTTCAATCTTTGCCAGGACTCTAGTGACACTATAAACATTTCATTACATTGTTCCTATGAATTACACAAACCTTGTGATAGCTCTTGAAGTTAATTGAATTTTTTTTAAATTCCCAGTATTATCTTGTTTGTCATTTTGTAATGCTTTATAAAATAACATGGAACCTGACCCTCCTTTTCTTTTCCTGGCTATTTGCATTTAGGTTAAATGGGAGTTTTTTCTTTACAACTAAGGATAAGGATGAAAACAGCTAGTTGAAACCCAAGAGTAAGGTAATCTGTTCACGTTAAGAAACTAACAAAATGGGGGTAGCAAGCGTGGGAGGGGCGAATTCATGGTTTAGGATCTTTCTGCTTTCTTTGATAGGATTTGGGTTAGAATAATCTTGATGCAAATAAAAAGTGGATGAGGAGTCTTTGAATTTCATTTTTAAGCCCTCAATGCTCTGGGCATCTGTTCATCTTCAGCCTCATCAGGTGAGGCTAGAACCTGACCTGCTTCCCAAGCTGTACCCATCTGTGCCAGAAGTGAGTGCGTGACCAGCACAGTGGTGCTTTTCTCAGTCTCTCCTGGGGGTGGGTTTGGACATGCATGTTCTTTCTGGGAGAAACCATGGACCAGTGTTGCAGTATGGTGGATAGGCAATGCCAGCCTGCTCTAGATCCCCATGACCTGGCCCACAACTCCCAAGTTAGCAAGAAGAGCAGTGAGGCAGAGCAGAACAAGTACCAGACTTCAAGCCATGCCACCTCGGTTCTCGACAGTCCTCTGTCAGCTCTCTGGGCCTCAGTTTCCTCATCTGGAAAGTGAGGAGGACTATGCATTTTAACTAACGTTTACCACTTAGCACATGCCAGACTCAACCTTGGACCCTGGGCACAAATAAAAATAAGACATCGTTCTCGTCCTCCAAGGACTCAGGGGAGGAGCTGGGAGGAATGTAGACAAACTTGTAACCAGATAATGATATTGCAACTTGGTAAGTTCTTAACCCAGGTATAAACAGAAAGCTGTCGAAACCCAGAGGGAGAACCAGTTAGATTTCAGATCACTTCGGCAAAGCCACAAAGAGCACAGGCTTTGAAGCCAGAGCACTTGGGCAAGATCTGGCTTCCCCCTTACTAGCTGTGTGACTTGGGACAAATTACTTAAGCTCTCTATGCCTCAGTTCCTCATTTTTCAAATGGAGGTGATAGTAGTGCCTACCCCCTTGGATTGTTCAAGTGATTAGGACAGTGCCTGGCATGTAATGAGTCCTACATATATTATGCTAATGTTACAGAATTCCCAGAAGTCCATGAGGCTGAAAAGGAGCTAGTGAATGGAAGGGAATCCTTAATTGAAAAAAACAAATCTAGCTGTGTTTTAGAGAGAATAAAGACAAGCATATATTTTGTGCTTATTAGGTGTCAGATGGTTCACTAAAATCCCCACCTGCCACCCCCCCTTGGATGCCCATAAGTCAGTGTCCAGGCTGCAAGCAGGAGCATTTGGCATGGTTAGGAGTACATGGCATGCTTAGGGGTGTTCTGCATTAGGACTAGGGAAGGACCACTGTTTGATCTGCAACAGCTCCCAAAGAACACACACGGATAAACTAACCATCCCCTTGCCAGCCTAGCTAGGTCAGACGGTGGAAGCAAAGTCTGGGGCAGGAACATTTTCGGGCCTCGTTGATTCCTGCCTCTAAGAGGGCAAATAAGCAGGTGGGTGGGTCTTTTAGCTTGGGGAAGGCAAAACTTGGGCAGAACTTGGACCTGGCAGGAATGAAGGCTGTTGGGCTGGCTGGGTGTTAGCTGACTCAGGCCAGGTGAGGGCAACTGTGGGCTGTTTGGGAAAGCCCTTCTGGGAAATGCAAGTCAAAGAGATGGGGTAGAGAGACTCAGGAGGCTGGGCAGGGGTGTTTATGAGCAATGCGAGAGGAAGGAGATCACATGAGGCCCTGGAAATACAACATTGAGTAGGACAGGAAAACAAGTCACATGAGCACACACCTGAGATGGCCAGAGTCACGGAAACAGGGGTGCGCTGGGAAATAATCAACAACAAGCTCTCATGGGGCAGGAAGAGCCACAGAATTTGCTGATTTCCCAAGTGTAGATACCACCACTGTAGCTAACTTCAATCTATCAATGTGATGTCACTAAAGTGCCCGTGAAACATTATTTCCACCGTACAGATACGATAGAGTTACAGATGGCCTCAAGTGCCTTGATAATAGTAAAATGTAGGAAAAGAATTAGAAAGTGATGAGTTCTGGGTATTTATTACCTTTGTTTTGAATAGAGTTTTTAAGTTATAAATTTATATAATTTAATTTTAAATAATAACCATGGTTTGTAATTGGCTTACAAAGTTCCTGATGATTGAACCATCAGCCTGAGGAAGTTGGAGTAAGCTGGCTCCAAAGTGCTACTACTTGGGAATCTTACTGAATTCCTTGGAGCCTCAATTTTCTCAATGTTAAAATGGGATCTTTTTCTCATCAAAATAATCATAACTGGATCACAGGGTTCTTGTGACGGTCAGAAAAGTATGTAAAAGCATTTCAAAAACTGTAAGCAGCATATAAATATTATATACAAATACAATTTATTCTCATGGGTACAGTAACTTAGTGGTCAAAAGGGTAGTGTCTGGAGCCTGGATCTGCCAATCCTGGCTCTGCTTTTGTTTAGTTGTGTGACATGGGCAGATCTTTACTGTTTTGGGGCCTTAATTTCCTCACCTATGGAGTTTCTGTGAGGCTTAAGTGAATTAATATTATAAAGCACTCCTACCAGTGTGTGGCACATGGTGATCACCATTTAAGTATGGACTAAAATTGTTTATCAACCTGAAGAGCAGTCAGCTTGCAGTTCTTCCAGAACCAGAAGGTCTTTTAACTGAGAAATCCAAGATCCTGGCCTCCTCACGGCTTGGATTAAAGGGCCAGTTCCCCTCTAAGCTAACTGACTTGCTCTGTGCTACTGGCCAGTGCTTTTTAAATAATGAACCCCGAAGCCTAATTGCGGAGATAAAGATGCTGCTAGAATCAGATTCCACAGCCACTCACCATAGTAGCAGGGGGTAAAAGAGCTATCTTATTACATGCCTGGCTGGCTCAATTACTTCAGTCCTGACATAGACAGACGCTGGAGCCAGCCCAGGGCAGAGCCCTGGAGTTGGAGGGGTGGCTAGCTGCCCCACGGACCCTGGTCTCATTTACCATCTCTGTCACTATAGTCCCCTGGGCTGGGCAAGGGTAAGAGAGTAGCCAGATAGGATAAGAGAGATGGAGAAGGACAATTTGAGGCAGGAGATAGGAGTCATGGCTCATGGCTGCCATAGTAGCCACAGAGTGGCTCAAGGAATTCAGGGTTCTCAGGCAGAGTCAGAGACAGGTTTGAGGAAGGCGTGTGGGAAGGTGGTCAGGATCTCCTCACCAGGGATGATGAATTCACGTGCCATGACAGACAGATGAGAATAGAAAGACAGGAGCAAAAAAAGCCTTGGTCTGCAAGGTAGAAAAACCAAGGCAGGTTGGTAGGGCAAGGTTTTTCAAACTAAGGAATTGCATCCACTAGAGAGTCCTGAATTCCACGTAGTGGGACCATCATGTTCTTTTTCTCAACAAACTTGAATAAAATCCTGTGACATAGACTGTGAATATAGATTGATGTCCATCAATCCCATTTCCTCTTTTTGGGTGCTCAGACCATGTTTCCCTGTGGCCCTTGCAGCTGGAGACACGTGACTAGTTTCTGGCCAGCAGAGTACAGGCAAAAGTGGTAGAAGCCACTTACAAGCCTAACTATAAATCCTCCCGAGTGATTCTCTCCTATCCTCTCCCTTCCCCTCCGTTTCCCTCTCCTTTCATCCCCTCCCATCTCCTCCCTTTCCCTCTATCCTCCCTGTCCCCATTTATGCCATGATCCTGTGTTGAAGATGGTGGCACCATGATATAGAAAGAGCCTGGAGCCCTAGAGGAGGAAGAAGGCCATTGAGCAGAGCTTCCTAATAAGGATCAGGCTACAACATGAACAAGAAATACACTTTTGTTAAATCACTGAGATTTAGGGGCTGTTTGTTTCAGCAGCTAGCAAGCATTGCCCTGACTAATAACTACAACAATAAAATGGAATGGGGTGGAAGGGAGGGAACATAATGGAATATATTCAATTAAACTAGAGTAGAATAGAACAGAACAAAAACTATCAAAGTGCATTGCAGGTAGTGAAAAATAAATATTGTTTGATGAAGCATTTGTTTCAGTTCAGTTCATATGGATACTCGTTTTTAATATGAATTTTATTTTTTTTGCTGGAGGTGGAGGTGGAAAGTTTTGAAAATCACTGCCTTATAGCTGGAGGGAGGGTTGGGGGTGTGAATCATGAGAAAGCTTTAGGTAAAATGGGGATGCATATCTACAACCCTTTAAGAAGCAAGCTATGCACTTGCTAGCCATCCCTACCTTGTAGATGTTTGTCATGGAAGTTTGTCGATTGTGGCTGTTCAATCCACCTTCCCTTCCTTTGGTAACACCATCCCAGTCTTAGTCTATATAGTTTGTCTGGAGCTAACTCTGTCCGTTGGAATCAAGGAGGAGGACACACATATGAAGCCTAGAAAATCAAAGTGTTCCATTCCTAGAGCCATAGTGATTCAGTGATTGGTTTAGGAATGAACACCTGACCCAAGTTGGTCCAGTCAAACTGGGACTTTGGCTGGAGTTGTCATAAAAATAAGTGTTTTAGTTCCCCTGGTTTTGGAGTTGTGAGGATATAAATCTGAAGCTGCTGGCAGCCATCTTGCTATTATAGGAGAGAATGTGCTTAAGAATAGCACCATCATTGAAGAAGGCAGAGCGAGGAGATGGAACAAAACCAAGTCCTGCTGACATCATTTGAACTCCTGGATTTAGCCATGCCTGAAGTCATCCTTGTAGTTTTTAATTGATTCTATACTTTCACCTCTTTGCTTCTTCCCATTTGAGTTGGGTTTTTGACAGTTGTAACTGAAAGGGTCCTGAGGCTGTGTCTTCTACATCTTTAAGATGTCTTTTTTTTTTTTTTTTTTTGGTAAAATGGGCCTCAGAAAAAGTGGAAAACAGCTGGTCCTCAGGATCCTCCAGCCTTTGCCAAGGAAAAGTGGTTTTAATCACTGAAGAATGAGGCTTCAACATATGGAAAGACTGTAAGGTAAAGTAAAGGAGAAACTCATTTTTTCATGTTTTCTGTTTTGAGAGGATGAAGAACAGATGAATATTATTAGAGCTACTAATACATTTCTCTTCATTTATTTAGCAACAATTTATTGAACACCTTCCATGTGTTAGGAACTATGTTAGTCCCTGGAAATTATTAGGCCATGGAGATATTATTGAGTAATAACAGAACAAATTCTTATGAAGAATTTGTTACGTGTCAGACAATTCTGAGAACCTTACGTTTGTGAATCTTACTGGTCTTTCACATCTATTCTATCAGGCAGATACTATTACCATCTCTCGTTTTACAGATGAAGGAAACTAGGTGCAGAGGTTAAGCTAAGAAGAATCAGAGCTAGTGTTGAATGAAAGACTGATTTCCAGTTTAAGTCTTAAAGTCATTGAACCATGTGGTCTTTGCTGACCCTAAGCTCGTAGTTGTCCCTGCAAACAACCATCCTCTAAGCCTCTTAAGATCTCTGCCCTGAGTCCTTTCTACTTGAATTCAGTTTAATGAAGTCTGACTTTGACTTTGACTTGAACTGTAGCATCACTTGTTCAATTTCAGGCACTGCTCAACTTACTGTTCTGAAATTAATCTAACCATTAGCAATATGTGTGATCTGGGGAAAGGGAGGGTAATAAAAAATCACTTAGAGATACAGTTCAGCCTAATGGTTAAGAACACAGTTTGGGGACTCATCCTAGATACTGGGTTTAAATCCCTACTCTCCTATTTTCTGGCTGTGTATCCTTGCGGAACTTACTGACCCTCTCTGAGCTTTTGTCTCTTTATCTTAGAAACGGGGTTAATGATTTCAACTCATCTGATTGTTGCACAACTGTCATAAAATAAGAAAGTTCCTGGGGCAGAATCAGTACCTAGTAAATGCTGGTTGTTGTTATAGCTCTTCCTCTTTGGCTCTTAACTCCCTGTTTGTTAAATGAGGAGCTGAGCAAGATGCTCTCTGAGGTCTCTGCTGGCATAAGTGTGACTAGTATTTTCCAAATGTTAATTTGGGAATGGCAAATTCCCATTGTCATGGTTTTTCTTCTTAAAGACTTATTTTCTGTCGTGTTTCTGTAATTTTGGGCTTTGCATGCTAGTTTGAAACAGCCAAAGGAGCTTTAAGCCTTTTGTGTGACATCATAACTTGGTGCCCATAAATTGATGAAAAGCCATATACCAAACCAATGAGGAGAAGTCCAGGGGCTGATGGTCCTGGACATTCTCCTGGTTTGGTGCTGGGGGCAGAGGTGGCTTGGCTTCCCCTTGACTCTTCTGACAATCCTGAAGATATTCTCAACCCCAAGCTAGAGGTGATGACATTGTGGGAGGAACAGGGAGTGAGGGAGAGTAGGGGAGGGGAAAGGAGAGACAGCAGGAGGAGGAGAGGGAGGGGAAGGAGCAGGGGAGGGAACATGAGAGTAAAAAAAGAAGAGGGTGTTAGGGAGAAGGGCAGAAGGAGTAAGGGGTGGGGTAGGGGCAAGGGGTCACTCCTCCCACAAGAGGAGGGGAGAGGCAGGAGAAGGGGCAGGGGAGGAGAGGGGAAGGCTAGAACTCAACTAACTAGGAGAACACAGACATAGAGCTGGGTGGGCAGGTTGGGGAGGTCAGCTCAGACCTCACTACAAAATGTTCAGTTGGTTCTGGTAGAACCTGATTTCTGAACCATTTTGTTGAAAAACATGGAAGACACCCCAACACAGAAGACCATATGGGACTGAGGAAGAATTAATGAGCATAGAATCCTCTTTAAAGGTGAAGCTACCATAATGCAATTGAACTTTTTTTTCCACTCTGCATGTCATTCACAAATCATGGTTTATTTTACCCTTGAAATACCAAAGCGAAGACAATGCAAACAAAAAAATAGGTAGAATAAATGCCTATACTTCTCAACAAGACACTCTTCAATGGGATACATTTTCCTTCAATCACTCACTTATGCACTGCTTTATCACCAGTCGCTCTTTGAGCATCTATTCTTTATCATTCCCTATGCTAGATTGTAGGGATTCAGAGATAACTAAGACACAGTCCCTGCCCTATACAACAATGAAAATGCTATGCCAGTTTTGATGCTCCTCCCTTTTAGAGGTAAGAGTTCATGTCCTCTTCCCTTGAATCTTATCTGGCCGTAATGACTCACTTGTAGTCAATAGAATGAAGTGGAAATAACTTATGAAATTAAGTCACAAAAGGCAATACAGCTTATTCTTCAGTTTCTGGGACACTCACACTTAGATCTTGAACTACTATGAAAGAATTCCATTCTATCACTGATGGGCATTTGGGTTGGTTCCAAGTCTTTGCTATTGTGAACAGTGCTGCAATAAACATACGTGTGCATGTGTCTTTATAGCAGAATGATTTATAATCCTTTGGGTACACCATGGAATACTATGCAGCAATAAAAAAGGATGAGTTCATGTCCTTTGTAGGGACATGGATGAAGCTGGAAACCATCATCCTCAGCAAACTAACACAGGAACAGAAAACCAAACACTGCATGTTCTCACTCATAAGTGGGACTTGAACAATGAAAACACATGGATGCAGGGAAGGGAACATCACACGCTGAGGCCTGTCTGTGGGTTGGGAGGGTAGGGCAGGGTTAGTATTAGGAGAAATAACTAATGTAGATGACGGGTTGATGGATGCAGCAAACCACCATGGCATATGGCACCTATGTAACAAACCTGCACGTTCTGCACATGTATCCCAGAACTTAAAGTATAATAAAAAAGAAAAATTATCCCAAAGCATGATACATATGAATTAAATGCCATTAGTCTTTACACACTATTAAAAAAAAGAAGTATTCCGACTACCCTCAGGCCACCATAGTGTGAGGAAGCCCAAGAAGTTACATGAAGAAGTAATGTGTTCTGATAAACAGACCCAGTGGATGTCCCAGCCAACAGCCAGATCAACTGCTGGACCTGTGAGTGAAGACTCCTCCGGGAGATTCCAGCCCCCAGCCATTCAGTTACCTCTAATCATTGAGTCTTCCTAACTTAGATCCCAAACAACAAGGAGCAGATGCAAACCATCCCTACTGTGTCCTGTTTGAATTACTGACTCACAGAATCCATCCATAGGCATAATAAAAGTGTTGATTTATGTCACCAAGTTTGGGGACATTTTTAAATACAGTAGTCATAATTGAAACACTGTCCATTTGTGAAACTTGCTGGGATTTATAGACAGCAATTTAAAGAAAATTACCATCCTCAGAAGTTCACAGCCTGAAACGGGCAGACCCAACCCGAGGGGCTTAATACTTGACAACCAGAATGTGTGAAGGGGACTAAAAATCTGGTCCTCTAGGCAGCTTTATTCAACAGCCTCCAAATGACAACTAAAGCCCCCCTTCATATCATGACTCAGGGATATGCCACCTGCTTAAGCTCAGTTTCATTTCCCACCAGTCAGTCTTTTCTAAGAGCAAGGATACCCACCCATGATGGCCATGCATCTAAGAAAATGTGATTCCACTATGGAGTACTAGAATGCTAGATCTAAAGGAGGTTTAGAGATCATTCAGTCCAACCCTCGCACTTGCCTATCAAGGAAATTACTGAGGTCCAGAAAGATTGGATGCTTTATCCACAGCCACACAACTAGTTGGTGGCCAAGTACCAGGAATCAGGGCCCCTGCCTCATTTCTATACTCTGCTGCCTCTTCACGTGAACATCAGGGAAGCCATTGTACTCTCAGTGGCATCATGTGGAAGTTCCAAACACAGATCATGGAGTCCTATAAACCTGGTAAGAATCCCAGTTCTGCTCCTTGCCAACTGTACGAAGATGGCCAAGTTCACCTCATTGAGCGTCCAATTTCTCATCTGTAAAATGGGGGATAATTATAATACTTATCAACCAGGGTTTGTTATGAAGATTAATTGAGATGATGCACAGAAAACACATAGCATTGTGCCTGGTCCATAGTAAATATTTATAAAGCCCAGGTCTCTCTAGAATGAAACATTCTGGCCTATACCTTGCAGAAGTACAGAAAGATGTGTGATGGATTTGGGGTTGAGTGAGGGTTTTTTGTTTTATTTATTTACTTATTTATTTTTATAGAGATGGGTCTTGCTATGTTGCCCAGGCAGGTCTCCAACTCCTGGCCTCAAGCAATCCTCCTGCCTTGGCCTCCCAAAGTGTTGCATTGTTTGTTTGTTTGTTTTAGTTTGAGAGCGATCAAAGATGGTTCAGGCCAGCACTGCCACCAGCTCTCTGGTAGAATTAAGTGGCTGCTGGCTTTAGCTGAGCAGCTATAATATTGACTCATCCTCCCCTCTCTTCCCTGGATGCCTGCCAGTAGAGAACTCCTTGAGTTGTCCCTTCTGAGACATCTCTCCCTGTGAATGCCATCTCAGCTTCTCTGGGTATAAGGCACCTTGATCTGATTCTTTCCCTGTCTTGAATCTCCTTGTGACCATCAGCATTGAAGACTCCCTGTGAATACCTATGAGGGCTTGCAATGTGATCAGCTTCCTGCCACCTTGTGTCAGTGGAGTCCCATGGGAGCAGCATGAATGCACCCCAGGGAAATGAACATCCATCTGCTCAGCTCTGGCTCCTGACAGATCGCAGCACCCTACTGGCCTCCTATGCCAGGGCAACCTCCAGATCTCGGCTCTAAAGTTGGGGAGACAACTGCTGGGAGCCCTGAAACGGAAGGAAGCTGCAGAGGACAGCCCAAGCTGACATTTCCATGCAGGAGTGTGGAGCCAATCTTATGTCAGCAGTGGTGCCAATTACCAGAGAGAAAGGGCTGAATTTCCTTCTGGCTTTCATGGGACCATGCAGTCATTCTCAAACATTTCTTACAAATGTAGTGTCCCGGGCATTATCTTAGGCCCACAGCAGGGTACGAAGATGAACAAAATGGCAATGTCCCTGCTTTCTACAGGCTCATAGTCTTTTGAGAGAAGCAATGACAACATAGTGTGATCAATATTGAATTTGTCATATGTGTGACGTTAGTAAGGGATTTAGAGGACATGGTTGTTGGTACTGTTGGAGGTACAGAAGTGGGGTGAGGAAAACTTCATGGAAGAGGGTGACATTCTGCCTAAGTGTGCTCAACAATGAATAGAGTTTGGCTAAAGTCATAAGTGAGATTTAGGCCTAGGGAACAGGAAGTGCAAAAAAAAAAAAAAAGGGCAGGGGGACTGAAAGAATATGGAGTGTTTGAGGGAGTACAAACCACCTAATGGGAAGGGGAAGAGAAGGATGGGAAAAGAGCCAAACTTGAGAGCCCTTGGGAGCATATAAAATCTGAAATGTGTACTCTACTCCATAGGCAAAGTGAAGCTACAGAAGGTTATTGAGCAGGGGAGGGCCACATAGTTTTATATTTCAGAAGGATAACACTGCTCCCGGGATGGAGGGTGAAGCAGATGAGGCTGAACTGAAGGTGGGGAGCCCGTTTAGCAGACTTTGGCTTCATCCAGGCAGGAGGAGATGCAAGCTTCCATGTAAAATGGAAGAAGTTGGTAGGGTTCCGTCTAGCAACAGCCTGACCAGGCTGAACTCACACACACTCCTTCTGTATCTCCCAGACCCTGACTAGCAGCAATTGCTGCATAAATATTTGTTAAAGGGATGAACAAATGTGGAATGCCCTGTCTTCTAAGGACTTCTGATGAACGTGAATTGGTGACTTTGCAAGACCCCAGATTGTGCTTAGATCTTGACCTTCTGACGAGGAACACAGAGCCTTCAGTTTGCGACAGGGCAAAAGAGGACTGCTATTGCTCTGCCCCAGTCATTCTAGGTAGTATAAGGCTCATTATTTAGGAGGAGCTATGAAACAGGCCATGAAGTTTCCCTGGCATCCACTAATTTTGTCTGGAGTCCAGAGACAAGGGAGCACTCCCGTCTCTTACAGTTCCTGTGTCCATTTGGAACTGTTAGCTCATCTTTGTGTTTTTTAAGTCCTGGAGATGGGAGGGGTGCCAGGGTTTGGGTGCCCTCAGAAGCAGATCCAGAGACAAAGATTCAAATGCAAGTATAGTAGTACCTCCTTATCTGAGGGGGATACGTTCCAAGATTCCCCCACTGGATGCCTGAAACTGCAGATAGTGCCAAACCCTATATAATTTATGTTATTTTTGGATTGGATCCCTGAGCCAGCTAAGAGACTCACAGGTGGGGAGCATCTACAGCGTGGAGACTCTGGACAAAGAGAAGATTCATGTCCTCAACAGGACAGAGAAGACAGCACAAGATTTTATCACACTCAGAACAGCACGCAATGTAAAACTCATGAATTGTTTATTTCTGGAACTTTTCATTTAAAGTTTTTGGACTGTGGTTGACCTCAGGTAACTGAAACCAAGCTCTGAAAGCAAAACTGTGGATAAGGGGGAGCTGCTGTTGTTTATTTGGAAGGTGGTCTTGGGAGATGCTGGTTGGAAAGTGGAGAAGGAGAGAGAAGGAAGCTGCTACTTCATGTGTAATAGGCAAGTTCCCACTATGGACTCCTGCGGAGCAATTCCTTTGGGGACTCTGGAGGATGGCTGAATTCACTCCAGAGTTATCCTCCTAGAGGGATGAGGAAGCTGGGCTATTTCTCCATCAAATCTCACATCTGTCATTGTTTGAGGGCTGCTTCCAGGGACATTAACTCTACAGCATTTCCATCTTGCCCTGAGCACCAGCCAAGTGCATCCTCGAAGAGAGTTATGGATGTTTTTCAGTTGGCAGCCTGAATGTAGAGGGAGGAGGATATGCAAGGGTGCCAATAGGATTTGCTACAGGAGCTCACAAGCACAGGGAGGGCATTCTGCTCCACCCTAGGAAGATTCTTCAGTCCCTAAGTTCAGTGTGGGGAGAGTAGAACAGTGTGGGGAGAGTGAAAAACACTGAGGTTCGATCAAAATGCATTGCTGCTCTCATGCAGGGTATTGAGGTGCAAGTGTCAAGGGCCCGGATTTATTTATTTATTTATTTATTTATTTATTTATTTATTTATTTATTTATTTTTGAGACAGAGTTTCTCTCTGTGGTCCAGGCTGGAGTGCAGTGGTGCGATCTCAGCTCACGGCAACCTCTGCCTCCTGGGTTCAAGTGATTCTCCTGCCTCAGCCTCCCAAATAGCTGGGATTACAGGCGGCTGCCACCATGCCCAGCTAATTCTTGTATTTTTACTAGAGACAGGGTTTTGCTATGTTGACCAGGCTGGTCTTGAACTCCTGACCTCAGGTGATCCACCTGCCTCGGCCTCCCAAAGTGCTGGGATTACAGGCGTGAGCCACCGCACCCGGCCAAGAGGCTGGATTTTAAAAAATATCTTTGTGCCTGTCTCATTCAAAGTTCAAATAAGATGATCACTTTGGGTTTCAGCATCTTTTTGAGAGTGGTGGGTAGGAGAGTAATACTATCATATGGCATGGCTGTGGGATTGGGGGTTGTGGAGGGAGACTTTAGTACCTCCGTAATTTCCATCAGCCTTCCTCCAAAGCCACTTTGAATAAACATAGAGACCACAGTGAAGCCAGGTGACTGCAAGCCAATGCAGCTAGACAAGTCGCTCAGCCCACTTCAGACTCTGTAGAACAGAATGCTATCCCAAGTCCTAAGACATTCCAGAGCTGGCAATCTTCAGAGACCTTGGAACAGTGATCCAGTAAGTCTTAGAATCATGGTGGTGGGGGTGGGGGGCACGTGTTGAAAAGGCAGATTCCTGGGCTGCACTCCCTGATGCTGATTCAGTGTCTAGAGAGAGTGGGACGTAGCAATTTGCATTTTAAACAAGAACTCCAGATGATTCAAAATAAAGGTTGAAAAGTACAGTCTTAGAATGTTTTGAGCATAGAGTAAAAGGAAGAAAATGGAGGAAAAAAAGAGGAAGAAAGTGAAATGGTCATGAGATGAGGAAAAGAAGAGGAAGAACGAGGAGAACACCTCAAATAGGGCAGGCGGCTGTGAGTGGCATAGGTTGCCAGGCAATGACTTCTGTATCAAATAATTGCTTTACAGCTCTGAGCATTAAGAAGCAGCCTTCCCGCTAATAAACTCTGAAGGCAAACATGAGTATTTGAAGCTACATAATGTAAAGGAGTAGATTAAAGTAAGAGAGATTATCAGGCTGTCTTTCAGCTGGAGATAAATATCTTTTCTGCAGTGCCAGATCAAGATGAGACAGGTTGTGTGTACCCGGCAGGTCTTCCCACACATTACAACTTAGAGGGAACCAACACCTCAGGAATACCTGGGGAAAAAGGAGACCCAAGAATGCCTGCATCTCATAGTATACAAAAACATTAATTTTCCAGAAGCTATTTTTTTCTGCTGTGTTGTTCTTACGTGAGCTAAACACAGCATCATTATCTCAGTAATAGCCAAAACAAAAACAAAACCCAAACACTCAAAAACCCAAAATGTCTCTGAAGCTGCTTACACCATTTCAGTCTCGAAGGGAACTTAATGTGGATCTACTAAGAGACTGCATGGGTCAAGTTCAGGCAGCAAAGGACAAACTCTTGGTAGAGGTTTGTCCAACGGTTCTCACACTTGAGCATGTGTCAGAATGACCAGGAGGGCTTGTTAAAATGTATTGTTTGGCCCCATCCTCAGAGGGTCTGATTCAGCAGATGGGGCCCAAGAATTTGTTGGTGCTGCTGGTCTGGGGATTATACATTGAGAACCACTGGGTTGGACCAAAGTCCAAGGTTTAGACCAAGGTCTAGAATGTCCAAGGAACAAAGTATATGAAAACTTGTCTAAAAATGGGGCAACAAGAGAAAATATCCACAGACCCTAGTCAAAAGCATGAGCAAGGGGAATCCTGAAAGATGAATACTCCCGTATCCTGCTTGGATAAACATTTCTACCTCCTACCTGCATGCCTGCTTCTTGGGGAAAGGACCTTGGTGTGGTGGCGCCATAATTCTCCACACTCCTTCAAGATGAAAGTGATGTATTTATATCTGCTCTATTAAAAGACACCAAGTAAAATGGGAAGCTCTATGTCAACCCTTGGCTTAGAATTCAGGTCATTCCCAGCCTTGGGAAAGACTAGACACCTTCCTATGAATAATGGACTCCCTGGAGACCCTTAATTTCCACCCATTAATTTTCAACACTTGGAACAAGCATGATACATGGTCTCATACTTCCAGTTTCTTTCAGAATCCTCCAGGCCATTTTATTTATTTATTTTTTTACTTCCCTAGAAGTAAGGCAGTTTTGCTGGACATAAACTCCTCGGGACATGTGACTTGAGCTATGACTTCTCACAATATACAAAAACAGGATCTCCTTAGTTGAGGCTGTAAATTAGGCTAATGGAAATGAATATGGTAGCTCTCTGAGGTCACTAGGAGACACTTTGGGGCTATACTTACTGCAAAAGGAGAAGGGCAGCTACTTTAAAAATCCCAGAGGGGGCTTTCATTCATCTTCCTCAGGCCACCATTCTATCCCAACCACAATGTACCTCTCCATTTGCATGCACAACCCAACTAGAGCCCTTTACTTTGGCTTTCACTTTCATCTGCATCTATTGATTACCCACAGATATTCAGATCTCTAAATCATAGCATGAATTAAGGTCATAGATTAAATTAGGAATAAGACATTGAAGGAGAATCTCTTTTTCTTTTCTTTTCTTTTTTTCCTTTTTTTTTTTTTTTTTTTTTTTTGAGGTGGAGTCTCGCTCTGTCGCCCAGGCTGGAGTGCAGTGGTGCGATCTCAGCTCACTGCAACTTCCACCTCTCTGGTTCAAGCGATTCTCCCTCAGCCTCCCAAGTAGCTGGGACTACAGGCACATGCCACCATGTCTGGATAATTTTTTTTGTATTATTAGTACAGATGGGGTTTCACTGTGTTAGCCAGGATGGTCTCGATCTCCTGACCTTGTGATCTGCCCACCTTGGCCTCCCAAAGTGCTGGGATTACAGGCATGAGCCACTGTGCCCAGCCAAAGGAGAATCTCTTAGAGGAACACTTCATAACACTTTGGGGGGCTCCCAGGCTTCTATGAGAAGCTCACAAAATCAGTGGACCTTCTTCCCAGAAAAATGCACCTATAGACAACCTTTTGCAGGTAATTAATTGTACAGATGCCTCAGGTTAAGAATCCATAGATCATACTACAGAAGCATATACTATACATACTATATAGCTCATACCTCATTGAAGTACATACTATAGCTCATATCCCATTGAAACAGAAGATGCTGGTGTAGGAGGAGGAAGGGGGACAGAAGAAGGAGGAAGAAAGAAGGGCAAGCCTCAGGGTAAGCAGCCCCTGTATTGGTCAAAGGGACATAACACTAGCTACTATAACAATGCTCTGAATTTCAGTGTCTTGACACTGAAATTTTCTCTTGTAGGTGTTCCTGGACAGCAAGTGAGTGACTTGCTCACAGGCGGTAATTCAGGGACCCAGGTTTCTTCTACCTGGTAGCTCTACTGTCCTTCAGAACCTCAGAGCCCTGTGCATTCAGCCAGCAGGAGAAAGACCACTACTAAGGTACAACAGCTTCTTTGAAATCTTAGCCTGGAAGTGCTGGCCATCACTTCCAGTCATATTTCATCAATGAGAACTGATTGCACGACCACATCTGGATGGAAGCTGGGCTGGAGAATGTAGTTCCTGTCTGTGAAACCATTTCCTAGCAACAACTCCACACCACGGAAAGCAGAGCATAAAGTTTTGGTGGCCAGCAAGCCATATTGCTTCCTAACCATTGCATGCAAGTGAAATCAGGTTAAAATAGATGGCAAGCTGCCTTGAAAGGGAAAAGACATTATGAAGCCCAAGGCATGGGTAGAATAGGGCAGCTGTGGCCCCACCCTGTTGGTAGCAAGTAGATGAGGTTGCAGACAAATTGTCTTTCAGCCTCAGAACTTTCTAAAACCAGGCGATTAAACCCCTCCTTATCTCTAGCTCTATCCTTTCTTCCTACTTCTTACAAAAGTGCCAGGCCCTGGAACAATTTCCCAATTGCAATGCGTGCTTTCATACCCATCCATCTGAGCCTGATTTCTTAAACCTAAGTAATTTATACAACATGTGAATCGACAAAATATGAATGCAAAAGTTGTTTCTATGGAAATTAAGTTGAAATTTTTGAGAGATTCAATAGTAGCAGGTAGCTGGAAATGCTGTTGAATTACGTGTGTGCCAAACAATTGTAAAAGATGGAAAAAAACATTTAAAAATTGTGGGGAGCCTGGATTTGGTTGGTTAGTTAAAAAATAAGTAAAGCAGAGAATTATTTTTGAAAAGTGGTACACACAATCATTAAACATTCTAGTTAACTTAAAACATGTAAATATACATTCATTCACTAAGCTTTTGATGTGCGTCCAAGTCATTTTCTTTGAATACAAATCTGCTGATAGGAGTTGTGGGTTTTCCTTTTTGCATGAGCCATACTTAAAATGCACTGTCTATAATTTCCAGTTGTAGTTTCTTGAAAGTGGAGCAAGACACTTGTGAAGCAAGCTCAGTGCATAATCCCCCCAATTTTTAGATGATTTTTTTCAATCTTTTACAATTGTTTGGCACACACATAATTTAACAGCATTTCTAGCTATCTGCTACTATCAAATCTTTCCAAAATTTTCAACTTAATTTCCATAGAAAAAACTTTTTGCATTCGTATTTCATCAATTCACACTTTGTATAAATTACTAAGTTTTAATAACAAGTGCAACCGGAATAATTGTCATAAAGAGGTTTGGGAGCAAACACAATCGACTTGCAGTAAGTAAGTAGAGCTTACGCAGTGAGAACAGACACATAGGCTAGTAGAGTATGGCTTGGAGTGTTCAGTGGGCTATTGACCTCAGTCAGCATGGTTTGCAGAGAGAGTAGGGAGCCATGGTTAATTTGGTGTGGGTTGCCAGCCTCCAAGGTGGCCCACAGTGATCCTTGCCTTTTGGTATTCAGACCCTGTGTAGTCTCCTCCCACACTGAATTCATGGCTGGTCTGTGTGACCAATAGAATATGGCAGAAGTGTCCATTGTGTGACTGCAGAGGATCAGTCATAAAGAGTGCAACTTATGTCTTGGTCTCTTAGGTCATTCACTTTGGGAGAAGCCAGTCTTCATGCCATGAGGACGTTCAGGCAGCCCTGTGGAGAGAACCACATGGAAAGGATCTGAGGTCTCTCACCAGCACCAATTTGCCAGCTATGGGAATGGGCCACCTTGGAAGGAGACTGTCCAGCCCAAGTGAAGGCTGCAGATAACTGCAGCTTTGGCCAACATTTGGCTATATTGCTTTGGGAAATCTCAAGCCAGAACCATCTGGCCAAGCTGCTCTTAAATTCCTGATCCACAGAAGTTTTGGAAGGTAATAAATGTTTATTGTTTTAAGGCACCAAGTTTCAGGGTGATTTGTTACCAGTAATAGATAACTAATATGTTTGGCAAAATGGCTACATGTCTGTCATTCAGAGAAGCTTCTGCAATAAGAGGCCTTCCATTGTGCAGGAAACTGACCTACCTGGCTTTGCTTTTCTAGGGGTGGTGGCCATAGACCAAGTGTGAGGTTGTTGATCAGGGTTAGAGCTGTGATCATGAAGGAAAAAGCACCACATGAGGATAAATTCAGAATTCTTGGCCTTCTTAGCACCAGACTCACCCAAGCTAACAAATTTAGGCTTGATTTGGGATATGGGCAGATAACCATAGCTTTTTTCGAAGCTTGGTTCATGGACCAGCAGCATTGGCACACCCCACCCCAGACCTACTGAATAAGAATCTTTATTTTAACAAGATTCTAGGATATTTGTACGCACTTCAAAGTAAGAGATGCACTTAACTAAAGGATCCTGTGTGGTGACTTGGGAATTGAAGGGAATACATTCTAGAAGGGTAGCTTCTGGAAAGGGGTTCCTTTTAACTGGGAGTAGTCTCCAAACCTGATTGGAACTCTGTAGAATCAATTCCTGAATGAGGGCAGATTGGATTTCATGTTTTCCAAGATTAATTCCAGTTTCAATACTCTGTTGGTGTATTTTGTGATCCTCGTCTCCAATTTTCTCTGGTCTTTTTTTTTTTTCTCTTTTTCTTTTGAGACAGGGTCTCACTCTGTCACCCAGGATGGAGTGCAGTGGTGCGATCAAGGCTCATTGCAGCCTCGACCTCCTGGGCTCAGTTGATTCTCTCACCTCAGCCTCCTAAGTAGCTGGGACTACAGGCACATGCCACCATGCCCGGCTAATTTTTTTTGTCATTTCTGTAGAGCCGGGGTTTTGCCGTGTTGCCCAGGCTGGTCTTGAACTCTTGGGCTCAAGCCATCCATCTGCCTTGGCCTTCCAAAGTGCTGGGATTACAGGTGTGAGCCACCGCCCCCAGCCTCTCCTGTCTTAAATGTCTATAGTACCTGTCCCGGGAGCCCTAAATCCTGAGTTTCATCGTCTTCTTTCTTCCTACCCCTTGTCACACTATTGTTTTCTTTAATAGGCAAATTCATTAAAACCCAATAGTGTTTTCTCTCTACTTCAGGGTGCAGAAAACCCACATTTTTGTGATTGTGATATGCCTAGGACACATGGCTTCCTGAGACAGGAAGAAAGCAGACTGCTGCCTTCTAATACATTGTGAGATTCTCCATCAGGGTGTGAGACAAGCCACTGTGAGCTGAAAGGCAGGATTTTTAAGGACCAAGCAGGAGACTGAAGAAGTCATTAATTATGTTATCATAAAAAATATTTGGTGCTTTTCCTTAACATTACAGCTACCATTGCTGCTGGTAATGCCCTTTTATTTGTCCAGGGGGGTTTGCTCCCATTAGATTAGATTAAGTGTCTCATCCAAGGCACAATAACAGATTTGGCTCCGTGGTTCAGCTGCTGGCTGTGGTTGACTGATACCCAAGCTTTTGACTCCCTGCTGCGTATCTACGCGGTACAAGCTGCAGTCAATGCATTTAATCTACATAAAAAGAGCACAAATTGCACGTTAGCCTTTTTGAGTGCAGTAATCAGGTTTTTCTCCCCCTGCTCTACTTTACGCTCTTCCGGACAACTGAAGGCCCTCTTGTGTGATCCAGAGAGGTTGCAACATTTTTTGAGTCAGGTAAAAAGAAAAGTCTTTTGCATTTTAATTGCACTTGATCCGCTCATAGAATGACCCCTGTAATTTATATATTGTTCATAGTTTGTGCTTTCTGCAGTCCTGCTGTGCAGCTGATAACATAATTCACAGGCGCTCGCACCTTGGGCTCTGTGGGTAGTGGCTTGGGCTTTCTTTTCTTTCTGAGTTTGCAAAATTCTCTCGCTCATCCTTCAGAATCAAGCTGCTGTAACTGATGTCAGTCACTATCCGCTTATGCAGGTGTAGTGAAAAGGCCACTCAATGAGCCCCAGCCTATTCCTTTGTTTACATTTAAAGATTGCCCTTTCCTTTCCAGCTGCCTATGCTATTTGCAGACCTGCTGGTTGTTGGTGACGCAGCTTCTTCTGCACCCTCCCTGGATTGTGCAATTAATTGGCTTAAGCTAGAGCTGCAAAAACAACACCAAACACAGGTATTGTACTCTGGCAGGCTAACTACAGAGGCAGTGAGATTCAAGGCAATCAATAAATATAAAGGGGACAAGAAACAGGGAATGGAGAGACAATTCTTTTTAAAATTTTTGAGTACATTAGACGGTGAGCTCTTTGGAATGAGAGCCATGCTATTTTTGTGATTTGAAAAATCTTCTAAACATTTAAGGCAAGTCTATGGGAAGTCGAAGTCTAGTTTTTACAAAACGTTTAGGTGTTTAACCATTTTATTTGCTTCACAGTCACACTGAAGCTGTATTCCTCGCATTCTCCAGAAGGATGCATTATGAGTTAGATCATCTTGGCCCATCCCAGATTTTGCTTTAATGGTTTGGCTCTAAAAACCCTTTGGGTAGAAATTAAACCCTTGCTGCTCACAATGTGGTCTGTGGACCAGCAGCATAAGCATCACCTGTGAGTTTGTTAGAAATGCAGACTCTCAGGCTCCACTCCAGAGCTGCTGAATCAGAATCTATATTCTAAGAAGATCCTCAGGTGGCCTGCACATTATGGTTTGAGAGACATTGGATTAGACGATTGGGTCTCAACCCTGGCTGCAGATTCAAACCATCTGAGACCCTTGAAAGAAAATACTGATGCCTGGACCCCACCTCCAGGGATTGATTTAATCATTCTAGCTTAGTTCAATAAGCTCCTCAAGAGATCTAACAGGAAGCCAAGGGCAAGAATCACTGGATTACACAAAATCTTAGAGGATAGAACCCCAAACAATTCTAAACTTAAATCAGTGCCCCATGGATATTTCCAGAATCTCTCCCTGCCCCGCCCCCCAGTCTCCTAGGGGAAGAACTGGAGTTTCAGCACAATTCAACTTGATAAGTATTCAGTGCCTATTATGGGTCCATCTCACCACACCCCAGAGGTCCACTCAAGCCAGAAGGTAAAATCACCTTGTGGGCAAGATCAAGTTTTCTGTAGAGTCTCAGCACTGTGATGCTGAAAGGTCACCCTGTGTGTGTCTGCTGATGACTCTATGGGACTCTGTGGAGGTGGGTTCTCAGCTCTGAAACACACTCCTTTTTAGAAGTTGTAGGACACCCCAGTCTGGATTCCTAAGAATCAGTTTCAGAGAATCCCAATTTCATGGACATGCATGATTTAGTATTTTGGCATCCTTTCTGGCATATGTTTAGCAGCTTTCTGTTTTTTTTTTTTTTTAATTGTTATAAGAGAGGCAGGTGGTTTTTGGAAAAGATTTTGGAATGGAAGTCAGATAACCTGGTTTCCAGTTCATATTTCACCCCTAAGAAGTTTGTTATAATGTCTGAAATTTACTTGAAAACTTCACCAATTACAGAGGGACATCTCATGTGTCAAATTTAGGTTAAGCACTAGCCCAGATGCTAGTCAAGCGTGCACGTCCCAGGGCTGGTCTGTGGGTATTCTCAGCAGGAAAGCCACCTTTTAGAGGCTCTTCTTATACCCATTTCTGCTATCTAGATCACCTAGGTTTTGCTAATGAGGATAGCAAATATCAGAAAGGGGCTTTATTGGTGAAATTAATGACTTGTTAATTGACATGATGAATGTTGAAATGAGCTCTCATTGATTAAATTGCATGAGTTCAAGATATGTGGATCAGCTCAAATATTTTAGCAATACTTCCTACTCTTGCATCAAGCAGGGGTAAAAACCTAGTGACATCCATAGCTTGTACCGTTAAGAATGGCACCCAAGAATTGAACCCTGCATGGGTCCTTGCCCCACAATTGATTTAGGAGGATTTCTCATTGTCTGATGCTGACTGTAATGATAACATAATTTTATCTCTATGTTGTTGTGTCTACTTTCGAGTGAAATTTTCACACAAGGTGATAGAATATAGTTTGAGAATTACTTCCCTCAAAATCTCGTTCTGAAGCTGCTGCCAGCAGCTAACCCTCATTCACACAAATCTTTTCAGCAGCTACCATTAGCTACCAAAAATATTTCTTGAGCATGAACAAATAGGCACGGGTCAATCACAACTCAGCTGTATGACCTTGAGTCTCACATCTAGTTGCTGTACCTCTTTGAGTCTCAGGCATTTTATTGAAATATCAAGGGCATTATTTTAAAGATTTTTTTCTGGCTTATGATTTAAAAATTTCTAAAATTCTAACATATAAGCAAAAGCCAAACAGATCAAGATACTCTAGGCTGCAGTGGATCTTGCTTTGGAGCTGCCTGCCTCCCCATGCACAGCTCCCTCAATCCTAGTCCACACTGTATGACCCTCTTTGCAATAATCCCAAGCCCCTGAGAAACGAAACCCACATTTGCCATTCTCTCTGTATGATCCCAATTAAGTCTATGGACTGTAATATGGACTCCTGACAAGGTTGTGAATATTGCTTAGTTAATAGAATATTCTGGCAAAAAGCAGAGTGGAGGAGATGATACGTTGTGGTTGTCTCACTTAGCAGGTTCTTTTTATTTTGAGAAACAATGGCAATGGGGTTGGTTTTAATTTAACATTTTCCTTCAAGGGAACTTAGCAGTGGTACTTATATGAAGCATCAAGTCCGATGACGCTACAGCATAGTGCTCTGTAGGTTGAGTCAATGTAAGCTCTTGCAAGAAGCAGACCCAAATGGTGAGACTCAGTTACTCACTTGCTCTAGCAAAGGAGGAAAAGCATGTTTAATTGACCCTTTGGTGGATAGTTGTTCCCATTTCATCCTCCTAAACAGCCTTAATATCGTTCTATTGTGGCTTCCCAAGGATTCCTGGTATGAGCCTTTTATAGACCCTAATGAAGCCATTGTACTATTTTCAGTCAAGATCTGTGGCATGAAACAAAGGAGGGACTTGATGGAGCTGTTTCCAGCACAGTTATTGAAAATAATCCCAACCCACTGGGGCCAAAAATAACTGAGATCAAGACAAAGATCAAACTACTGTTGCAATCTTGTGCAATAGCAACTCCAATGGGAAAAATGCTGGGCAGCAAACCAACAGAGATAGTTTATCTCAAATATTTTTTTCTTACAAAAATTCTTCAGGACATGTGGCCCCCAGCTCTGAAGTTTTCTTGTTTTGTGTCTAAATGTTTGTTGGGTTTCTGCTTTGCTATGTGTTCTTGGTTTTTTAAAAGAACTTACGTTTATCTGAAAATATAGCATAAAATGAATGATCCACTAAAGGTTTCAAGCAGATTGTGGTCATATTGTATCTGACAGTGTTTTAAATAATGAGAATATTAAAAATGTAAATATCAGAAGCCTTGGTTATAATGCCCATGAGAGATAAGGAGGAAGAGATTGGACAGGTATTTCTGTGAGGTGACTGGGAGTTTTAAAGTCCCCATTATATTCTAACTGTGGGTAGTAATTGGCTACTAAACAAGTCGGTCTGCAGTTACGTAAAACTAAAAAGAACACTTAGTCCATTCTTTGAAGGAAGCTGAATATAAAATCCCAATGATTCTAATGTTTTCCCAGAACCAAATGCAATGATCCTTGAACACAGATCAAGATGTTTTTCTTAAGAAATACACACAGCCAACAAGCATATGAAAAAATGCTCAATACCACTAATCATTAGAGAAATACGAATCAAAACCACAGTGAGATACCATCTCACCCCAGTCAGAATGGCTATTACTAAAAAGTCAAAAAATAACAGATGCTGGTGAGGTTGTGGAGAAAAGGGAATGCTTATACACTGCTGGTGGGAGTGTAAATTAGTTCAGTCACTGTGGAAAGCAGTTTGGAGATTTCTCAAAGAACTTAATACAGAACTACCATTTGACCCAGAAATCCCATTACTGGGAATATACCCAAAGGAATATAAATTGCTCTACCATAAAGACATATGCATGTATATGTTCATTGCAGCACTATTCACAATAACAAAGATGTGGAATCAGCCTAACTGCCCATAATGGTGGACTGGATAAAGAAAATGTGGTACATATACACCATGGCATATACACAGCCATAAACAAAGAATTAAATTATGTCCTTTGCAGCAACATGGATGCAGATGGAAGCCATTATCCTAAGTGAATTAACTCCGGAACAGAAAACTAAATACTGTATGTTCTCACTTATAAGTGGGAGCTAAACATTGAGTATACACAGAGACAAAGAAGAAAACAATAGTCACTGGGCCTACTTGACGGCTGAGGGTGGGATAAAGGTGAGGATCAAAAAACTACCTATTGGCTACTATGCTCATTACCAAGGTGATGAAATAATCTGTACACCAAACCCCAACAACATGCAATTACATACCCATGAAACAAACCTGAACATGTACCCCCTGAACCTAAAATAAAAGTTGAAAAGAAAAAAACATATTTTTTCTTAGATAAATATTCAGTGAGTATCCACCATGTGCCAATTACTGTGTGCTATGGTTTGAATGTGTCCCCCAAAGTTCATGTGTTGGAAGCTTAATCTGCAATGTGGCAGTGGTGGGAGGTGGAGCTTAATGGGAGGTGTTTGGGTTATGGGGCACCACTGTCATGGATGAATTAATGCCATTAACATGGGAGTGAGTTATAAAAGGGGAGTTTAGTCCCCCTCACTCTCTCTCATGTACTTTTTCACCATATGATGCCTTCTGCCATATTATGGCACAGTAAGGAGGCCCTCACCACATGCAGCCTCTTGATTCAGATTTCCCAGCCTCCAGAGCCATGAACCAAATAAATTTCTCTTCTTTGTGAATTTCCTAGTCTCTGGTGTTCTGTTATAGTGGCACAAAACTGAGTAAGACACTGTGCTAGAAGATTGAGTGTATACTCAAAAAATGTAAAGAGGTATGGGTACAAATTTAAGAACCACCAGCTACCACTGTGATTTTGAAATCCATGATCAAGCTTCGAGCCATGGAAGTGCTAATGACATCCTTCCAATGCCAAGAGGCCAGTAGAAATGAGACACAGATGTAGTGTCCTAGAGCTTGGAAGGAGGAGGAGTTAGAACATCCAGGGGTGACAACGTTTTAAGTCACCCCATTCTCATATCGTTACCCTTGTTCTTGTATCTTTGACAGCATTGGTCTCAAGTCAGGAGTGAGTGAGTGAGTTGGTCATTGTGTTCAGTGTCTCAGCCACAGCTGTCTTTCAGGATAATCTGTAGAACTTAAAAAAAAAAAAATACAGATTCCCTAACCTCAGCCCAGACTTCAGAATCAGAATTGCTGGGTTGGAGCTAGGGTTTCTGTGTTTTTAAAGCATTCTCATCATTCTGCTGTGCAGCCAGAGTTAAGACATTCTGGACGCACAACCAGTTCACCTAGAACACTTGTATGAAGGAGCCAGAATGCTGGAAAGAAGCAGAAAGCCAAGTTCTTGCCTACAAGTGATTTATTACAACCAGAGGAGAACATTAGGAAGAGAACAAGAAAATAATAAAGTGAGAGGAAAACAACTCAGAAGTAAGGCCATGGGGACTGTATGCAACATTTGCTGTTTCAGAGGTAGAAAGTAGTATTTAAGCTTATGCACAAGTAGGTTCGCCACGAATATTTGTAACACCTGGCACCAGAGTACAAATGGAAGCCCACATATGCATCGAAATACTTAACAATTATACACAAGCTACAAATTTGTAATCAAAACATGCCAATCTTCCTACCTTTATACCTCTGTTAGACGTGGAATACCAGGTTTCAATGTAAAATTATGGGACTCCTTGGAGTTCCAGACTGGACCACAATGGCATGGGGAGAGTAAGCCCAGGTTGCCAATCTATAGCCCAATCCCCATCTCTTTGCTTATAGACTCCATCCCCCACTGTAAAGGGTCGAATGGGCATAGTGACCAACAGGTTGGAGTATCCATGTAAATTCTATCCTCACCTCCTTGCAAATAGCTACCCTTTGGCCTTACCTCTGGCGTATGGTGGTTATACTTGCTACGTAGTCTGCCCTTGTGAAGAAGAACCCTGGGAAGAAGCCCTTGTAGGCTTTGGAAGCTGGCTTGGTCTGTTTGGGCAGGGAATCCCAAGATTTCTGTCACCTAAACCATGGTCTAGAAGGTCTTGGCCTTACTGACTCCTCCTGTAGGAAGGGGCCTGCCAAAGTGGAGCCCTCTAGTAGGCAAGGCCCAGAGTAGACCCTTCTTGATGGGGCCAAAGAATAGCCCTATGTATAAGCAAGATGATGGATGAGTTCTACAAGCTATATAAGCTTAGCCCGTAGAAACATGGAAATCAGTGTCTGGAGAATAGTCCCAGAGAAAAATATGTTTATCTTATTTCCCAATCTTTTAGTCCCAGATATGGATTCAAATTTAGATTTACCAGCCACACCTGTCTCAGGGTTTTTAATTAGTTAATGTTAGGTTCAACTGAAAAGTAGCAGTAGTCAGCTAAAATGAAACAAAACCAAAACAAAGCACAGTGGTATAAACAAGATAGAAGTTTTTTATTTTCACATGAATATTAGCAATCAAGGTTACTGTAGTGACTCCATAATCCCCAGGGTCATAAGCTCTTTCTACTTTGAAACGCTGCCATCCTCAAGACTGGGTTTCTACTTCATGATCCAAGATGGCTTCTTAAGCTTCACCCATCACCTCCACATTCCACCAGTTGGAAGTAGAAAGAGGGGAAAAAAGAGCATGAATCCTGTTAAAAATACTCTCCAGAATTTGCACACTACACTTCTACCTTCATCTCATGGATCAGGACTTAGTTATGTAGCCACAACTAGTTAGAACTTGTGCCAGCTAAGCATGTAGATTCTCTTCCTAAGGAGAAAAACCAACAACTAGTTCACAAACTACCGACAAACTACTGACAACTAACAGTATCTGCCAAGGGACGTTTGATTTCAAACAACAGAAACTGACTGAAGATTTTAAGCAAAAGGGGAACTGGTTGGCTGTTGTGTGGTTCAGATAATTGATAGGCTGATTAGAGGGTCAGGCTCTGAAAGTGAGCAAGCAATTTATTTAGAACACAACCATCAACCCAACCCTCGGAGCTGCCAACACCACTGGGCTCTAAATGCTGTCACTGATAGTGTACATGATTTCTCATACCCTGCAGCTTACCACCACTCTGTCTAGACCCATGCTGTCCAATACAGTAGCTTCTACATGTGGCTGATAGTACCGTATTGGACAGTGCATATATAGACTATTTGCATCACTGCAGAAAATTTTATTGGTGTAGACTCAAAGTCCTGGACCAAGGTATCCAATTTGCCAAGCTAGTTTATGCACTTCCTTCCTGGCTGCCAAGGGTGCCCCCACCAAGATGCACTAGAACTTTGCTCAAAATAGGAAGGGGATTTGGATGCTGGGCAGCTAAAAAAGCAGGAAATTTCCTCTACATACTTACTGACAGTGTGCTCTTAGGCTAAGTACTTTTCTAGCCTCATTTTTTTGCATTTGTACAATGGAAATAATGATAACTGCCTCTTAGGGTTTTTATGAAGATAAAAAGATAAGACATGAAAATTACCAGGACCATCTGCGTTAATAGAGTCTTAGATATAATCATGAAATGCAATGCATAGTCTTTGATTAGATCCTGCTTTGAACAAGTGGCTACAAAAGATATTGGGGAAAATTTTAATATGAAATGAGTATTAGATAATATCAAGAAATTACTGTTAATTTTGTTAGATGTGATAATGGCATTGTGATTATATAGAATGTGATAAAGCTTTAAGGGAAAAATATTATTATGTCTATGATTCTAAATACTTCAGCAAAAAATAGATGAAACAAATATGGCAAAATGTTAATGATTGTTAAATCTAGATAATAGATAAATGAATGTTATTCTCCTTAAGCTCTGTTATTTTTTATCTTTTTTTCATAGTTTATTCAAGAAACAAAAGTACTAGGTCCATCATAGGAGTTCAACAAATGTGAATCTCCCTTCTTGCCTTCATAGTCCTAGGGGCCTTATAGTCTTCTCATAACTATTGTAATGCTTTCCATATATTTTCCACCCAACCTTCGGAACGTTTCCCATGGCCACCTACTTAAAAGCTTCCTGCCCTTTCTCTGACAGCACACTCTATATATCTTTGGGGAATTTTGAAGACAAGCAGTTTGCCTAGTAATGAAAAGAGCCATGCAGAGAGGCACCTGTCCACAGCACCGACGCTGGGTGCTAAGGTTTCCCCTTTGCATCATTTCATAGCAGGGGTCCAAAGAAAAACCTGTGTATCAGTGTTTGTTTTCAAACTTGTCAAATCAACTTCCTTTTCCTGATGCCTAATCAGAAAGAAATGATATCAGGAAACAGGGGGAAGTGGCAGCCAGTGTTTCATTTCAGCTGATTTAGTTATTCAATAAATGTAGAGCAGAAAGGGATGGAAGTTTGTAGGGTTTGAATCATGCCACAAAGATGGATTGTGCCAGATACGGAATTGGATCTAGAAGGGACACCTTGATTTTCTCTCTGAGTGGTAGCAAAAAATTACTTACCAAAAAAGGGCTGTAAAGCATTTGGCAAGTATACAGTAAGCTATGAATGTTAAATAATATCTTCATGTGGTGTTGAAGCATCAACAGTTTCTAAGATTGTGTATGTAAGATTAAGCAGAATGCCATTTTCCTGACCAGGATCGCCAGTGCCACCTCCAGAGATGAACTCACTTATGGGACAGGACCTATCTATCTTTGGGTACCATGTGCCAAAATATCAAGTTTGTATGCCAGAAGCAAGCATCTTGAGGTCCATAGCCATTCTCAACAATAAGAATGATAAATAGTGACTAAAGAAGAAAGCAACTTGTATATTTGGCATATTCAGTGCAACAATGAATAATGGCATTTTAAAAAACCCGATTTCCTCTAAAACAGTGTGTTTCAAAATTTAACAATAAGCCTTCTCCTTCTAGCAATATAGTGGGGTGTGTGTGTGTGTGTGTGTGTGTGTGTGTGTGTGTGTGTGTGTGTGTGTGTTGGGGGTCGGGGGAGTGCTCTGAGGGACTCTTCCACTGCATAGCAGATATATAGCTATATCCTGGATACAAGACACTCTTCAAGGCATTTCTGGACTTGCAAGTGGTTGGAGAGATTTTCAAAGGCTTCCACAACTGCAATCCACAAAATAAAAACCAATCCAAGCCCGTACCAGAGGAGGAAGCTTTAAACTGCAAGGAATAGGTGTATGTGTGGGGGTGTGTGTGGGGGGGGGGTGCCTTGAGAGCAAATACCAATAACAATACTGTTATGGGAATACTGATACTTGGGCCAGCATTGTGGTGGGATGCTGACTCTGAGATTTATATACAGTGGATCTTCACAGCGGCTGATGTAGTCTTTGGTCAGATGTGTCCCTGATTCCCTGCTGAAGCAAATTCTGTTTGAAGAAAGCGTCTCTAATTTCTAATTTAGACCTACAGGATTAGACCCAAAGATTAAAATCAAGGGAGAAGTTCACAGTATGCTAAGGCAAGCCGCCATATACCAGAGGCAGCATTACAAATACATAATAGATTCAGATTCCCACTCTAACTGGATACAGGAATTGTCAAGATAGAGAATATAGAACAGCTGTATATGAAATGCTTAAATAAATAAAAGATGCAGTCACATAAATGAGCAAGCAACAATAGGCTAGCAGAAATAACCAGGAAGATTTTTTCATGGAACTTCTATAAATTCAAATACAATTATTGAAGCAAAAATGCTAAATGGACTGGTTAAATAGTAGCTTAAATCCAGTTGACGAAAGGATTAGAAATTACCCAGAATGCAGCACAGAGGGTCAAACATAAATCTAACTGGAGTTCCAGAATAAGAGGAGAGAGAGAAAGAATGCAGTATTTGAAGAGATAATGGCCTGAATCTTCCAAGACTGATGAAAAACATAATAACACATACCAAGCAGCATATAAAAAAGAGGAAATTCATGCCTAAACACATCATAATTCAACTGCAGAACACCAACTGCCAAGAGATCTTAAAAGGGGCCAGAGAGAAAAGATAGATTATCCTCAAAAGATTAGACCAGCAGTTGCCTTCAACAACAATGGAACTCAGAAGACAGTGGAATAATATTTTCCAACTGTTGAGAGAAAATAACCATGGGCTTAGAATTATGTATTCAGAAAATCACATTTCAAGAAGGAGGGTAAAATGAAGATATTTATAGATACAATTTAAAAAAAAACCCAGAGGGATTTACCACCAAAAGAATTTCACTAGAGGAACCTCTTCTAAAAGCTATGCTACAGGAAGGAGGAAAAGGATGTCAGAAAGATGATCTGAGATGCTGAAAGGAATAGTGAACAATAAAATGGTAAAAATGCATGTACATATGAGCAAACATTATTTGGGGGAAAAGGAATACTAATGTCAAATTTATGGAGCTCAGAAAAAATGACAAAAATAAAATACTGGAGAGCAATCACATGTGAGTGAGGAGGGGAGAGATCAGAGTCTAAATCTCCTAAGATCCTTAAGAGTATTATTATACAGCATAGGTTGGCACAGTTTTTCTGTAAAAGGTTAGATAGCAAATATTCTAAGTTTTGCTGGCCACACAGTCTCTGTCACAACTGCTCAGCTCTGTCATTGTAGCGTAAAAGCAGCCATTGACAGCACACAAACAAAAGAACATGGCTGTGTTCCAATAAAACTTTATTTACAAAGACAGGTATTGGGCAGATTAGTCATTGGGTGGTCATTGTTTGTCAACTCCTGTTCTATAGGGAAGTTGAAATAGTGTTTAATTTTTGACTTTGTAAGTTAAATACGCATGATGAAATTTCAAAAATCAGCACCAAAAGAATAGAAGTAGAATCTATAACTTCCAAGCAAGTAATAAGCAATGAAATAAGGTCACACACACACACACACACACACACACACACACACACACACACACAAATAAACCACAAACAGTCCAAAAAATGGGAAGAAATTAGAAAGAAAAAAAATCACAGAAAATCAGAATAAATAAAAAATAGAAAAATAAGATGGTTGGATAACCTCAACTAAAAAGAAATGAGCTACCAAGCTATGAAAACACATGGAGGAAACTTAAATGTTACTAAATGAAATACGTCAATCTGAAAAGCCTAGGTACTGTATGATTTCAACTATATGGCATGCTGGAAAAGGCAAAACCATGGAGACAGTAAAAGGTCAGTGATTGCCAGGGGTTGGGGGTGGGAGGGATGAATAGGCAGAGCAGAGAGGATTTTTAGGGCAGTGAAATTACTCTGTACAATACTATAACTGTCGATAACTGTGATTATACATTTGTCCAAACCCATAGAATATGCAACACCAAGAGTGAACCCTAATGTAAACAATGGACTTTTAGGCAATAATGTAGATTCATCAATTGTAACAAAATGTACCACTCTAGTATTGGATATTGATAATAAGGGTGGTTGTGCAATGTGTGGGGGTAAGCAGCATATTGGGAAACCACTGTACCTTCCTCTCAATTTTGCTGTGAACCTAAAACTTCCCTAAAAAATAAAGTCTTTGAAAAATGAAATAAAGACCTGTGAATACGATCAAAATATGTATACAAAAGGTGGCAAAATATAATTATTATTAATCACCATATAGGCAAGTGAATTAAACCAGCCAATTAAAAAACAGAAATTGTCAGATAGGATTTTTTAAAAATTTAGCTGTATGTCGATTACAAGAGCCACACTTAAGGCATAAAGAATGTAGAAAGGTAGAATGTAACAGGATTAAAAAATAAAAAGACATAACAGGCAACTACTAACCAAAAGAAAGCTCTAATGGAAAATATAGATAAAAAGCATTATCAGGGTTAGAGGGATCACTAGATCATGATAAAGGCTTCGATTCTTCAAAAAGATAAAATAATTCCAAGCTTGTGTATACCTAATAAAACAGCCAAAAGCACATAAATATTGGCACGGGAAACAGCCCATTGGATGACCCTTGAGCAAGTGATGACTAGGAGCTTAATGAGATTGAGCACTTAAGAAACCAGTGTCATAAAATCGAGTGCTCGCTATTTTTAAAGGTAGAGCCATACCTCCGAATAGAATAGTGTTAGATCACCTAACACCATAAAAAGGAGGGGTGTGTGTGTGTGTGTGTGTGTGTGTGTGTGTGTGTGTGTGTGTGTGCTTTAACTTAATGAATTAGAGAGATTCCTAAGGGAGTGTGGGGGGGCGCTAGAGGATTCCTATTTACATAATAGCCCGGAGGCTGGCTGGAATCCATTATTAGATTTCTTGCACGTGTGCCCTGGAAAAACTGAGCAGAGATGAGACCATATGGCCAGCATGACAGGAAAGCGAGTACATTCGGTTCAAAAAGGTGACACTTGCCCTGCACAAAAGAGATCTGCTCTAGCTTCATTTATTTCAGAGAATGGTGGCTTGGCCAGCTAAGGTAGACATTAGAAACACTAGGAAGGATTCTGTCGGGGGTAAAACGCTAAAATCACAATTCTGAGGCCATTAATCATCATTGTCATTATCTTTATCAATCAGTCAGTTCCGGCTGCAGTGGGGTGTACATAATGTTGGGAATACCTGCTTTTTGCCTTCAAAGATCAGCCATTCCTCTTACAGAATAGAGGCAAGCATTCAGTGAAAAGACAGAGAAATGCTGATCTTTTCATGTACATGAATTCTATCTAAAGAAGTGAAGTCTAGGACTGGCAATGGCTCAGAGGCTCTAAGTATGGCAAGGGCTGAGTTCGCTATGAACTAAGTGGTGGGAGTGGCTAAGGGAAACTCACTAAACGGGGCAGTTCCAGTGTTCAAGGATGGAGCAGAGAGATTGGGCTGAGCGGGCATGGAAAGCAGGTTGCTTTAGCCTAAAGTTTAGGCTTTCAGTTGCTACAGGAGTTGTGAGGTGTGCCGATTATCTTCCTTTGTCCCCCTGTCTGCCCCCAGTTCCCCCAGATTATTCTCTTCCTTTCTTAGTCTCGCTCTTTGCCCCTGGAGGCTGAGCCCCGTGAATGGTACTTACAACACATCTTGTTTGGGACTCTAAATTTTTGGAAATACTTGATCTGTATTTATTTTGTTTGCTTTTATTTTTATTGATGCATAATATTTGTATGTATCTATGGAGTGCAGGTAATATGTTGTTATATGCATAGAATGTAATGATCACGTCAGGGCTTTTAGAATATCCATCACTGTGAGCATTTATATCATTTCTATGTGTTGGGAACATTTCTAATCCTCTCTTCTAGCTATTTTGAAATATACAACACATTGTTGTTAACTATGGTCACTCTACTCTGCTATTGAACATTAGAACTTATTCATTTGATCTAACTGTATGTTTGCACACATTAAGCAATCTCTCTTCATCCCCAACTCCCACACCCTTCCAAGTCTCTGGTAACTATCATTCTACTTTCTACCTCCGTGAGACCAATTCTGTTAGCTCCCACATAGGAGTGAGAACATGTGATATTTGTCTTTCTGTGCCTGACTTATTTCACTTAATAAAATTATGTTCAGTTCCATCCAGGTTGCTGCAAATGACAAGATTTCATTCCTTTTATGGCTGAATAGTATTCTATTGTGTGTATATACCACATTTCCTTTATGCATTCATTGGTTGATGGACATTTATGTTGATTCCATGTCTTTGAGACTGTAAATTGTGCTACAATAAACATGGTGTGGTGGGGGTGCAGGTATCCTTTTGATATACTGATTTCCTTTCCTTTGGATAAATACCCAGTAGTGGGATTGCTGGATCATATGGTAGTTCTATTTTTGCTTTTTTGAGAACTCTCCATACTATTTTCTGTAATAGCTGTGCTACTTTACATTCCCACCAAGAGTGTATGAGTTCCCTTTTCTCTGCCTCCCTACCAGCATCTGCTATTTTTTGTCTTTGCAAAGATGGTACAGCAGTTTCTGCACTCAACTCACATGTTTCCCTATTATTAACATCTTACATTACCACGGCCACTTATTACAACTCAGAAAACAACATTGATACATTATTATAAATTAAACTCCAGTCTTTACTTAGATTTTACCAATTTTTCCACTAATATCCTTTTTCTGTTCTGGGATCCAATCCAAGATGCCACATTGCATTTAATAATGTGTCATTAGTCAGCTTCTCAGACTTCTCTTGTTTTTCATGACTTTGACAGTTTTGACGCGTGCTGGTCAGGTATTTTGAAGAATGCCTCACAGTTGGGGTTTGTTGATATTTTCCTCCTGATTAGACTGAGGTTATGGGTTTTGGGGAATTTGACCACAGAGATAAAGTGCCATTTTCATCACAACATATCAAGGGTATATGCTATCAACATGACTTATCACTGGGGATTTTAATCTTGGTCATCTGCCAAGGTAGTATTTGCCAGGTTTCTGCACTCTAAGTTACCTTTTTCTCCCTTTCCATACTCTATTCTTTGGAAGCAAGTCACTAAGCAGAGCCTATGTTTAAGGATGGTGGGCAGGGGTTTGGGATCTGAGTATTACTTTTACATTTAAATTTATTAAAATTAAATAAAAAACTAGTTCTTCAGTCACACTAGCCATATTTGAAGTGGCTAGGGGCTACCATATTGCATAGGGCAACCCTGCATAATATCACATTTCAATATTAGAGGCAAGAGGCAGTGGGTAAGGAGTTGAGGTCCCAAATAGGGAGGGGATGAGCCTGAGTTAACTGAAAGAAGGAGCTATGAAGAGGGATGAAGAGATCTCAGGCAGAATTGCTGAAGAACAGGAGAAGGCCAAGGCCAAAATGTAAGTTAATAAGAAGCTTTAGCACAACATGGCTGTGTGTGTATAGAAAGGGGAGAGGTTGGGAATGAAGAGGTGTCAAAAGATTATACACCTTAACTGTGTGCTGGATTTGGGCAAAAAAATTGGAACTTACAAATCTGGGCTCTTGTTTCGACTGTGCCATTTCTTAGCTGTGTGATGATCTTGGGTGAGCCATAAATTTGCTTCTCTATGCTTGTGTCCTAATCTGCAAAATACGGTAGATTAAAACACTTATCTCATGGGGATGTGGTGAAGATCAAAGGTTATATGTGTTTCAAAGGGCTTTATAGTCTGTACCATAATCTACAAATAGAAAGGTGTTGTGGGATGATGTTGGTGGTACATGAAAATTAGTTTTTCTGTTGCCCTTGTAGAATTGAGGTGTGCTGGTTCCTCTTTTGCCCCTCCCAAACCCCAGATCCAGTCTCTGTCTTGCTCTGTGTCTCAGGAACTTACCCCAGCACCCTGCATCACCCAGTCTCCCTTGTCACCTGACAACCAGTTGGGTTTGACCAATGGGAGACACCAGTGGGAGATCTGGGTGTGGCAGGAGACAGAAGCCAGTGGACTTCTGTTCTTTCCCTGCTTTGACATTCTGTCTCTGATAGTATCTGTACCCCTCCAGGGTTCTCCCCCAACCCCCAAGAAGCACCCTCCTCCATGGCTCTCTCACCAGGCTAAAGCAACACTGTTTTCTTGAGCTTTAAGGGTGGTAATTGCTCCCAGCTTTTGCTGGTTCCTGAGTGGCTCACTATCTTGGCTTATTCTCCCAGCCCTGCCTATACCTCAGTGAGTTGTTCCTCCATTGAACTTTCTTCATTAAAAGCATCTGGTATGAATTCTATGTTCTACCTGGACCCAGATTGAGATGGTGAAGATGGTGAGGAAAAGAATGTTGGGAGTGACATATAGGTTGAACTGAAGGAGGTGAGAGCGTGAGGTGATGGAGCCAATGCAAGGACTGCAGCAACTGAACTGGGGATTAATCAGGGTCCAAACCAAGTTGTCAGTGTAACCAAAGGAAAAAAGACACTTTGGAATAAACTTACATAGAGAGGCATGGAAGATGCCAGTGGTATGGGTAAGATAGAGAACAGAGAGAGAAAGAGAGAGTGAAGAATTAAAGGCTAAATGGGGGTTTCTATGCCAAATACACCAAGAAGTCAACCAGACCACAAGAGCCAAAGACACATGGCCTCCAGCCAAGCAGGAGGTACTACCCACAATGATGAAGACATCAAGAGGCCATGCTTGGTTTTGAAGAGTGTGGATATTGCATTCATACAAGCATGGTCCTAGTTCCACAACTGACTGGCTGTGTGTCCTTGAGTGATTTCATTGGTCTCTCTGTGCTTGTTTTTTCATATGGAAAATGCATCAGACTTGTGAGATTTAGATAAATAAAAGTCATGTGTTCATTCATTCATGGTTCACCAATCATTTCTGGGCATCAGTCACATGCCAGACACTATTCTAGGTCCAGCAGTAAATGAGGCAGGTAAGGTTCCTGCTCTCATGGAAGATTCTAGTGAGGAGAACATATGATGAAAAAGTAACCACCTTAAGTCAGGTTCACTGAAGATGGACTTCAATGATCTGCCTGCAGGAAGTTTATCATGGATGCTCGTAGGAACAACACTTATAGAAGAATGAGGGAAGAGGAATTAAGCAGAGAGAGAAGTTGAACTGCAATGCAAGTGTAACAGAGGCTTCAGCCAATCCCACAGACAGCCCTTCAGAGTTGCCCCAAGGGAAGGCAAATAAGTGGGCCTTTGTACCTCCATCTTGACCAGTCATTGAATCCAGGCTGCCTTCAGGAAAGAGGTGTGATCAAAGGCCAGGTAGTCCCTTCCAAGGACAATGCTTGGAGGGGCACTCAGCTGAGAACACTCAACAGCCATAGCTCCCAACACCTGTAGGAATGAGAACCACAGTCCTAAAAGGAGGATCTGAGAGCACAACAGAGCATCTATTCCACAAATACATCACTGGACCTGGTAAGTTCAGATAGAAATAGATGCTATGAAAACAATGAAACTTGAGGACATGATAGACAGGGGAGTAAGGCACCCACCTGATATGGTTTGGCTGTGTCCCCACCCAAATCTCACCCTGAATTGTAGCTCCCATAATACCGACGTGTCATGGGAGGGACCTTGTGGGAAGTAATTGAATCATAGGGGTGGGTTTTTCCCATGCTGTTCTCATGATAGTTAATAAGACTCATGAGATCTGATGGTTTTATAAAAGGGGACTTCCCCTGCACAGGCTCTCTTACCTGCCACCATGTAAGACGTCCCTTTGCTCTTCCTTCCTCTTTCACCATGATTTTGAGGCCTCCCTAGCCATGTGGAACTGTGAGTCCATTAAACCTCTTTACTTTATAAATTACCCAGTCGTGGGTATGTCTTTATTTGAAGCACGAGAATGGACTAATACACCACCTTAGATTGGGTGGTTAAAGAAAGTTGTAGCACATCCAGCTGCTCAATAAGAATTGGTTTTATTGCCTTGCTTTTCTTTTCTTTTCTTTTCTTTTTTTTTTCTTTTCTTGAGACCAGTGGACATATGGATATCAACCCATCATGAGAAATGTATGGTACCACTTCTAGATGAGGCAGACTCCTAGGTGTTACAGAGGTTACAAAAAATAGACATTATCTTTGACCCCAAGGGGTTTGCAATGTAGCTGAGGAAGACAAGGGACAAAAAATTAGTAAAGAGTACCAGGTGGTATAGCATTAAACCTGGGAGTGTCCAGACCCTTTCAGCCTAGGCAGAAATTCATAGGTGGAAAATAGTCAGTTTGGGTCAAGAAGAGTAATTGGAGCAAAAAATAGTAGCCTGGGGATGAGCATAGAGTGTTTGAAGAAGACTGTCTTATGAGTTGGGAATCAGTGAAGCAGGCTGTTGTTCCTTTGCATCATTGACTTTTGATGTTTTTCTAAAGCATTATCTGGTTTGCTCCAAGTTAGGAGATCTCTAAGATCCATTACTTGGACATTGGACATATGAGATGTTGCAGTACTTTGGTGGCTGGTGGCTGTGTTAGGCAGGAGTGACAGAACGGGACCACACAGTTCCAGGAACACTTCTTAGTAAGGAACTAAAGGAGCCTGAGAGTGAGTCCAGAGAACTGTGAGAATGGCGGTAGCACTAGTAGAGGTGGGCCTTGCAGGCAAGTGAAATATGGGATCAGATCCCTTAAGAGATGCTGGGAATGAGATGTAGTTTTGGAATCATACCTGTAGAGCTAACGTCTAATGTCTGGAAACCAGGAAGGGGGGTGAGACGCCGAAGAGAGAACGTAGGAGAAAAGAATGGAGGCTTGCAACGCTGTGAGAGGCATATCGCCAGCATTTCGAAAATGCATCCCGAATTACTACAAAACAAACGGGCATGGGTCCTTCAAAATGTATGTCCTAAAGCCTTTTAAGAAGATACGGATTGTGAGCATAACCCATAGGCATTGAGAAGAAAGACAAATAAATGGCAGCAGTTTTCTGAGACTTGGCCCTGGCACATTTTCTGTTCTCTTGTTTTGAATGACTTTGTTGGCAGCAGGGTTATTAAAATAGCATTCCAAGGGTTTGAACTTGAAGGAGGATGTCATTTTTGTTAACCTTTAACCAAGAAGGCAGGTGGAGAAGAGATAAATTATCTGCCCAAGGAGGAATAATGGTTGCATTCAAAGAAAAAACAGGAGATTACTGAGGCACTACTCCGAGTGACCCCATGACCCCTCTCTTTACTGGAGGATTGATACAGAAAGGTTCCCCTCACTTTTTCTCCAGGCACTGAAGTTGAAGTCCCAGGAGTACTAAGGAGCAGGTGACATGGCAACTTGAAAAATTAAGAAGCGTAGGAATCAATTAAACAAGAAGACGTTTATCCCAGACTTCTAAAGCCACAAAACAAAATTCACTAACCTCCTAATGAAAATATAGTTATCTAGCTCATCATTGGGAACAGTTCTTTCAGTACTGGCTGCATTCACCATTTTGTTACAGTAAGTTGCTTAGCAGGATCCAAGCTTTTGGGATTTCTCCTGCAAAGCCTACCGATTGGTCAGGAGGTAGTGACAGGTTTTAGATTAGAAGGAACAGAATTTTGTTCCACAGTTTTGAAGTGTGGTTAGGACAATGGCTGAAGGTGTTAAATCAGAACCTGCTTGAACATGGTGGACACTAAGAATTGGTGATTCAAGTAGCTAGTTTAGACTCCTCAAAGACCACCAGAGATGGGGAAGAGTGGAGACCAAAGGACTGAGGAGAAATAGAATGTCAAATTGGTAAGAACTTAAAAAGCATAAAACTGAGTAAAGTCAGTAGTCTAGTTAACAGTACTGTACCAATATCAGTTGCCTGCTTTTGATATCCTACTACAGTCATATAATACGGGGGAAGCTGGGGGATGGGTACATGGCACTGTGTACTACTATCCTGGCAACTTCCTGTGAGTCTATAATTATTTCAAAATAAAATGTTTCTTCAAAGTCCTGCCCCCAGGCAAAAAAGAGCCCTTTACCCCAAGAAAAAAATAATCATGCTTATGAACAATAACAAATATTTATGTGGTTCTGTACAGTTTCTAAAACACTTCCAAATATGTTATCTCATTTGTTCCTCCCAACAACATTAACTAGCAAAGGTACTCTATTATTCCCATTTTATAGATGAGAAAACTGAGATTCAGAGAGATAAAGTAACTCACCTATGATCACAGACAGTAAATTGCCAAGGGAGATTCAAATGCACATGTTTGAGTTCCAGATGCCATGATTACTTACATTTAAACCCACCTGGCCTAGGTTGGTTCCCACAGACACAGACCCTGAAACAAGGATTTAAGTGCAAGAAGCTTATTTGAGAGGCGATCCGAAACTCTATCGGGGGAGCAGGGAAGCATGGCAGGGAAGAGTACATTATGGAGCAGATTGTCTCTGTGAGCAACTGGGGCTCAGTCCCACGAGGGGACTCTGGGAGATGCAATAGAGTATGCCTTGGAGTCCTGTCCTACTTAATCAGGAGGCGAAGAAGCTCGTGTATTTACCTCTCATGCCCGTCCCATATTGAATGAGGGCTGCTCTCATGGGTGTTTATTCCATGGCCCCTCTAGATAACTCAGTTCTTGGGCAAACAGGAAACGCTCAGGCAGAGAGTTGCAGACACTGCTTGCAGTAGGACACTGTTAGTATATTTTGGAAAGGTTAATGCACAGCAGATAGGGGCAGAGTCCCCACTAACAGTGACTGTCCCTTTATTCTAACACCCACACCCCAATCCTGCTGCCATTCAGAATGTTTCCTTTCATCTTAGAATATTCTCCAACCACATATACATTGAAGTAGGCAGACACAAGAGCCCAGGAGTCAGGATCGAAGGGAGAAAGAGCAGCAAAAAGCATGTACATGTGTGTGCATGTAGATTGTGTGTGTGCATCTGAGTCTTTTTATACATCCAGATTTTTATGGTTCACCAACTTCTTCCAGAAACAATTGAGGCTGAGGAGAAGATATAAATGTTGGTATCCATGGAGCCAGAGGTTAAGGCCAAAGTCAAAGGTCAAAGTCAAAGTCAAAAGTTGGCATTTTCCACTATACCAATATAAGCCCAATGCATCTACTGGGACTCCTTTAAAAGGGTCTAAATATGACCAAACAGAGCAATTGACTAAGGAACAGGCTTGTAGACAGCATTTTATTTAGTTTGGTGGATACGACAGGGGAGGCTAATGGAATTGTAGAAAAATGGGCTAGATATGGAAACATGTGATAGTGGGAAAGGACTTTCTCATGGTGATTGCTGCCCACTAAAGAATTGATTGGCTCTTTTCTTATTCATATGGTATTTCTTCTCCAGGGTGAAGGCTGATATACTCTTCATCTCTGTAGGCTAATTTAATCATTATGTGCATACTCTAGAAATTAGTGCCATTTCCCCTACTCATGCCTGAAATAGACATTTCCAACATTTATAATTCTCAGTCATTTTAATCCAATCGTATGCCAAGTATGTTCTCAATTAGAACCATTTTGCTCTATGTTTGATACCATGAAGTGGAACACATGTTGTGATCTTTTAAAAAAGCTTTTAAATAGCAAAGGTATACTAGGTTCTCCCGTATTATTATAATTCAAAAGCAGCTGATGGAATCTTTCTCCGCTGTTTACCCAACCGTAAAAATTTGACCCTTAAATTAAAATCAAATAGAAATATCCAGGGGATGTAATGCCTCAAAATGTAGAGCACTGTTGTCTTTAGAAAATTTCCACAGCTTTAATTCATTACATTCTCACAGATTTTTTTCATATTTAAAAGATGCCATAAAGGTGTGATACCAAGTCATGAATAAGAAAATAGTGTTTAGTCTTGGTACATGTAACATCATTTTGTTTCCCAATTTAGCATCGATCCCTTCTAAATCATAGCCATATTCTGGCATTAATACGATCACATTTCCTAAGCCTGTGTGTAAACAAACATAAAACCGCTTTAACCTAGAAAATGTGTGGATTTATCCATATTCTGATTCCAAGCTTTTTGTGCTCTTTAAGCTTCAGGAGTTTCCCCCCCTCACATTTACTCATCATAAACTGAAAGCCAAATCCTCTGACAACTTGGTGCCTCTTACAACAGGTCTTCCTCCCCTTGCAAGGTGCTGGCAATTTCAGAGGACCCCAGCCTCTTGATAAAGACAGTGCTGTGTTCCCGGGAACCTATTGCAGTTTCCCAAGTAAAGTACAGGCCTGCCTCCCTTTACAGAATAAAATTGATTTCAACTCTGTGAATAGAGAGTAACTTGGTGCAAGCAGAGTTTACCAGGCGTGAGCACTGGGAGAGTTCTGCTGTTCTGCTGACAGCATATCGACATAGAAATGCAGCTAGGGTGGGTCTTCAATGATTTACAACCAAATGGGTACACCTGAATAACTGGACACCAATGAATGATTAAAGGATGCTCAAACATAATGTCAAGTGGCAGAGGCTGCAATATCAGCATGAAGAAATGTGAAGCAACATCAGCAGAGCCTGCCATTTAACTTAATTTAAAAAGTAATTTGGCATATATGACTTGACATTGCCAATTTTGGCTTTGCCAAGAAAGGGCAATTCCAAAGCAACCTGACTGTCAACCATTGGTATAAATTCATCAAAGAAAGGCCATTTGAACAGTCAAAAAGAGCCAGAAATCAGTATCTGTGGGTAAAGTTTTATCAGTGCCCATAAATATAGCAATGCCCTTCTGGGAAAGATGAGCTTTTATCTCGGTGGGATCCAGGTTCTTGTTGAAAGGGATAGGTGACACTTTGGGAGGCCGAGGCAGGTGGATTACGAGGTCAGGAGATTGAGACCATCCTGGCTAACATGGTGAAACCCCGTCTCTACTAAAAAAATACAAAAAATTAGCCAGGTGTGGTGGCGGGCGCCTGTAGTCCCAGCTACTCGGGAGGCTGAGGCAGGAGAATGGAGTGAACCCGGGAAGCGGAGCTTGCAGTGAGCTGAGATGCGCCACTGCACTCCAGCCTGGGCGACAGAGCGAGACTCCGTCTCAAAAAAAGAAAAAAAAAGAAAAAGAAAAAGAAAAGAAAGAAAAAGAAAGGGAGAGGTGAGATCTAATGTCTTAGGGGAAAGGGCTGCACCCCGCCCCCACATTTCGGTTGGGAGTCTTCAACCTGGGAGAGTGAACACAGCATTGTCTTCACCTAGAGACAGAAGTTCTCTTAAATTGCTAGCACATTGCAAAAGCCTCTTTATTAGGAATGTTTACTAACTACTTTTCTTTATTTGTGATACAGCTTATAGGAGTGCACAAAGACGGGCTATATCTGTGTCTACACCAGTGTGTATACCAATAGGGTATACCTGTTTCTATACACAGGGTGTACCTGTGACCACCACCACATCAACATATAAAACATTTCCGGACCCCCAAAAGGCTTACTCACGCCCCCTCAGCCAGTACCCCAGGGTAAGCACTACTCTGACCTCTAGTGCCAGAAAGTGGAATTGCTGGATTATAGGGTACATGCATGTTTAGCTTTCATTGGTACTGCCAAACCTTTTGCAAAAGTGTCGAACCAATTTGCAATCCTAACCGATGACTTTTTGTTTGCCCAGATTTTCTGCTGTTGTTACTGAAAATGCTCAATAGCTCTTCTCTTGCCATTCGCTTGACCTAACCCATGACAAGTTTTCATTACCCCCCTGGGTTTGTAATGGTGTATAAGCCAATATGGCTGTCATTTGTCATTAGCTCGTGGTGGCAATGACAGAACGAGTGATATGGCGACACACTGTGATTTTACAGTTAGTGTGAGTGTTACTGTGAATTTCATGGTAAGTCCCGCTGAGACAAAACAAAGCATCTTGGTAAATCTCAACAAATTATGACCTGTGTCATTATTTCATCAGCCCCTAAAGCTTGAACTCTTTCTTTTGCCTCCCAGGTAACAAGACACACAATTCTTACAGATCCCTCAAGAGCTGTTTGAAAAATAGTGGATTTTAAAATCTAGAAGGAGTGTGAAAGGAACCCAGGGGCTTTGCCAATGGAGTGTCATCATTCAGGCCCCATTTTGAATCTAAACCATCTGATGGTAAATCTTTATATTTTTTCTTCCTTTTTAAACAGAATTATAATTAGGCTTAAAATTTGTTGTTTCAGCTTTTATTCAATTAGTCTTAGAAAAATGTGTACTTTGAAAGATCTGGGTACAGCTGACAGAGCTCATGTGATACAAATATTCTGTTTGGTACTCATGTCATAGACTATTAGTGCAATTTGTTTAGAATTTGGTTTTATTTTAAACATTTTTAGAAAAAAAAGAAATAGCAAAAAGCCAAGTGGCACTTTATCTGATCTGCTAAAAGTGTTGCATTTAATCTAATCCTTTTCTAGGGATTTAGAAGTGAAATAAATATATAAATGCCTACCAGAGAACATCTCCACATTTTCTTGCCTCTAACCAAGCTAAGAATGCAAGTCCAATAACACAAAATGTTGTCTGGGGCTTGCTTTATAAACATGCAGCAAATAGGGGTTATGTAAAGGGGAAGTAGATGAAGGAAGATTGGTCAAATATAGGTAATTGTTGAAGCTGGATGATGAGTTCAGGGGGTTCAATGTATTCTCTCTACATTGGTGCATTTGAAATTTTTCAAAATAAAAAATTGAAAATTACTTCAACAATAACAAATATAATGAAGTTACTAATAATTAAGGGGTATAGAAAAGTAAAACAAGCAGAATTTTAAAAATAACTTATGGAAATATGAACATGGGCTATTTGCTGATGTTAAGAAATTATGCATCATGGTATTGTGGTCATGTTTTAAAAAATAATCCTTATCTTTTAGAGATATGTCCTGAAATATTTATGGATGAAATGATAGGATGTCTGCTTTTTGCTTGAAGATAATATAGGGATGGGGGAGGGAATGGGCGAGATTGTCCGTAGGTCAATCGTTGTTGCTGAATCATGGGCCATGTGGGTTCATATACTGCTGTACTTACCCTTGCGTGAGTTTTGAAATGAAGTAAAAAGTAATTTATACATATACATTCAAAGAAAACAGATTTATACTGTGAAATTGCAGATTTTTCTCTTCGTCCTTAGGTTATGAAAAGGTTAAGGTGAAATGTTTTTATGAAAGCAGCTATTGTAAAAAACATCTCTGAAATTATTCTCATTTGGGGAACACATTACAAATAACACAAATTAAAAATACAAGTCCAAACAACAAAGGTAATTGTAGGGTTCTGATAAACCTACAATCACCCAGTGGACTAATGAATTCCATGGTTCCAAGGTGCAAAATTGCTTCTGTGTGTCTGTGGCATGCCCGTTGTCTCACCATGGGGTGAGTTGGATAGGGCAGAGGTGGGATCCAGCTACCAGATCTTGCCTCCCCAACTTACTCCCTGCCTCTTTTAGAAATTCACAGACCATTGAATGAGGACTGACCTTCTTTTCTGAACCAATATCAGAACCTATTAACAAGTGCACTGGGCCATATGGAAACCATGGGACTGAACGAGGAGGGCAGTAGCTCAGTGGTTAAGAACACTGGCTTAAAAGCCAGGTTCCCTGGTTGCAGGTGAAGCTGTGTGACCTTGGGTAAGCTATTTAACCTCTTTGTGCATCAACTTCCTCATCTTTAAAATAGAAGTAATGATAGTGGTACCCATCTCAGGGGATTATCGTGAGGAGAAGTGAGGTCAAGCACTTAAAACAGTGCCTGTTACATGGTAAGTGCTTTACAAATGCTAGCCATTGTTATCGTTATGTACAAGTGGGTCTTTCTTAAAACGTGCTTGAAATAAGATCTTTTCACTCACAGAGCAACAGGCAAAAGCTCAAATAACAAACAACCATGTTTCCTATTCTTTTCCACCCAAGGACCTCCTAACCAGAGGTTAGCCCTGCATGCTCACTGCAAGGAACTCTGGGAGTAGAGTCTGAAGGAAGCCACTTACAAGTACAAGTCTCTTTTAAGTTCAATGTTTTAGTTAAAAACCCCACACATTTTGAAACCTCCATCAGAATATAGTATGTTTTTCCCTCTTCCTCCTCCTCCACCTCCTCCTCCTTCTCCTTCTCCTTCTCCTTCGAGACTGGGTCTGTCTCTGTCATCCAGGCTGGAGTGTGGAGTGCAGTGGTGCAATCTGGGCTCACTGCAACCTCTGTCTCCTGGGCTCAAGGGATTCTTCCACCTCAGCCTTCCAAGTAGCTGGGAATACAGGTGTGCACCACCATGCCCAGCTAATTTTTTTGTTTTGTTTTGGTATTTTTTGTACAGATGAGGTTATGCCATGTTGGCCAAGCTTGTCTCGAACTCCTGAGCTCAAGTGATCCACCCACCTTGGCCTCCCAAAGTGCTGGGATTACAGGCGTGAGCCACTGCACCCGGCCTATAGTATGTTTTCTTATAGAAGTAATGTGAGCCCTAATAATTTTTTGCATAAAATTGAAAGTCAGGAGAGATGCCCTGCATTCATCCCATGGCTTTCCTGATCCTCTGGATGTGCCTGCCTCTCAGTTTGAGAAACTGAGATATTTAGAACCATTTGATTTTGTAAACTCCCTGGATCCTCCTCCCAAATTATCTGGTGTACTTTTTACCAGCTCCTCCTTAATACTACCTTCCATCCTGTGATGGGCATTGTGTAGCTTTCCCTCACAGTCTTTTAGCCCAGGGTATTATAATACATCCTCTCCTCCCTTCGTTTTCATTGACTCCTCTGCAACTGTTGACATAATTGACCACTCAGCCCTTTTCAAAACTGAGTGAGTTGGTTTCTGGGACAACAGTAGCTTCAGGATCTCCTTCTACCCCTCTGGCCACTCCTCTGTCTCTTTTGCAGGATCATCTTTTTCTATTCAGCTCCTAAGTGTCATGCTTCTCAGGACTTTGACATCATCTCAGGGTTCTTCTCATTATATTTCCTCCAAGGGTGACCTCACGAATATCCAAAACCTCAGTTTCCACCTGTAAAGAACATTCTAGTCTTTGTCTCTTCTCCCCAGCTAGTACCAGAATTTCTCTTTTCTGGAAGAATACACTTGTGGAAGCTGATCCTGCCCCACACATGGCCACAAGTTTAGGCCTGTGACCCGGGCATGGCCAATCAGAATATTCCAACTCCAGATTACAGTGCTTGGTTCAGGAATAGGCATATAACCCACAATGGGCCGGTAAGTATTCACTGAGACGTTTCTGCTGGAACTGCAGGAAACAAACAAACAAACAAACACAAATGCAACTTTGATTTTTTTTTTCCTGAGACAGGGTCTCACTCTGTTGCCCAGGCTGGAGTAGAGTGGTATGATCATACCTCACTGCAACATTGAATTACCTGTCTCATGTGATCCTCTCACCTCAGCCTCCCAAGTAGCTGGGACTACAGATGTGCACCACCATACCAGGCTAGTTTTTAATTTTTTGTAGAGATGGGGTCTTGCTGTGTTGCCCAGGCTGGTCTTGAACTCCTGGCCTTAAGTGATCCTCCTGCCTCAGCCTCCCAAAGGGTTGGGATTACAGGTGTGAGCCACTGCACCTAGCCTCTGATGAGGTTGTTGAACCAATAGATGTGAATTCGGGACTTTGAGGTTGCCAGAGACTATTACGCTCAAAATAGTCCAAGACATTAAAAGAGAGACAAAATCCCCTAAATTATCATATAAACTTTTGGATCCAGCTATGCCTGAAGCCAAAGAAACAACTCCTGGGCTTTTTGGTGTCCTAGGCCAATGAGTTCCCTTTTCTGCATGCACTAGTCTGTATTGTTTTTCTTTTTGTCACTTGCAACTATCCATATGCTGATGACTCCCAAATCTACATCTGTAGCCAAGGCTTCTCTCCTGAGCAACAGGCTCATAGAAATAACATCCAACTAAACAATTTCCACACAGGTGTCCCACAAGGATCTCAAACACAACGTATTATCTGCTAAAGAATGGCAACCTTAATCACACTGTAAGTTTGTATTTACTTGTAACGTTTTAAAATTTTCCACCAGAATGCAAACTCTTTAAGGACAGGAACATTCCTTGTTTATTCATTGCTGTATCTCTAGCACCTGGAGGAACACACATAGATGTTCAAAAAATATTTGTTGAAGGAATAAACCAAAAAATGAATGAAAAAAAGGAATTTCCCTTGACTCTTTTTATAATCTCATTTACCATAAGCAATTAGTACTATTGATTTTGACTCATGAATATCTCAAATCTCCTACCTGATCCCATCACTGCACTCCACTGCTTACCTCAAGCCCAACTAGCATCTTGCTTGGACCATTGCAAAAGTCTCCTAACTCTTATTTCTGCCTACAGCTACCCTCCACACAAGTACCAGGGTCTTTCTAAAAGGGAAACCAGATTCTATTGTGCCCCTGCTCCACATCTATCAATGACACTACTGAATTTTCTAGATTAAATCTTGGCCCCTGCCTCCCTCTCCAGGCTCATCTCCTGGCTCTCTCTCCGTGCGGCCTGTCTTAGTACATTAGTGTTGCTATAAAGGAATACCCGAGGCTGGGTAATTTCTACAGAGAAGAGGTTTATTTGGCTTATGGTTCTGCAGACTGTATAAGAAGCATGGTGCCAGCATCTGCTTCTGGTGAGCACGTCAGGAAGCTTCCACTCACAACAGAAGATAAAGGAGAGCTGATGTGTACAGAGATCTTGCAGTGAGAGCAGAAGCAGGAGGGAGAGGAGGAGGTGTCAGGCTCTTTCCAACAACCAGTTCTTGCAGGAATTAACAGTGAGAACTTACTCACTCCCTTGAGAATGGCACCAAGCCATTCATGAGGGATCCGCCCCCATGATACAAACACCTCCCACCAGGCTCACCTCCAATATCAGGGATCACATTTCAGCATGAGACTTGTTGGGGACAAACAAACCATAACCAAACCACAGCACAATCATTGCCCAAGGAAGAGAGAACCATGTGGGGTCTCCCAAATTCTTCAGTGTATTTCCTGCCTCTGCGTCTTTCACATGCTATGGTCTCCTCCCATGCTCCCCCTTTCTTTCACTCTTCTAATTCTCCTGCAAAACTCAGGTCCTGTCCAGAAAGCCTTCTCTGGCCTCTGTCTCTCCATTCTGATTTAGAATTTCCTCCTCTATGTTCACAAAGCTGTCTGTACACACTTTTCCTACCAAAGCACTTATGTGTCACAGACTTTTTTAGTCCTGACTAGTAGCTATATTTTACTTTCCTCTTGGGCATACAGCTAGACACATTTCCCATGCTCCCTGGCAGCTAAGGATGGCTATATGCGAGTCCTGGCCAATGGAATGTGGGCAGAAGTGATGTGTGCCACTTTTAGGCCTGGCCCATAACAACCTCTCATTTACGGTTCCTGTTCTCTTTCCTCTCAGCTTAGTAGAGGACTGAGGACCTAGGGAAGAGAGGAGTCCCAAGGTAGATAAAATCACTTGTACAATTCTGCAACTAGGGCCACCCTGTGGTAAAAACTGGGAGACAGAAGAGGGAAAAACAAAAACAGGAACTTCACCATCATACTGACTTCATCGTTTTGCTTTTCCTACCCAATCTGCCTGCTATTACTTATTTTTTGGTCCTCAGACAATTGTTTGTTGTTATGGTTTTGTTTCCTGCCCAGAATTTGTAGTTGCAGTGAGTGAGACAGGTAGAATGTAAATGGCTTACCCCATCTTGGCCAGCACCTCCTCCACCATCTTGTTTTTGTATCCAATTTCCCGCCTGAATACCTGGCTCACAGTGGAACCTTAATAATGGTTTTCCAGGTGAAGTAATTAATTTTCCAGATTTGTAAGATCAACTATGGTATAGTCTTACTAGAACAGCATTTCTTGTTCTTGGCTTTACAATTTATATAAGCGTAGAAATATTTGGAACAGTTCTCAAGAGAACTGAAGGTATGATTAAGGATAGAAAGTAGATGCTCCAAAGAGAGGCTGTATTATGTGGCATTACTTAATTTTACTGGTTGGAAAGGAATGAGTGGTGACAATTTTCCATGCAGATCTTCAAATTAATAAAGTATAGAAGTTAGTGTCTCACTCCCTTGTAAATGGAATGTGGCTTGTTTCTTGTACCTTATATATGTGTATTAAGCATATGTAAGAAATCTATACTCATGTATGTGTTGAGAATTTAATTGGTAAATTCTTGACTCCCTAAACAGTAATATTTAACTCATTATTGTTATTTATTATACATAAGTATATCCTTCAGTTGACATATACTTGTTAAGATCTTCTACATGCAATGTTCAGTGAGAATTAAAAGAAGTAGGAAAAATAGCACCTGTTTAAAATAATAGTAAAGTCCCACTGATGAGAACTTGACATTCTACAAAGCACTTTCACTATTCTTACCTAATACTTTCCTTGGAACATTCCAGGAATGTAGGTTTTAGTCTCATTTGACAGAGGCTCAGAAAGTTTCGGAAATCTGTCTCTGATCACACAGTAATGACAGAATTGAGTCCCCTACCCAGGTCTTCTGGTTCCAGTTTCCGTTCCCTTATCATTATACTTCAGTCTACCTGGGGAATAAAATAGCTCATCCATAGACAGTTCTCCAATAGTTCAAGGCAGGTTGAAGTTCAAATGCCAACTGTAGGGTCAAATGTACAGGGAACCCACTTCCCTAACCCTACACACTCCCCTCTCCCCTCAACAGCATTCTAGAAAGGGCACTGGTGACATGGTTGGCTCACTCTGAACACCAAGCTTGTGGTTGCAAATGTTCCTACCACTCTGATGAGGTTATTTTATTCAGGACATAATAAATAAAGAGCACAAAAACAATTGAGCTAATACTTGGGACCAAACTGTGAGAACTAGACACCTTTAAGCAAAATTCAGTACATAGAAAATTACAAATAATACACAATGTGGCTCCAATATTCACTTTCATTCCTAATTGAGCAACTGTGGGAAACTTTTAGCTAATCATTTATTTCATTTGCAAGTAGTTAAATGTATTTTTAAAACTTAGATGTCAAAGATGTGCAAAAGAAAAACTAATCTAGAGTGACAATCAGGAAATGTTTGGGGGACTTCCTGGAAAGAGGTATGAGGGAATATTTTGGGGTGATGGAAATGTTCCACACCTTGTTTTGGATGGTGGTTATTCAGATGTCTACAACACATAGGAAAGGCGCTCTTAAGATTTGTGTATTTAATTGCCATAGAAAGAATAAAATACCTAGAAATACAGCTAACGGGGAAGTGAAAAATCTCTACAACAAGAATTAAAAACTCTACTCAGAGATATCAGAGATGACAGAAACAAATGGAAAAATATTCCATGCTCATGGATAGGAAGAATTAATATCACTAACATGGTCATAATGCCCAAAGCAATTTACAGATTCAATGCTATTCCTATCAAACTACCAATGATATGCTTCACAGAACCAGAAAAAAAACTATTTCAAAATTCATATGGAACTAAGAAAGAGCCTAAGGAGCCAAGACAATCCCAAGCAAAAACAACAAAGCTGGAGGAATCACGTTACAACTTCAAACTATACTACAGGATCACAGTAACCAAAACAGCATGGCACTGATACAAAAACAGACACATAGATCAATGGAACAGAATAGAGAGCACACAAATAAGACCGCACACCTATAACCATCTGATATTTGACAAACCTGACAAAAACAAGCAATGGCAATGGGGAAAGGACTCTCTATTCAATAAATGGTGCTGGGAGAACTGGCTAACCATATGCAGAAGAATGAAACTGGGTCCCTTCCTTACACCATATACAAAAATGAACTCAAGATGGATTAAAGACTTAAATGTAAAACCTAAAACTATAAAAACTCTGGAAGACAACCTAGGAAATATCATTCTGGACATAAGACCTAGCAAATATTTCATGATCAAGACATCAAAAGCAATTGCAACAAAAGCAAAAATCAACAAATGGGATCAATTAAACTAAAGAGCTTCTGCACAGCAAAAGAAACTATCAACAGAGTAAGTAGACAACCTACAGAATGGAAGAAAATATTTTCAAGCTATGCATCCAACAAAGGTCTAATATCCAGACTCTATAATGAACTTAAATCTACAAGCAAAAAACAACCCTATTAAAAAGTGGGCAAAGGACATGAACAGATAGTTTTCAAAAGAAGACATACATGCAGCCAAAAAGTATATGAAAAAATGTTCAATATCACTAATCATTAGAGAAATGCAAATCAAAACTATAATGAGATACCATCTCACCCCAGTCAGAATGGCTGTTATTAAAAAATAAAAAAAATAACAGATGCTGGCGAGGCTGTAGAGAAAAGGGATCACTTATACACTGCTGGTGAGAGTAAACTAGTTCAGCCATTGTGGAAAGCAATGTGGCAATTCCTCAAAGAACTAAAAACAGAATTACCATCCAACCCAGCAATCCCATTGTTGGGTATATACCTGAAGGAAAAGAAATTGTTCTACCATAAGGACACATACATGCGTAAGTTCATTACAGCACAATTTACAATAGCAAAGACATGGAGTCAGCTTAAATGCCCCTCAACAGTAGACTGGATAAAGAAAATGTGGTGCATATACACCGTGGAATACTATGCAGCCATAAAAATAATGAGATTATGTCATTTGCTGCAACAAGGATGGAGCTGGAGGCTATTATCCTAAGCAAAGTAATGCAGAAACAGAAAACCAAATACCACATGTTCTCACTTATAAGTGGGAGCTAAACAATAAGAACACATGGACACGAAGAGGGAAACAACAGATATTGGGGCCCCCTTGAGAGTGGAGGGTGGGAGAAAGGAGAAGATCAGAAAACAATATCTATCAGGTACAGTGCTTAGTACCTGGGTGATGAAATAATCTGTACATCAAATCCCCATGACATGAGTTTACCTATATTACAAACCTGCACACATACCATTGCATCTGAAATAAAAGTTAAAAAATTGTTTATTTTATGTTAATTACACCTTCATTTCTAAAGTGTGCAAAGGAGCTTACAGTTTTTCAAAATTCTTTTAAGGGAATGTTAGCAAAAATGTTTGATAACCCTTGTTCTAAGTATATACGGAACAAATTTCTTGTTTATTTTATTTTATTTTTTTGGAGACAGGGTCTCGCTCTGTCACCCAGACTGGAGTGCAGTGGCATGATTATGGCTCACTGTAGCCTCAACCTCTCAGACTCAAGCAGCCCTCCCACCTTAGCCTCCTAAGTAGCTGGGACTACAGGCGTGCGCCATCATGCCAGGCTATTTTTTTTTTTTTTTTTTTTTTTAGTTTTTGTAGAGACAGGGTCTCACTGTGTTGTCCAGGCTGGTCTCAAATTCCTAGACTCAAGCAATCCTCCACCTTAGCCTCCCAAAGTGTTAGAATTACAGGCATGAACCACTGTGCCTGGCTGGAACAAATTTCTTGTTTTTGAAGGTTCTTACTTATTCTTTTGATTTCTTTGTATCATGCAACTTGACTGCAAGGTAAAGTGATCCACAACACATCAAATTATTTATGTTTTATTGTTGTTATGTTGAGTGTTTTTCTCATAGCCCAAACAAAAATCTCCACTTTGGGTTTTATGCTTCAGAACATTCTCTAAAAAAAATAAAAAGAAGGGTGAATAATAAAATTAACTAGAGAAAAGGTTATTCTTCAGATAATGTGGTGAATGAATGTATTTTTCTGTTTGTTAATTGCTTCCTCCTAGAAACTCTTTCTTGGAGGAAGAATATAGTGATTAAAGTAATTTTTATGTAAATGGAGTTTCAAAATTAATCTAATTCTGAAGAATTGCTCTCAAATTTATATGAATTTAGATGGGGAAAATATCCTGGCACACAAATGTTTCCATGAACAAAGGAGCAGACACAGTGGACTACACTGAGTAGAGATGCTCAATACTGGTGGTTTGATCCCTGACCTGGTCCTGGTTATCATTTCTCTGCAACTTGCCAATTCAGCTATGCCATAAAAACCTTAATAGCCAGCTGAATCTTCTTGCAAAGGAGGCATGAAAACCAGACTTCTTTAATCTTCTGGCACAGTGAAAACAAATGACAAGATGGCCTATCCTTCCATGAATAATATTTCTGTCTTCTGGTCTTTTCTCACATATGCCAAATGACTTCCAGAGGTTTTGCCAGTCCTGCATGCATTCTGTATCTGCTCTCTGTTCTGAAAGGCTATCTGATTGTTGTCCTGAGCTTGAGATGGCTTCTAGGCTTTCAGAACTGTGAGCCAAATCCAAGAAATCTGCTGAGCTGCAGGGAAGAAGTTGGCGTTTTTCTTCCTTAGCATATAGATCTTTGGCTCTAACAACTGGAACTGTAATGGTTCTTTGGTGATCTGAGACATTATTTTCTTTTTCCTTCATTTTCCTTGTTTTGTGAGGTACAGCAGTGATAACAGGCATGGGTTAACTTAGAAGATAACAGAGAATGGGTTAACTTAGAAGAGTCTGAATACCAATCTTTCCTCAAGGCCCTGCAACAGAAACACCTCCTGTTTGGAAGGTTAAATTTCTTATACTCAGTAACACTACCACACATCCTCAGAAGTAACTTCAATATCTGTGTAATCTTTTAAGGGTGGAGAGTCCTCAAGGTCATTTTTTCCCACATCAATCACCTCACATTCCCTACTTTTTTGCTGGTTTTATCAGTAGCAGTAGCTCCTACTTTTATTCCAACACCTATCTGCTCCAGTATTGACTCATTCCAAACCCACAAGTCACCTGGGAGTGACTAAAACAATGGCAGGACCTATTTGCCTCTCTCTGATTTCTGCATTTCTGTGGTGAGGTAGACAGCGTGGGAAAACTGCCTTCTTTCGTTATTTTCCTGGAGTTGGAACTTTCCTCTGCACATTGCTTCCATTGGTCTTGGCTGGGAATATCCATGTCACGACTCTAGACTGCTGGTGACAAGATTCTTTCTTAGCTTATCAAAGGCAGGACTTGGATCTTTCATTGAGAATTGCTGACATCCAAGTAGTCCTCCCAAAAGACCTCCATCACACCACAGTATTGCCACAGGCTGCTCCTATGGATCATAAGTTGCTTCCCCACTAGACAGTGGCCTGGATACTGCTTGACCACTCCAACAACCATCATTTCATCTTGCACCTGCCGCCTGCAAAACCTTCAAAAGTGGCCATTTTGGCCAGGTGTGGTGGCATATGCCTGTAATCCCAGTGATTTGGGAGGCTGAGGTGGGACAATCACTTTGAGCCCAGGAGTTTGAGGCTACAGCGAGCTATGATCGTACCATTGCACTCCAGCCTGAACAACAGAGAGAGACCCTGTGTCTTAAAAAAAAAAAAAAAAAGTGGCTGTTTTGATCGTATGTGTTGTACACGTAAAATCAATGTGATTGACTTATTCTGGGGAGAACCCGCAAGCACTATCAGATGTTGAACACTGGGAAGAAGTAGAAAATGGTCATTTGGGCACTGAAGACATTTGGGTCTGTTGTTCAAAGCTTACGGCTGCTCTATGGGTTGCTCTTCAGCCGAAACTGGAGGGTATCAGTCACAGGTCCTAAGGCCTTAGCATTATTTTGAGACAGAGAGGAGCTCAGCATTTAAAAGAGACATTTTCTGCCCTGAAACAATCTTTGGGCTCTTCGGTACTGAGTTAAACAGTGTCCCTTTCAAAAGAAATTCATGTCCACCTCGAGCCTCGAAATGTGACCTTATTTGGAAATTGAGTCTTTGCAGATATAATTAGTTAAGATAAGGCCATACTGGATTAGAACAGGCCATAATCCAATGATTGCTGCCCCTATAAGGAGAGGAGAAGATGCAGAGACACACAGAGAAGAAGGTCATGTGATGATGGAGGCAGAGATTGGGGTGATGCATCTACAAGCTAAGGAACTCCAACAATCGCTGGCAAGCATCAGACACCAGGAAGAGGCAAAGAAGGATTCTTCCCTAGAGCCTTCAGAAGGCACATGGCCCTGCTGTCACTTTGATTTCAGACTTCTGGCCTCTGGAACTGTGAGACAATAAATTTCTGTGTTTTAAGCCACCCAGTCTGTAGTCCTTCCTTATGGCAGCCATGGGAAACTGATATATCTTCTTTCACTGTCCACACTCTGTATTATTTGCAAATTCTTCTCTAAGTGAGAAGGGGTCTGTGTAGTGATTCTGAAGCCAGATTACCTGGATTTGTTTGAATCTTGACACTGCCACTTATTAGCTGTGTGACCTTGAGCAACTTACCCCACTGCTCAGTGCCTCAGTTTTCCTGAGCTGTAAAGTGGGCATTAAATGAATTAATAATTTTATGGGCTTAAAACAGTGCCTAGCACATAGGAGGTGCCATTATGTGTTTATGTGAAGGAAAAGTCCATGGGGTTGAAATGGCCATGTGAAAATGGGAATGGTTCCATGGAGGAGGAATTAGGACATGAGCTGGACCTTCAGGAATCGGGTGAGGCCCGTCAAAGGCTGCCCGGGTGGGAGAAACAGGGTGAGCAAAGGCTTGCTGGGGCCATGAGAGAAGGTGGCAGTAAGACTATTAGAGCAGGACTTCCCAACCTTTTCTCCATGGCTACCGACACTGAAACTTATATTTGTACACACATGGAGTCAATGAGGCTGCTTACAGCTGGGCCCCGGGGTTCACTGTGCAAGTTCCTAAGAGGGGAGGCAATACTTTGGCATATTTGTAATTCAACCCCAGCACCTGCAGGGGAGCTCAGGATTTGAGCAGTGCTTCCCCAAGTCAAATACGCATTAAAATGCAGATTCTGGGGTGGCGCCTGAGAGCCTGCATTTCTAACAAGCAGGAAATACTGAGGCTTCTGGTGTAAGGACCACACTTTGGTTTAAAATCTTTGCCACTTGAAGCGTGCTGACCAGCAGCATCAACATCCCCCGGGAGCTTGTTAGAAGCACTGCCTTCTAGGTCCTCCCTGTCCCGAACCTACCGAATCAGAATCTGCATTTTAATTCAGTCCTCAGCTGATGGAGCTGCACATTAACATTTGGGAAGCAATGGATTAGAGGTTTCTGGGTAGCCCAGTTCGCTAACAGTAGGGTCTAGCCATCTAGGTTCTTAGGCCCACCTGCACATTAGATTCTCACAAGGAGCTTTTAAAAATCCTGATGCCCAGCCAAAGCAGCTGAATCAAATCAAAATGTCTGCAACTGGGGCCTTGAGAAATCAGTATTATTTTTTAACCTCTCCAGGGGATTTTAATGTGCATCCAGGGTTGAGAACCACTGGGCTGGGGAAGAACCCCTGAGCAGGGCTAAAGAAACTGAGGCCATCCAGATGCGGCTTAGGTCCTTGATGGGGTTTGGGTCCTTTTTTGTCCCAGTGTAGCATGGCATAGCAGTTAGAGGCATGAGTGGTGGAGCAATGAGGGCTTGCCTGGGTTCAAACACTGCTTTGTGCCACTTGCCAGCTGCATGATGTCAGGTGAGGTACTTAACCGCTCTTTGCCTCTGTTTTTTTCAAACAAGGATGCTAATTGTAACTAACTATTGCATAGGGTGTTTCTGAGGAACAAATAAGGTAAAGTGTAAGGGTGCTCATGACAGTGCTTGGCACATAGTAAGGGCTCTGAGTGTGTTTGTTCCCTTGAATACATGGCTTATTCTTCCTGATGCGAGAATCACAGAAGGTTTCTCACTCTCCTGTCACCCTGCACCATCCTCAGAGCTAGGTTCTTGGGCAGCAATCACACCTCTGATTAGGCGCTCAATAAATGTTTGAGGAATGCATGACTGAATGGTTACAATGCCCCCTTGTGTATTCAGTGGGAAGAAATAACAAAACATACATTTGGTTCTTGATATTAGTATGGGTAGTGTGACCAACTGTTCTGATTGCCCAGGAATGAGGGGTTTCCCTGGACACGGGTGACTTTTGGTGCCAAAACTGCTGAAATACTAGGCAAACTAGGACGAGTTGGTCACCCTAAGTATGGGCATTGGTGACATGTCCATTTCATCAAAATACTGTTTTCAAATAAGCATAAAGAGAGGCACCCGAGGCCAATTCATTTATGTGCACATAGTAATGGCAATGGCAATGGTAATTTGCTTCCTGTCCATGGTGTGTGTGTGTTTGTGTGTTTGTGTATTTATGTGTGTGTGTGCTGCACGTACACCAATAATAATAGCTGGAATGTCGTGACAGTGTGGGTGGCACATTATGTGTTCTGCAGTGATCACTTCACATGCTTAAGAGGGAGCATCAGATGGCCTGACTCACATCCTGGTTATGCCACTTAATAGCTTTGTGACATTGGGCATGTTTCTCCACCTCTCTGTGCTCCAGTTTCTCCATCTGTAAAATGAGATAATAACAGTACTCATCTTTCTGAGTTTTTAAGAGGATTGATGGGTTCATACATGTGAAGCATCAGAATGCTGGATGCTTAATAAAGATCTGACTGATGTTCGAGATGATTATTATTGCTATCATCATTAACACTACCAGTGACCTACATATCTCCTCTGCTTCTCTCCCTTTCTCCCCTCCCAGCCTCTTTCCTTTGCCACGAGCCTTCTGCGCCCTGCCTACTGTTTCTTCTCCCTGCTTTCTCCCTCTCCTGCCAGAGGGGCCACCAACAGTTTCACCCTTCTTTTCAGGGTTGTTCAGGCTGAGCCCCTCACAGGGTCACCCAGTGAGGAGGTTAGGGGACGCTGAAATCCAAGCGCTTCTTCCTAAGTCAGAGCAGATACCCCCAAAAGGTGCCTTTTCCTCATTCACACAAAGACTGGGCAAGCTGTGATGGAAACTCGTGAATGGTCTACAGAAGAACAAGAGTTAGTAACTGTATTTCATATCTTGAGTCTTTTGGATCTCCTAGCTGCCCAGGTCATGCTAACCTCAAACATTATTCATTTCCCTGAAGACCTCTGTACAGATAAAAGATGGAGGCATCATTCCAAGGAGATCAGTGAATAAGATTTGTTCTTGTTTATTAATGCCATTTTCAATATGAAATTGAAACTACCTGACCTAGGAACAGCATGCACAGCTTTTAAGAATTAAACATTTTTTCAACACCCATGATAATAATAATATGAACAGTGCCTATAATGACTTCGTTTTAAAGGATGATGGAAGACTATTTCAAAATATTGCATAATATGTACATAGCCAACAGCTATAGAATGCCTGTTATAGATCACCATCAAACATGAAATTGACTTTATCTTAACTTTGAATTCCAAATTTGAAAAATTTGCACTATTTTTTACTTATAGATAAAATATTTGATACTGGAAAATAATGATGTTTCTTTGCTGACTGGGTAGATAACTAAGGTTTTGTTCCTACCAGAACATGCTCCTCTGCCTTTCTCTGAGATGCCTGCAAGTTCAATGTAGGCCAGGTGAGCAATTCCTACTATGAAGACTGTTATGAGAAGTAAATATCTGTTGCATATTCCACTGCCTTTGTGTCGAGTACAGTCGTCCTTGTAATGAATAGGGTAAAGGAAACTTTGATTAAATAAATAAAAATTTGAAAGATAGACCCTTTGGGGCTAATAAAATGGGATCTTAGAGAAACAAGAGAATTTGCAAACTAAATCACAGACCTATTGACTATCTTCTGAAGTTTTAAAATGGAGAATCATTATTCTGAATTTTGAAAGGGTGAAGAAAGTAGATTTGGCAAACGCAGGATTGAGAGATTAATCAAACCTTGCCAGATTCTGGGACAAGCCAGTTGCTTGTCAGAAACTAGAAAAGAGAGTGCTGAATGCTATTCAGCCCTGGTTTTGCTAAACATAAGGAGGGCAAGACTTTGCTAGTGTGGGAAACATGCAATTCACCCCTCCGTATCTTTTGGCATGTGTGTGTCTCTTACCAAAGGAGTGAAATGTATTCCTCTACTTTTGACTTTGGGTTTGGCTATGTGATCTGTGTTGTCCAATAGAATGAGGGCAGAATTGCCAATGTGTCCATTCTGAGCCTAGGCCTTAAGAGGCCTTCGGTACTTCTCCTTCATGTTCTGTGCCTCTGCCACTGTGATGAGAAGAACCCGTGCCGGCTAGTCGGCTGATCCTAAGAGGAAAACCAGGGGCACATAGAGCAGAGCCTCCACAGCCACTGTACCCTGAAGTGGAGCCACCTAGCTAGGCCCAACCTAGTTGAGCCGACCCACAGATGCAAAGCAAGCCCAGAGGAGATGGGCAGAGACCCTCGTCCACCCTCAGAGACACAAATTGAATCCGTGCTTTATGTCATGTGCCACTGCGGTGTTAAGAATCTGTGCTAAGCAGCACTCATGTTAATATAGAAAATCCATACACCTATATTTCTTCTTTGATTGGTAGACCAGAGTCATGAGATAGGTGGCACTGGATGTGAACTTCAGCACATATGTGGTAAGATACATTCCTACAACCTTAAAGATGAAACAAGATGAAAATCAAAAGCCAGTCACTATTAAAATTAAGGTATTAATGTTTGGAGAATAAGCAAGAGTGCTAAGTAATATAGGTTTCTGGGGGAGCAGCAAGGTGTTTTTTCAGTCTTATTCTATTCACTATTTCTCATCCATGATTTGGATGAAAGTATAGAAACCACATATCAGATATGCAGGAGACTGGAAAAATAGCAAATGCTTTTCATGTAAAGGAGGGATATAAAAATATCACTACCCTTGAAGCAATAGGTGAAATATAACCAGATGAAATTAACATAGATAAATGTTAATCTTGTGCAAGGGTCCAAATAAAACCCTACCTAAACATATATAAATTAATATATTATATATTAAGTTATTTATTATATAATGATATAATTAAAATAGCGATACATTAACTAATATATAATATTATAACATGTAATATAGTATTATAACATGTAATATATGATAGTATTATAACATGTAATATATAATAGTATATTCTATTTTATTTTATTTATTTAATTAAATTAATTAATTAATTAATTTTTTGAGACATGGTCTTGCTTGTTGCCCAGGCTGGAGCACAGTAGCATAATCATGGCTCACTACAGTCTCAACCTCCTGAGCTCAAGCGATCCTCCTGCCTCAGCCTCCCCAGTAGCTGGGACTACAGGTGTGGACCACCACATTTGGCTAATTTGTGTATTTTTTTTTTTTGTGGAAACAGGGTTTGGCCATGTTGCCTAGGCTGATCTCGAACTCCTGGCATCAAGCAATCTGTCTGCCTCGGCCTCCCAAGGTGCTGGGATTACAGGCATGAGCCACCATGCCCAGCCTATTCTATGTAATTTTATAATGAATAATATAAGAGTATATGATATAATACTATCTATATCTTATAATTTTGCATTTCCTTTAGACCCAGAAATTCCACTTCTAGGAATTTACGCTAAAGAAAAATTGTATGTATAGGTGAGCGGGGAGGAGGGGTAAAGAGAGAGCATAGAAGTAAAGTCAGCCCAGAACTAATAATAATATTAAAAATTGAAAAGCAGTCTAAATATATGTCAATGGGCATTGGTAACTAAATTATGGTAAACATAAACAAAAGAAAACCAGACAATCCTTAAAAGTTGTGCTGTTCCTACAGTGTTTTTCAAACTGGGATCTGAAAACATCATGGATTAGAATCTTCTAGGGTGCTAGTTAAATATACAGGTTCTTAGGCCCTCTCCAAAATACTGAGTCAGAGTCTGTGGGAGAGGGCCAAGGGAAATACATTTTTAACAAGCATTCACAGATAATTCTGATACACATGGAAAATTTGAGAATTACTGTAATAAAGAACATTTAATGGCATAGGAAAATGGTCATGACATAATAAGTGACGAGCAAGTTCCAAGACAGGATGATCCTTTTTATGTAAAAATACATATTTGTGTAGAAGAAGTTATGGAAGGAAAAAGGCCAGAATGAAAACCATGGTTAATATAATGCTATATGACATTAACGAAAGGATGGCATCCAGGAGAAAAGGGATGTTCCCACTTTATTCTATATTTCTCATATCATACTTTTATTATTCTACTGAGGAGGCAAAATCTATTTAGATTCAAACAGTATTGGATATAAGGACAATGGAGAGGAGGAGTCAAAGAAGGATTCAAAATTTGGAAAAATGGTGATGCATTCATTGAGCAAGGAAGTGAGAAAGAGAATCTGGTTTAGGGAAGAAAGATGAGTTGGCTTTGAACATGGCAAGTTTGAGGTACTGGTAGTACATCCAGCATGAAACAACCAAAAGGCAGTTTGGATTCTGGGTCTAGAATTCAAGAAATTGAGTGGGGCTAGAGATGAGATTTAAAGACAATAGAAGTTGAGGAGTAGGTTAAATCCAGGAGAAAGACAGAAAGGAGATGAAAGAGAAGGTGGCCAAGATCAGCTCTCTTTGATTAGTGGAAATGAATCAGAGAAAAGCCAGAAAAGGAAAAAAGGAGAGTACAGTCAGAAATATAGAGGGAAGAACCAGTAAGATCCAGTGCCACCAACCATTCCCCTTAAATAATTTTCAGGAGGAGAAGAAGGTCAAAGAGGATGAAGACCAAGAGTTAGCTGCTAGATTGGACAAATAGGACAGTAGGGACCTTGAACAGAGTTGATTTTGAAAAATGGTGGCATCTGTAGCCAGGTAGCAAGGAGTTAAGGAACAATCAAATAATAAGGAAGACCAAAGAGCCAGTGCAGCCATTGCTGCATTTTGAGGTTGCTTAGTGACCTCTCTCACTGCAAAGAAGTTACTCCATGGTTTTCATGCTCCTTTCAAGATGGAGCTGGGACAATTTTCTCCCAGCATTCTTTCCCCAGAGAAACTAAATTGGAATTTCAGTTGTTCCCCCTTTCATGGAACTTTGAATCACCCTATGCAGTATAATTTTTTGAGAGATAATTTCTGTTTCCCCTCCCTGCATTTTTGTTCTTTCCCCACTCTGCGTTCTTGCCATGGCAAAGGTTTGAGGTTGAACAAAGAGCAGAAGTTTCCTACAAAGCATTTCCCTTCTGGGCTTTGTTTCCCAAATCCTCAGCCTCTCCAGAGAACTGTTACGGTGTCCTAGAGAGTGTAAGGCAAGAGAGAGAATACTTTTTAGGCAATCAAGAAGGATTTCCCTAGGACTAAAGAGAAATTTACTTGGCTGGGGACAAGAGAGACAAATTTGAGAGCTTGGAGAGCCACAGGTATCTACATTCTTCATCCTGACAGTTACAGGAGAGGAGGAAGATTTCCGACAACTGAGCCGAGAGAGGGAGGCTGGACCAAGGCTTAGGCTCCTGGCTGGCCAAGGCTTCTCCAGCTCCCAGCATGGCCAAGAACCTGCAGAATCTGAGGAGCTAAAGGAACCCTGTGGCCTGGCTCTGTTCCATCTCAGTGATAGCTTTGGATTTGCCTGAGATCATGAGGGTCACTCTGATGTCTTAGCATGCCTTGAGACACAGAACCTTAGCACATTCTGAAGAGTGAAGGAAAGGGCCCAAGAATGTCTGAGGTTGAATTTCCCACCAGCTTAGCAGGATGGGGCTGGTTGCTTTATTAAAAATAACGACATGCAGTGTTTTTTGCTCACCTGAGTTTGTGGATTGAGATTTATGTCTGCTGCAATAGAGGAAGTCAAGTTTATATTCTCAAGCAAGATGAGTGCTTTCTTCATCTGGGAGGAAAACCAATGGGGTAGAATGGGTGTCTCTAGATGATGTGACAACTGGCATGTAGCTAGTAGTCAGTTTGGTAGGACGGGTAGAGGATGGTAAAAAACAGTGACCTCATTTTCTGAGAAAATGGATTCTAGCTCATCTCTGCTGCTTAAGCTTCCCACATCTTTGGCCAAGGTATTTCATCTCCCTAGGCCTCAGCTTCCTCATATGTAAAGGGAAAGTGTTGGATTAAGTGAGTGCTAAGGCTCCTCCCACATCATGAGACCCTTTGGCTTTGTTCTCGTCTTTCTCATGGTAAATTGAGTTTCTTATCTCTAAGAAATGAGGTGTATTAAGCAGCCCCATTGCGGCTGAGCTACAGTCAACCCAGCCTAGCACATGCCAGAAAACAGCAAGCCGGGACAGTTAGCATCACTGGGGAGGCTACATGTATGCATTTTAATCTGCACAGATCCAGGATTTCAGATACAGTGCATCAGTCCGTACAGATTTAATGAGGGCGGGGTCAGAGGGTGATGAAACCACCAAATTTGCTCTTTAAGGCTGGGCCATCTAGCGAAAATGGGTTTGCATACTAGTCTCGGAGGGCTAATTTATCACTCTGGAGAGCAATTTCTCATTAACACAATGTCAATACTGCTGGGGATTGGCTAGACCACCTTTGGAAGAGGTTAAATTACCTTTTAATCAGCGTATGGAAGAATAAAGCTTCTGTTCCATCGTGGCATAACAGCCTTGCTAATTTGACATCTTATAAAAGCCAAGGCAATTCTAACTACACCTGTGTGGTGTGACCAGAATTGTTTCCAGAGAGGCAGAAGATGGGAAAGAAGGGTTTCTGCGGCTGTTATTCAAACTGGCATAATTGATGTGGGTGCAGTGGGTTATAGCTAATGGTCTGTGTTTAATTATGGAGGCAGTGACACAAGGCCTCAAGGATAAGGCCCTAACCAGATGATGTACCACTTTCTCAGTTCTGAGTTTGCTGAGTGACTGGATAGAGAGTCGGTACAACAGCAAGGTGCTCTAAAGTTTATGTTTCTCCTGGCAACAGTGACACACAGGCCCCAGGTGAAAGTGCTTTAAAATCCACTGCTCTGGAAATCAATTCCCCATTTAAACCAGAATGACTTACATTGATATATGTCCAAAATTCATTAGCTGCTTTGAAAATATAGGACTTTCCATTTTGTCTCACTCCCCAGAGCAATGAAACAACAAACAAACAAACAAACGACCTTTTATCCACTAGCTTGAAAAATAATGACAATAACTGTTGCAGAGCTGCATATCATCACACCATATCCATTCTCAACTTTTGGCAATAGAACTTTCAGATTTTAGCCAGACACATGGCTATCTAGCTAGAGACTACATTTCCCAGCCTCCACAGCAGCAATGTGGGGCCATGTGACTAGGTTTTAACCAATAAGAAAGGAGCAGAGTGACATATATAATGTCTGGATCATGCTCTGAAAGGAAACTGCTCATCCTCCATTTATTCTTTTCTCATCTTGTGGGTAAGAATGAGGTTGTGGTAAGTGGTGATTCAGTTTCATTCTTGAAGATAAGGAAGACACCCTATGGGAGGATGGGGTAATAAGAGAAAAGAAACCTGGGTCCTTAGTTGACCTTGAGGAGTAAGGTCATTCTACGTTCATCAACTGCCTGCAAGCTTGGGCTTTCACTTGACCAGATCTTCTATCCTGTTGAAGCCACTGTTATTTTGGTCTCTGTTAAAATGAATACAGTGATTTACATCAGTAAAGCACTTTCCAATTTGAAAAACATGTTCTTTTATATGTTTTATGTCTTAGCTCCTCAAAACAACCAGGTGAAGTAGACAGGGAGAGAAGCCGTTAGAGATTCTATTTGACAGGAGGAAATGGAGGCTCAGAGAGGACGTGGGTTTTGTCCTCAGTCACACCTACACATATACGGAGCCACATCTTGCAACTGGATCTTGTGACTCTGAATCTAGCGTTCCTTTTACTATCATATTGCCCGTCCTTCCTTGGAAACCTCCAGCGATAGTCGTGCATGAGAGGGCACTCTCCATTCACTGAAATGCTTAGCTCTTGCTGTTTTGATCACTTAAGTGTCCCAGCCTCATCTAGCTGCTCTCCCCTCCCTTCCACCTCCTCCAGACCATCCCCAAAACAACAGTAAAGAAAAGCTCCATAAGGAAGGTTTTTAAAAAATCGTTGATGGCATTGCTTAAAATGAGAACAGTCTGGGGTCAGCGGTGGTTGGAGGAGTGCAGGGGGAGGAGTATTTTATCAATGACATTGTTTAGAATTGCCAGAACATTGGGGTAATAAAAAGCAGAGCAACTTTCAGTCAGTTTTATTATTGTTTTTAAATTCTCTACAGGCAATAAACCCCTTATTGCCTGCACCCCCCTTTTGCCTGCACACTGGATGGCCCACTTCCATTACCGCCCCCTTTAGAATACCACAAAATAATAGTTATGAAGAAAAGAAAATAATAAAGTGTAAAACCCAGTTAACTTCTGCCTTGCTCTCTGATATGTATACACATCCAGGAAATGGCTGGCATGTTTGTGCCAATCGCTGCCTGTTCCATTTAGAAGAGCTTCTGTAAAGAAGAGGAAAGCTTGTTTGTTTCCTTGGGTTTGTCCTGCCCTCTTATCTCCATAGTTACAAGAGTTGGTTCTGTGTAATTTTTTGTAGCTGGCACCTTGCCCAACTCAAATTGATTATAAAGGTTGGGAAGGACAGTTGAGACCTGCGGCTTGATTCCTGGATAAGTTAGTTGTTTAGAAAGATAGCATTGACAGCCGAGATAGCCTGCAGATGGGAAGGCAAATCTGGAGATTCCGTTTTTCATTATGGAGCCGATGAATGACTCACTAGTTTGGGCTCTTCCTTGGAGGAACACAGAAAGATAAGTGCCTGGGAGAAATCAGCCAAAAGGTTCTTTCCTCAAAGGCTTTATAGTAGGGTTGCCAGGTTAAATACAGGACATAAGTTAAATTTGCATTTCAGGTAAATGACAAATACGTTTTTTAGGATAAGCATGTCCCCAAATAGTGTATGGGATATACTCATACTGAAAACACAGATGCTCAGTTATATTTGCATTTCACATAAACAAGGAATAATTTTTTTGGTATAAGTATGTCCCATGAAATATTTGGGTCATACTTAAACATTATTTACTGTTTATCTGAAATGCAAATTTTAACAGGGAATCCTGTATTTTTATTTGCTAAATCTGGCAGCCTTACTTACAGAAATCTAGCAAGGTCTTTAAAAAATGGTTTCTTTCAATTCAGGAACAGCCAATCTTCTTTTTCTCTTAAAGGATTCTGTAAGCTGTTGGATTTTATTTATTGGTTTGTGGGAGTACACGAGGGAGAGGATTAAGGAAAGAGATTGGACCAGAAGACAGGAGACTGAAGTCTAGAACTGCTCTGCCAGTAACTGGCTGCATAAACCTGGACAAGGCCCTTCACCTGTCTAAGCCTTATCTTTCTAAAAGGAAGGGATTAAATGGTCTCTCGAAGGACTCTATAGTCCTATGTCCTTCCTATGCTACTGATATCTTGATGGAATTCATTTTCCCTTGAGTTGATATAAGTCGGTGCTATCTGATAGAAATAAAATGCAAGCCACATATTGTAATTTTAGATTTTCCAGTAGCCACTTTATAAAAGTAAAAAGAAATAGGTGAAATTAATTTTAATAATACATTTTATTCAACCAATTATACTAAAATAGTATCATTTCAATATACAATCAATATAAAAATTATTAATGAGATAGTTTACATTCCTCTTTTGTACTAAGTCTTCAAAGCCTGGTGTTTATCCTTATAGTATATCTCAATTTGACTAGACACATTTAAAGTATCAATTGCCACATATGGCTCAGTGTCTACCATATTGGACAGCACAGGTATAGGCTAAATAAATAGATAAACAGGCTAGGCGGGGTGGCTCACACCTGTAATCCCAACACTTTTGGAGGCCGAGGTGGGCAGATCATGAGATCAGGAGTTCGAGACCAGCCTGACCAACATGGTGAAACCCTGTCTCTACTAAAAAAAATACAAAAATACAAAAAATACAAAAATTAGCTGGGCATGGTGGTGCGTGCCAGTAGTTCCAGCTACTCGGGAGGCTGAGGCAAGAGAATCACTTGAACCTGGGAGGCGGAGGTTGTAGTGAGCTGAGATCACGCCACTGCACTCCAGCCTGGGTGACAGAGCAAGACTCCGTCTCAAAAATAAAATAAATAAATAAATAAATAAATAAATAAATAAATAAATAAATAAATAGAAACCCTCTCAGAATAGGTATGTAACTTAAAAAGTCCTTGGCCGGGCGCGGTGGCTCACGCCTGTAATCCCAGCACTTTGGGAGGCCGAGACGGGCGGATCATGAGGTCAGGAGATTGAGACCATCCTGGCTAACATGGTGAAACCTTTCTCCACTAAAAATACAAAAAAAAAAAATAGCCAGGTGTGGTGGCAGGTGCCTGTAGTCCCAGCTACTTGGGAGGCTGAGGCAGGAGAATGGCATGAACCTGGGAGGCAGAGCTTGCAGTGAGCCAAGATTGTACCACTTCACTCCAGCCTGGGGGACAGAGCGAGACTCTGTCTCAAAAAAAAAAAAGAATAAAATAAATAAGCAGATAAATAGATAAAGAAACTTTAAAGAATTAGGCAAATTTAAGAATGAGAGATCTATAAAGGGTTATGGAGAGAACTTAGGCTATCATGGAACATATTCATAGGCTATCATGGAACATATTCATAGGCTTTTAACAAGTAATATACAGTTGATCCTTACTATTCACAGATTCTTTAGTTGTGAATTTGCCTACTTGCTAAAATTTATCTGGAACCCCAAAATCAATACCGTTAGTGAGCATGCACATGCACAGAGCAGTTAAAAAGTTGAATTGCCCAATGTGCACATTCTCAGCTGAGGTCAAACGAGATGACACTCTGTCTTCTTGTTTCAGCTCTCAAACTGTAAACAAGTGTCCTTCTCACAGTCTATTTAGTGCCACATTTTTTGCATTTTTATGGGCTCTTTTGTTGATGATTCACTGTTTAAAATGGCCCCCCACGCCTAGTGCTAAAGTGTTATCTAGTGTCTGAAGTGCTGTCTAGTATCCCTAAGCCAAGAAGGCTGTGATATGCCTTATGGTGGAAACACGTGCGTTAGATAAGCTTTGTCCGGACAGGAGTGATAGCTGTTAGCTATGAATTTAATGCTAATGAGTCAACAATATATGTTAAAGAAGGTGTCTTTAAACAGAAACACACATAAAACAAGGTTATTTACTGATCCAAAAATGTTGTGACCAGAGGCTCACAACTAGGGGTAATAATTCAGTATTCACCAAGTCAGTGTTCTTGGTGACTTTATAGAACATAACTAAAGCAAATAATGAGAATAGTATATACTTTTTTAAATAATAGTTTTAGATTCACAGAAAAATTGAGTGGTTTCTCCTCTTATTAACACCTTACATTAGTATGGACCAGTTGTTACAGTTAATGAACAAATATCCATCCATTGTTATTATTAACTAAAGTCCATAGCTTATTCAGATTTCCTTAGTTTGTACTTAATGCCCTTTTTTTCTGAATATGAGGATGCCACATCATATTTAGTTATAATGTCTTCTTAGCCTCTTCTTTGCCATGACAGTTTCTCAGGCTTTCCTTGTTTCTGATGATCTTGATAGCTTTAAGGAGTCCTGGTCAAGTCTATTGTAGGATGTCCCCCCACTGGAATTTGTCTGTTTTTTTCATGGCTAGATGGGGGTTATGGGTTTCCAGGAGAAAGATCACAGAGGTAACGTGCCATTTTTGATCATATTATATCAAGGATGCATACCATCAAGATGATTTATGACTGTTGATATTGGCCTTGGTCACTTGGCTGAGGTAGTGTTTGTCAGGTTTCTCCACTGTAAAGTGACTCTTCCGTCCCCTCCTTTCCATACTGTGCTCTTTGGAAAGAAGTCACTATGTGAAGCCCACACTTAAGGAGTGGGGAGTTACGCTTCACCTCTTTTAGGGCAGAAACTGCATGATTTACCTGAAATTCTTCTGCATAGAAGACTGGCCTCTCATTCCCCATTTGTTGATATACTCAATCATTTATTTATGTCAGTATGGACTAAGGATATTTATTTTATACTTTGGGTTATAATCTAATACTACCTTATATATTTTGCTTTTCAAGGGCACCTTTGTGCCTTACAGACTTTTGTAAATTCAAAACAAATTAAACAGAATGTATTTAGAGTCACTCTCCAAAGTTGAATTATTAAGTCAAAGAGTGTTGAAAATTTTTGATGTACATTAATACATTTCTTAAACAGGTGTGCTGCTAATTCAATGTAGGCCTGGTGTCGAAAGAGAAGCCCCCAAGCTCTCCCCATTCCCCAATCCCATGAGGCTCCCTTTTAGTATTCTTTGGAGAAACAGAAAGGACCCAAATCTGACCCAGTGAAGCAATTGTTTGGTTTTCTGATTATATTCCGACATGAATCCAGATATACCACAGACAAATCTGGGCCCCAAAGACTTGTAATCATACTAGTTGACATTTATTGAGGGCCTCCTATGTGCCAGGCACTTTTCCAACAGCTTTATCTGTATTAAATAAGTTAATTCTCACAATGCTAAGAGGGATATCTGGTGGTCTCCATTTTATGGATGGAGATCCTGAGGCACAGAAAAGTTAACTAAATTGACTAAGGTCACTTGGCTTGTACATGGTAGGGACAGAATCTGAACTCAGGAAGTCTAATGCAGGAAGCTACTCTCTTGGCACCCCCACTGTGACTACATAATATGAAAACTCTTATGAACCAGTGCCCTCATTCTTGTTTACTATTACTCTTTCCCAATACCAGCATTTTAAAGGTTGCTCCTTTGTCATATTCTCATCTTTTTTTTTTCAAGTTTCCATTATCGAAAAGCTTGTCTTGTTTAAATGGGTCAGAGGACACTATGAATAAAGGTCACTTTCTTTATTGACAAGCTTTCCCAAAGAGAAATTTGCATTTCTGTTGATAAAAACCGTATCACAGATACAGGTGATGGTCCAATGTTTTAGCAAATAAGGAAGCGAAGGGTGCCAAGCTGAGCTCAGCGGAACTGAAACTAGGGCTTCCCTTGCTCCATGAGGACCAGTCTTTCCTCACCACCCCAGGGATTCCTGAAAACAATCTTGAAAAGGGCACATGACCTCAGGAAGTATTTTCTTTTTTATAAAAAAAGGCCAATTCCTTATCTTTCTGTATATAATGTCTAGGAATTGTCCTTCCTGTACAAGTAAGGGGGCTCTGGTTGTCTTCAATAGCTGGAAAAAGCAAAAGAGATGGTTAAAAAAAAAAATAGCTTGCCCTGCACAGCAGCTCATGCCTGTAATCCTGGCATTTTGGGAGGCCAAGGCAGGAGGATTGCTTGAGCAGAGGGGTTCCAGACCAGCCTGAACAACACAGCGAGACCATATCTCTACAAAATATTTTTAAAAATTAGCCGGGTATGGTGGTGCACACTTGTAGTCCCAGCTACTAGGAAGGCTGAGGCAGGAGGATTGCCTGGGCCCAAGAGTTTGAGGCTGCAGTGAGCTGGGATTGTAACACTGCCCTCCAGCCTGGGAGACAAAGTGAGATCTTGTCTCTAAAAAATATATAGCCTTTAAAAATGTTACAGTCCCCTCCTCCATCCCTGTTATAACTGCATTAGTTATAGTAACACTAGAATCTCAGTGGATTAATCCACTAGTTGTTGATTTCTCACTAATGTCAAGTCCAATGTCAGGGCTCTTGCTCAGAAGGTCGACTTCCACTGCCTCCCTCAGAGCCCCAAACTTCTTTCAGCTTGCTTAATGGCCTCAGAGTCAGTGGATGGGGAAAGAGACTCTACAGAAGGCACACTTGCTGCTTAAACACCTTAGCCTGGAAAAGCAAAGTGTATTTCTACTCACATTCCACTGGTAACAGGCAGTCTTCTAATGGGGACCCCTGAAGTGTGAGAAATGGACTCCCTGGCTGGGCAGCTGCTTTTCAGCCACAGCTCTACATCATGGAGGTGAAGGCCAATCCTGGTGGCTAGCTAGTCATCTCTGCCATGAGGACCTGAGCTGGAACAAGTTTCAATTTCTCAAGAGGCTAATGAGACAGCAAAGGGGTGGAGGGCACTCTGTGGAAGGGTGGGCACTGACCCCATGCTCTCTGCTGATGTGCATCACATGTCCACAGACTGTCACTTGCTAGTGACATGAGAGAAGAGTTATCTTTCCGTGCACCAGGCATGGAGATCCTGGGGAAAATCAGGATCCTGGATGACTTGACCATGAAGTGAGCACAAAATAAGAAAAGAAAAATTAATATAGCATGTAGAGCAGATAAATGGGAGAAGTGGGGAGGTGGGTTGGTTTATTCACAGGCACTGTTTTGATTAAGCAACAGAAAAACTGTCTGATATTTTGGAAAAAACACAACAAACCCCCAAACTAGACGCTGTCTAGCCACATTGCTTTAAGCAGGACACTTGACCACTCTGGGGCTTAGTTTATGCAAAAATTGTATGTTGACTCAATTGTTTCAAAAGTGTATTTGGTGATCCTAGGACTTATGAACTATCTAATGGTAATGAGCACTTTCAGAGCCATGAAAAAAGCCTCCTGTTATATATCTTGACCTGGCTGGTAGTTACACAGATGTGTTTACTTTGTAAAAATTCAATGAACCATATGCTTATGATTTGTGCACTTGTCTTTATGTATGTTATTCTTCAATTTCAAAAGTATATGAAGGAAAAAGGAAGCCTGTCACTATTTCCACCCCTTTTCAAACATGGAGCCCAATATAGTTTTCAAGATCCAATTCAGGCCACAAAACATGCGTGGTATTTAGTCATCCTTTGCTAGGCATGTCCCCAAGACTTCCATCCCCTCTACTTGTTGCCCCTGAAATAGGGTGAAGGCAACTGCCTGCTTCAGATAAGCTCAGATTTTTCTAGAATCTCTGATTCCCATAGCAAGCCAACAGAAGAAGGAAGCAGGGCCAAATATGACCATAATCTTTAAGGCCACTGATGTTTTCTGTAACTCTTGGCAGAATCCTCAGCAGATCTCTTTTGGTGCTGGGCATCTCACACCTCTTACCACCAGCCACACCTGTAGGCCCCTCTGAATGGTCCCTGCCTTCAGGTAGCTCCTTACTGAGAGTTCATGCTGCTGCTACCATGTGACCTCATCTGCAGGCCAACTAGATTGGGCAGAGATGAACACATGACCCAAGGGAAGCAGATCTACAGGTGATCAGAAGCCAAGAGGTGGACTGCAGTGAAAGTTTCACAGAAATAGAGATGACCAAGGTTGATTGGAACAACCCAATCATCCTGGGGATGTGGTAAAGATACAGTCAGGCAGGTGGGTGAGGACAGAAGAGGAAAGATGTCTGAGAGCAGGCAGGCAGCAAAGCCTTTGAGGAGGAAGAGGCATGAGTGGCTGTGACCATGAATGAGCTTTGAATCCACAGAAACAGAAAGATTAGCAGGCTAGAAGGTGAAGCAGCTACTTGGCAGGAGCAGGCACAGAAGTCTCTAGGATGAGGGCACTGAGTCACAGCAATGGAGAGCCCACAGGCAGCAGCCATGAAGCCACATGCTGCCAATGAAGAGGCTCCGCAACTCCAGTCCAGTTCCCATGAGGCCACCTGTACTGCCATTCCTCCTTTTCCTTTTAGGCATAAGCACAAGATCAAGATTCCTAACACTTTTATTTAACTTCTCCTTTCCCCTATCCATCAAAAAGGGTTAATAATAATGCCCACTTAATGTTTTGTGGAGATTAAATAAGCCAATACATGTAAGGCACTTAGCGCCTTCCATATATTAAGTGCTCAAAAACAATTGCTGTATTGAGGGTGAAGAAGATGATGATTTTCACACATGTTCTTAAACCCACAAGAACCAAGGCAACCAGAGTCTCTGTTACTTTGAAACAAAAGAAAATAAAATTTTAACTGGTATTTTAAACTCTAAGATACGTGGCTCAAAGCTATTCTTGCTTTACCTCCACTCATAGCTTCCAAACACAGCCCAGCTTCCTCACTTGGGGCAATCCCCTAAAATGGTCGATTGTTTAGTTTCTTGGATCTTGGTGGCTTCACCATCATATGGATGTTTTAGGTGTTAGAGCACTTGTGGCGAGCTGGAATCATAGGGATGAGGAGAAGGGAGACACACTAGGTATACGGATGTGCACTTAGTATGAAAAAATGACTTCTAAAGTGAACAATAGACTGGCAAATGTGTGCTGCATTGACACAGTATTCTAATATGTATCTTCCTCAACTGAAACCCTGACATCGTGAAGCCTGTCAAAATGCTAAGCTGCCAGGACCTCCAGAAAAAGATAATTGTCTTAGACAGGATTCCTACAGAAGCCGACCTGGACACAAGGGCTCAAGCGCACGTAGCTGATTTGAGAGCTGGTCCAACGAAACACTGTAGAGGAGTAGGAACATGAAACAAGGAAGGGAAGGCAGCAAATAAATGGCGTGGTATCAAGCCAATGATTGCTGTGGCCAACTGGCGTTAATTTCCCAGTACTTCTGGCCTGCCACATGGGAGGGTAACACAGACCTCTGGGACCAGAAAAGGCAAGGAAATGCAGGTTCTGACAAGTGGAAGTCAGGCTGGAATGCATCACAGTGGTAGGGGTTGGGGGATACAGGCAGAACACTGACAGTGTCTGATAGGATAGCCCAGGCCTCCTTTGAAGTTGTGGCTAGGTTTGGATTTCTAGGGATCAGGTGTTGTCTTACAAGCCATACTGACAAGCAGCCATTCTTCATTTTCCAAATCACTTGGGTTGAGATAAATGTGATGGTTCCCTTAAAGTGGTAATTGTGTTTTCCTGGAAATCAACGCAGGTTTGTTTATATGCCACTTGTATGTTGCAGCACATAGCACATGCAGATCTTGAACATCTTGAAAAAGCAGTACAGGGACCCAGAACAAGTCTGTTCACAGACCTGCCCGGAGGATACCAAATGGTATGTTATTTCCTCCTCTCAACTGCATGTCACCAACAAAGGAACCCTACATGCTGGAAGTGGGGCTTTTCGGAGATCTCGCAGCAGGCTACAGACGTGAGATTTATGCCAGTAAAAAGGTCTGGCATCCTTTCTGCAATGTGTTAGTGGCACGGATGAATACTCAGGATGGAGGAGGTTGCTATTTTAATTTACACGCTATTGCTACCCATTTTGGCTGGCTTACCCAGAATGCCCCAGATACCTATTTGAATGGGAAGTGTTCCATATTTGTAAGACAGACCATCTTGTGGAAATTGGTGTTTTGTCACTCTCCTGAACAGTGTGAAGTTAGGAAAATGGCTTGTGTGTCTTGTTTGTGTTACAGAATTCTAGCATTTTTTTCTCCCTGTTTTTCTTTCTTATCAGCAGTTTTTTTCAAAGGAGTTGAGAAAAACCAAAAAGATCCTTTTCACCACTTTTTCAGAATCATCCAACATGAAAAATGCAGGCTTCCGTTACATCTTAATTATTGTTTGCAAAAGCTGTAAGTAGTTTTACACCATAATTTCTATATACTACTGAAATTGCTTGGTAGAAATTTGAAAGCTACCAAAAATCATTTTTGCTTTTGCAAATTTCTTCTTTTTGTTTTTCTCTTGGAATACTAATACAGTAAATAAAAGTGGTCCTTTATTCTAGGCCCAATATACTGGTCTGATTCGCTTTAGATAATTATTCATAGAAGTCATACAGTTTCTTTTATATTCTATTATTTGCAACACATTTCTATGCATTACTGAGTTATCAGATTTTTACATTTCATTTTTATACAATGAATTTTGTCTATAGAACACTCAGCTTGCCATATATAATATGCATGCATATTTAAAATGATAAAAAGAAGCATTCAAGATTCCAAAGAGAGTCTCATATAATTGCAGTGATGTAATATAATATAATGCAATAAAAATGCATTTATCCCAAGGACATATTTGGCAGAATGCAAAGGTCACGGTTTTCTGACCCTAATTTTCAAGCTACTGTCTGACATTTACATTGTATATCATTAAGAGCACACACAAGCATATCATGTCTTTTGGGGACTAATTTTACATAAATTATGTGTCTCTATGGTTTGTTTGGATGATGGGGCATTGAGTCTGTATTAGGAATGTCACATAGACAACCCCTCCTCACTCCCTGCCTATCACAAGAATGCTGGAAGTAAATCAGAGAAAAGAGAGACTGGAGAGTCCTGAGAGATTCTAAGAGAATCAACAGCAGACTTTTAACAATAAGACAGACTGAGCTCAAGAGTAAGGCCCCTCCTCCCACTAACACATAGAAATGCAGACAAAACATATCCTCCAGAATTTAAATAAATATATGAGCTCAGAAAAGGATGCAGGGGAAATCCCCAAGTGCCAGACAGGAAGAAAGGAACCAAAGTCAGAGCAGTAAGGCCAAACAGGTACCATTGCACACCATGAAGATTTCACACTGAGATATAGGCACCTCAGACTGGTTCTAATGCCAATGTGGTATGGGAAATGAGGCTTCAGACTTTGATGGGGCAGGGGAGCTGGCATCTTAGACAGCTGTCCTATCTAGGTTTTGAACAGGGAATTAGAAAGGTTGCCAGGGAAGCAACCCTGACCCAGGGAACTTATGAGGAAGCTTGTATCTAGGCTCTTGGGCGGAAACAAGTCATCTGCAGGAATTAAAACCTAAGATTACACTCTACTGAATGTAGAATTTGAATTGACACTGCCTGGATGGCACAGGAAATCCAAGCCAAATAACTAACATAAAAACAGATCTGGAACCTTTGAAACCTTCAGAATTCCCAAATTGAAACAAATGCCAAACCACTCTGTAGGTCCATTTTCACAACTCTCAGTAAAGCTTCAGCGACTCTCAGGACTCCTTTACGAAAAAGAAATCCCCTAAAGATAAATTCACAATAAAAATTTATAAATGTATAGAAAAATGCACCTATTGTGAGGGAGAGTTAGAAAACTCATCAAACAAGAGAATTAGCACCCCAATTTGAATATAATAGATTGCTCTTAGACTATAAAATAAGTATATTTTAAATGATTAAAGACATAAATGAGAGAAGAGAAGCCAAAATAAAAGCACAAAACAATATGAAAAAAGAATCAGAAAGATTTGAAAGAGAATCAGTTACTAGTAGTGAAAAATAGAGTCATGGAAATTGGTGAACAGGTTAAACAGTAGTCTAGACAAAGGTGAAAAGAAAATTGGTGAACTAGATGGTATATGTGAGGATATTACCCAAAATGTGGCACAGAGAAAGGGTGAGGGCGGGGGGGGGGGGGGAGAGAGAGAGAGAGAGAGAGAGAGAGAGAGAGAGAGAGAGAGAGAGAGAAATGAACCATGAAAGTGATTTGGAGGAAGTTCCAACATATGTCTAATCAAAGTTGCAGAATAAAAAATTAAAGGGAAATGGCCAGAAGCAATATTCCAAAAGATAATGGCTGAAAATTTTCCAGGACTGAAAAGAGACATGAGTTTCTAGATTAAATAAAACATGTCATGTCCTAAGCAAGATAAATTAAAACAAATCCACACCTAGATAAATGTAAAACTGCAGAATATCTAAGAAGAGGTAAATGTGAAACTACAGAATATCTAAGAAGAGGAGAAAATCTCAAAAGAAACCAGAAAGAAAAAAAATCAAATAACCTACAAAGGAAGTATACAGGTTATAATGCAGTCACATGAACACAGCTAACTGCAAAAGAAGCTGGGAAATATGGTCCAGTTGTGTGGCTGAGAAGACAAGAATGTGTCTTTTGAAGACCAGATACCATCTTTGACCATAGTGTAGTTATCACCTTTTGAGTACTGAGCTCAGAGCTATGGAAGAAGAGAAGAAGAAAGATGCTCTTGGGAGACAAAATCTTTCTAACAATCCTCAAACCATACCACTTAAAGCACTAAAATTTCCTTCTTTGAAATTATTTTGGCTTTGCTGTTATAAATGGTGATAAGGGAATTCTCCCACCCAGATTAAATATAACATGGTTTGGAAATGGACCTTGTCTAACTTAAATTAATGGAGATGTGGAAATTGAACAACCTGTTTCTGAATGACTCTTGGGTAAATAATGAAATTAAGGCAGAAATCAAGAAGTTCTTTAAAACTAATAAGAACAAAGAAACAGCATACCAGAATCCCTGGGACACAGCTAAAGCAATGTTAAGAGGGAAATTTATAGCACTAAATGCCCACATCAAAAAGCTAGAAAGATCTCAAGTTAACAACCAACCTAACATGACAACTAAAAGAACTAGAGAACCAAGAGCAAACAAACCTCAAAGCTAGCAGAAGACAAGAAATAACCAAGATCAGAGCTGAACTGAAGGAGATAGAGACAGGAAAAACCCTTCCAAAAACCAATAAATCAGGGTGTTTTGAAAAACATTAATAAAATAGACTGCTAGCTAGGCTAATGTAAAAGAGAAAAGAATCAAATAAGCACAATCAGAAATGATAAGGGGGATATCACCACTGACCCCACAGAAATACAAACAACCATCAGAGAATACTATTAACACCTCTATGCACATAAACTAGAAAATCTAGAAGAAATGAATACATTCCTGGACACATACACCCTCCCAAGACTGAACCAGGAAGTAATTGAATCCCTGAACAGATCAATAACTAGTTCTGAAATTGAGGCAGTAATAAATAGCCTACCAACCAAAAAAAACCTAGGACCAGACAGATTCACAGCTGAATTCTACCAGAGGTACAAAGAAGAGCTGGTACCATTTCTACTGAAACTATTCCAAAAATTTGAAAAGGAGAGAATTCTCCTTAACTCATTCTATGAGGCCAGCATCAACCTGATACCAAAACTTGGCAAAGATACAACAAGAATAGAAAACTTCAGGCCAATATCCTTGATGAACATCGATGCAAACATCTTCAATAAAATACTGGCAAACCAAATCCAGCAGTACACCAAAAAGCTTGTCCACCATGATAAAGTTGGCTTCATTTCTGGGATGCGAGGTTGGTTCAACATATGCAAATCAATAAATGTGATTCATCACATAAACAGAACTAAAGACAAAAACCACATGATTATCTCAATAGATGCAGAAGAGGCCTTCAATAAAATTCAACATCCCTTCATGTTTAAAACTCTCAATAAACTAGATATTGAGAAACATACCTCAAAATAATAAGAGCCATATATGACAAACCCACAGCCAATATCATACTGAATGGGCAAAAGCTGGAAGCATTCCCCTTGAAAACTGGCATAAAACAAGGATGCCCTCTCTCACCACTCCTATTCAACCTGGTATTGTAAGTTCTGGCCAGGGCAATTATGCAAGAGAAAAAAAGAAAGGTGTTCAAATAGGAAGAGAGGAAGTCAAACTATCTTTGTTTGCAGATGACATGATCCTATATCTAGAAAACCCCATTGTCTCAGCCCAAAAGCTTCTTAAACTGATAAGTAACTTCAGCAAAGTCTTGGGATACAAAATCAATGTGCAAAAATAACTAGCATTCCTATACACCAACAACAGGCAAGCAGAGAGCTAAATAATGAATGAACTCCCATTTGCAATTGCTACAAAAAGAATAAAATACCTAGTTAACAAGGGAAGTGAAGGACCTCTTCAAGGAGAACTACAAACCATTGCTCAAAGAAATCAGAGAGGACACAAACAAATGACAAAACATTCCATGCTCATGAATAAGAAGAATCAGTATGGTGAAAATAGCCATACTGCCCAAAAGCAATTTATAGATTCAATGCTATTCCCATTAAACTACCATTGACATTCCTCACAGAATTAGAAACAACTATTTTAAAATTCATATGGAACCAAAACAGAGCCCAAATAGCCAAGACAATCCTAAGCAAAAAGAACAAAGCTGGAGGCATCACGCTACCTGACACATAGACCAATGGAACAGAACAGAGAACTCAGAATAAGACTGCACACCTACAACCATCTGATCTTTGACAAATCTGACAAAAAGAAGCAATGGAGAAAAGATTCCCTATTTAATAAATGGTGCTTGGAGAACTGGCTAGCCATATGTAGAAAACTGAAACTAGATCCTTTCCTTACACCATGTACAAAAACTAACTCAAGATGGATTACAGACTTAAATGTAAATCCCAAAACTATCAAAACCCTACAAAAAAAATCTAGGCAATATACCATTGAGGACACAGGCACAGGCAAAGATTTCATGACAAAAATGCCAAAAGCAATTGCAACAAAAGCAAAAATTGACAAATGGGATCTAATTAAACTAAAGAGCTTCTGCACAGCAAAAGAAACTATCATCACAGTGAACAGAAAATCTACAGAATGGGAGAAGATTTTTGCAAACTATGCATCTGACAAAGGTCTAATATCCAGAGCCTATAAGGAACTTAAACAAATTTACAAGAAACAAATAAACAACCCCATTAAAAAGTGTGCAAAGCACATGAACCAGATACTTCTCAAAGGAAGACATACATGAGGCCAACAAACATATGAAGAAAAGCTCAATATCACTGATCATTAGAGAAATGCAAATCAAAACCACAATGAGATACCATCTCACATCAGTCAGAATGGCTGTTACTAAAAAGTCAAAAAACAACAGATGCTGGTGAAGTTATGGAGAAAAAGGAATGCTTTTACACTGTTGAAGGGAGTGTAAATTAGTTCAACCATTGTGGAAGACAGTGTAGCAATTCCTCAAAGACCCAGAGGCAGAAATGCCATTTGCCCCAGCAATCCCATTACTGGATATATGCCCAAAGGAATACAAATCATTCTATCATAAGGATACATGCACGTGTATGCTCATTGCAGCACTACCCAATAACAAAGACACGGAATCAATCTAAATGCTTATCAGTCATAGGCTGGATAAAGAAAATGTGGTACATATACACCATGGAATACTATGCAGCCATAAAAAGGAACGTGATCATGTCCTTTGCAGGGACGTGGATGAAATTGGAACCCATTATCCTTAGCAGACTAACATAGGAATTGAAAACCAAACATCACATGTTCTCACAAGTGGGAGCTGAATGATGAGAACACATGGACACATGGGTGAGAAAAACACACACTGGGGCCTGTTGTGGAAGGTTGCAGAGTAGGGAGGGAGAGCATCAGGAAGAATAATGGATGCTGGGCTTAACTTCTGGGTGATGGGTTGATCTGTGAAGTAAACCACTGTGGCACACATTTACCTATGTAACAAACCTGCACATCCTGCACATATACCCCTGAACTTAAATAAAAGTCGAAGAAAAAGTAAAATAAACTAAAAATTTTTTAAATGGAGCAAGTTGAAAATTTGGGTTTTTCAGACATAGAGCTGACCACTCACAGAATAATAAACTTATAACACCGTAAGGAGATCTCAGTCAGTTACCTAGGTTAGCCTTGGTCAGTGCAACAAAAATAAAGAGTGTGTCATCTGTGTACATCACATAGTAAACACTCAGCAAAAACCCATTGAATGCATTCATTGATTAATTCAACAAGCATTTATTGGATGGGCACACTGAGCTCTTGGTCTAGGTCTGCACTGTTCAATATGGTAGCCATTACTCACATGTGGCTATTTAAATTTAAACTAACTAAAATTAAATAAAATTAGAAATTCAGTTTCTCAGTCACCATAGCCACACTTCAAGTGCTCAATAGACACATGTGGCTAGTGGCGACCATATTACACAGCACAGATATAGAATATTTTCATAATCACAGTAAGTTCTATTGGATAGTGCTGTTCTAGATGCTGAAGATGCAGCTGTGAACACAACAGACAAATTTCCTGTCTTCATAAAGCCTACATTTCACAGGACGATGCAGACAATGAACAAATGAGTTAGTAAAGTATATGACATGTCACATGGTGGCAAGTCTATGGAGAAAAAGCAGGAATGGAAAATAGGAAGTGGGAGTGGAGGGGTGAGGGAAATAGCTACAATTTAAAATAAGATAGTTTGGGAAGTACTGAGAAGATGACTGTATTAGTTAATGTAATGCTAACTGATGTAACAGATAAGGCCTCAAATCTCAGTGGCTGAATAGAATAATAGTTTATTTCTTCCTCCACTCACTGAGTTGTGGGGAGGTACTGTGGAATTATGAGGTGGAATCTGTTCCATTTGGTCATTCAGGGGCACAAGTTAATGGAGGCTCTCCCATCCTTAACACAGAGCTTCGAAAGTTGTCCTGGATGTTAACATCAAGCCAGGAAATGAGAGAAAGTAAGGAATGGAGGATGGTTCAAGAGGCTTCTATGGTCTATGGGTCAGGCCCGGAGGTGGTATAATCACTTACACTAGCATTCACTTGGCCAGAGCTCAGTCACATGGAGAACAATCAACTTTACCAGTTTGCCAAGACTGAGGGATTTCCTGAGATATAGGACTTTTAGTGCCCAAATCAAGAACGTTCCAGGCACAGGAGGATGAGTTGGTCACCTCAGCACATGTCTTCAACTGGATGCCACTTTCTAGCAATAATTCTAGTCTATCTATGGAAAGGGAGAATGCATCTTTGCATTGTTACTGTCTGCATTGTTACTAATGCAGACAGCTAGCTGTCTGCCATAGTAACATTTTCCTCAGAGAAATGAGAAACCCAGCATGCAGATATGGGGAGAGGAAAGAAGAGCAACTGCAGCCAGAGGGAATAGTAAGTGGAAAGGCCCTGAGACAGGGGTGTTCCTGGCTTTGAGGTAGAAAAAACAGGGGACAAGGACAGCTGGAATGGAGCAGGTGAGGTAGAACATTCCAGAGCATCTTTTCAGGTTCCCACTGATCTACTAACAGCCCCCCTGAGATGTGGTTGTTCATTTCCATCAAACTGGCCATAATTTGGTCATAAAGAAATGACGACAATCTCAGCTAACTCCTTTGATGAAATGTAGATAGATAGCCTATGGCCTTTCCCTGGTTTAACAGTTTGCTAGCCCTATCAAAAAAGTTAACTGGCATGGATAGCGATGCATGTACAGTGAGACCAACAGAGCTTAAATGTCTAGGCTCCTCACCTATACAGCTCCCTTCCAAAGCCCTGGAAAGAGCCCTAGCACTGTGTTCACATGTCATATGTTTTCATAAATTTTTCAAAAATAGGATGTTCTCATTATAATCTGTTAAGTTCTCTGTTTCTTTTTAGTTTTACTCCCTCTCCATCACACTTCCCTTCAAGTCTGCCGGTGTTGAAGTGGCCAAGGACATTTTTTAGCTCAGGCTGAGGGGAATTTGAGTTGGGGAATACATTTAGTTTACTCTTAGTGGGAGATGTTTATGTGGTTCACAGTGACTTATGCATATAGTTAACTTACTGCTAGCCATCTTGGTATAGAATTGGCTCTAGAATCCTGCCTGCTGTGCCAACATATCCAGCATTGTGACACAAAGACTCAGCACACAATATGACTCCTAGCCTCTCTTAGTCCATTTTCTGTTGCTTATAACAAAATACCTGAAATTGGGCAACTTATAAACAAAAGGAATTTATTGCTTGCAGTTATGGGGGCTAAGAAATCCAAGGTCAAGGGGCCACATCTGGTGAAGGCCTTCTTGCTGGTGGGGACTGTCTGCAGAGTCCCAAGTTGGCACACGGCATCACATGGCAAGAGCCATGTGCTCTTTAAGGTTTTTTTCCTCTTATAAAGCTACCATACCCACTTCCATGAGAATCCATTAACCCATTAATCTGTGAATAGATTAATCCACTCATGAAGGCAGAGCCCTCATGATCTAACAACCTGTGAAAGGCCCCATATCTCAATACTGCCACATTGGGGGTTAAATTTCAACATGAGTTTTGGAGGGGACAAACATTCAAACCATAGCATATCCACTTTGAGGTATCAGCTGGACCTCTGGCACCTAGTACAAGATGTACGTGAGTAGTGGAGAAGGAATGAAGTATGAAAAGTACATAGGTAGATGCTGTGAACAATTCTTCCAAACAAAAGTACAAGGGATGTACTTGGTTGAATATTGTCTCCCTAAAATTCATGTCCACCTGGAACCTCAGAATGTCAGCCTTATTTGGAAATAGGATGTTTGCAGATGTAATTAAGATTAGGTCATGCTGGTTTAAAGTGGGCCCTAAATCCAATGACTGGTATCCTTATAAGAAGAGGAAAGGGCATGATATGGTTTGGCTGTGTCCCCACCCAAATCTCACCTTGAATTGTAATAATCCCCACGTGTCAAGGGCTGGGTGAGGTGGAAATAATTGAATCATGGGGGTGGTTCTTTCTTGTGCTGTTCTGTTGGTAGTGAATAAATCTCACAATATCTGATGGTTTTATAAATGGGAGTTCCCCTGCACAAGCTTTCTTGCCTACAGCCATGTAAGATGTGACTTTGCTCCTCCTTCGCTTCTGCCATGGTTGTGAGGCCTCCCCAGCCATGTGGAACTGTGAGTCCATAAAGCCTCTTTCCTTTATAAATTGCTCAGTCTTGGGTATGTCTTTATTAGCAGCATGAGAACAGACTAATAAAGGGCATAATCACACCAAGAGAAGAAGGTCATGTGAAGTCAGAGGCAGTGATTGAGTGATGTTGCCACAAGCCAAGCAATGCCAGGAACCACCAGGAAGAGGTAAGGAAGGATTCTCCCACAGAGAGTTTGGAGAAAGAATGGCCCTGCTAGCAGCGTGATTTTGGACTTCTGGCCTCCAAAACTGTGAGAGAATTCATTTCTTTTGTTTTAAGCCACCAGTTCATGCTAATTTATATGGCAACACTGGGAAACTAATGCACATAAATACAGCATTTACAATTACAAGTGCATAATACGTCTCCTTTCTTTTATTAACTGGAAGAAATAAAATTGATTTGGATTCCTTTATTTATAAGCACAAACTTGTAGCAATACTATAAGCAGTAGGAATGTGTGTGTGAAGTTGCATATTATATGCATCCCAGCTTTCAATAATTAAACAAAGAATTTCAATCAACCATGACGGAGGTAAGACTGAATTATTTCTACAGAAAATGACATTACAGAATTGTTGTCACATTAAGATGTGATCAAAGAGTATCTAGCCATCAAAAAAGGAGGGGGAAAGGTAGTATAAAGATATTTCAGGAAGATAATTAATACAAAATATTATGTTATTTTTCTTGATTTTTGTTTGGGATATCTGCCATCTTTTTTTGAAATTTACAATTTGTTGCAAGTTTTAGTCTCATCCTAAATAAATATTCACATGTGTTACCTAATTTTTTATTTGTTATTTTGTATGCTTTTTGAAAGAGTTCCTTCGCCACCACCAAATTCTATAAGCTTCAGGTCTCACAGTATGCTTTTCAGAAATCTACAGGCAAGTTAAGCCCTCTGGAAGCTTATATCATAAGTGAACCAAGTAATCTCTGGATTTACAGCTATCCTGCACAAACAGGATTTTCACGAGATAACATAAACTAGCTCAAAAATTGCTTGTACTTCTTGTAGTGGTTTCTCAACAGCAGTTCTAATGACATCTTGGGTGGGACAAAACTTCGTTGTTCCAGTATGTTCCTTGAACTTAAGAACATCTGGTATCCTTGGCCTCTGTGCACTAGATGCCAGTAACAGGCTCCAGTCTGTGGCAATCAGAATCACTCTCAAACATTTTCAAATTTAACCTGGGCTTGTTGAGGGGGAGAAATACTGCCTCCATTGGGAACCACTGCTAACAGCAGGTGGCCCTGAGATATTCTTTGTAAATCCCATTATATCAGATTGAGATCAAATTGGAATTGGACTCAAAGGCAAGGCCCCTCACTTTGTGTCTCACTTATAGGGCAGACTCACCCTGGCCCTTCCAAGTCAGCCCCTTTCTCCTGCAAGTGAAGCCTGGGAAACACATCTTGAAAAGGCTCCCCATGGGACTCTGATGTCCACCGTAATTTGAGAGCACCTATTCTCAAATTCAGGGTGATTGTGGCCCCCACAGAACATTTGGCAATGTCTGGAGGCAGTTTTGGTTGTCACAACTGGGGCAGGATGGGGTGTTACTGGCATTCAGCAGGTAGAGGCCAAGGATGCTGTAAAACATCCTGCAGTGCATAAGACAGTCCCCACAACAAACACTAATCCATCCCAAGATATCAATAGTGCCAACGTTGAGAAAATCTGATCTAGACATTAGATGTCCCTGAAATACTCTATGTCAATCTCATTTTACTAAATCAAATTATATTTTAAGGGAATTAGGAGATTTTGTGTCCGTCAAGCCCCACGGCTTTCAACCAGACTGACCTGCTGGGAGCCGTAAGCAGTGTCATGCCCTGAGTTTTTGGAAGACCTAGGGCTTGCACCCCATCCCTTCCCCACATCTGTCAAACTGCCTGCCTTTGGCCCTTTTCCGATGCAACAAGGCTTGCCTGAGCCCCCAGGGAGACCTGTTCTCTCCTAGCTACTCTAGGTAATATGACACAGGCAGATTATAAGTACTTACCGAATCATTTCTGGTTTATCCTTTCTCTGCTTCATTTTTTTCAAAAATAAAAAACAAACACGTGTGCATTATAATTTTCCCTTGTAACAAACAATTTACCCTGTTTTATGCCTTATCTTTTAAAATGCATGCTTTTCCTCATGCTTTCTTACAGCCACATAGTACTCCACGATGCAGATGTACCATAGTTTATTCAACTGTGAACCAATGTACATTAGGGCTTTTCCAGCCTTTTGTTAATACAAATAATGCCACAGTGAATAAAATTAGAGATGCATTATTTTATATTCATGGAGGGGCTTCTTCAGAGTGCATTTGTGGAAGTAAGACTGATGGGTCAAAAGATAAGTGCAAATGTAATTCTGTTACCTATCGCCAAATTCTCATCAATGGTGGCTCCACTATTTTTCACTTTCATTGCAATGCAGAAGCATGCCTGTTTGCCCACAGCATTGCCAGGAAGGTATTTTGTTAAACTTTTGGATTTTGCCTTAAGTATGGATAGAAGTATGTAGTCTCAGTGTAGTTTTAATTTATTACAATGACGTTGAGCATATTTTCTTACGTATAAGAGTCATCTTATACGTAAGATGTCTTTTTCTTATATGTCTTTTTCTGTGGGCTGTCTGTTTATATCTTTTGTCCACTTTTCTATTGTGTTTTTGCTTCCTCCTCTTCTTCTTCTTCTTCTTCTTCCTCTTCCTCTTCCTCTTCTTCTTCTTCTTCCTCTTCCTCTTCTTCTTCTTCTTCCTCTTCCTCTTCCTCTTCTTCTTCTCCCTCTTCTTTTCTTCTTCTTCTTTTTGAGACAGCCTCCCACTCTGTCACCCAGGCTGGAGTGCAGTGGTGCAATCACAGCTCACTGCAGCCTCGACCTCCTGGGTCCAAGCGATATTCCCACTTCAGCCTCTTGAGAGTAACTGGGACTACAGGTGTGTGCCACCACACCCAGCTAATAGTTATACTTTTTGTAGAAATGGGATTTCACCATGTTGCTCAGGCTTGGTCTTTTTCTTCTTGATCTTTAAAAGTTCTTTATATATGTGAGAGAAATTAGTGCAAAAAGGAGCTTCTTTTGTAAACTGAAAGGGAAGTTTTAAAACTGGGAGAGTTAAACACATAATCAACTAAAAAGCTGAACTTTTCTGTTACTTAGCAGGAGGGAATATGACGATTAGGTCAAATACAGGCATATAAATTGAATAGTTTCTTGTTTTCTTCTTTTTTTCACATGAAAGTATAGTGTGAGCAGAGCTGTGACTCACTACATATGGCTGAGGCGCCAGAAAATTTCAAATCCAATGGGCTTTCACTCTGGGCTTCCTGAAAGTGAGATCTGCTGCTGAGATGTAGCAAGTTTGCCAACCAGCTTCTTTCTTAAGAAAAAGATGATAATGTGATCTCAAAATGAAAAATCCTAAAGAAGAAAACATATATCTAGTTCTTAAATGCATTAACTAGAGGCATGATTAGAGGACAGCTATTAAGTATCCCAAAAGCCAGGTGTTTCACAATGAACAATAACATTCTCTTGGCCCTCATTTGAATTTTGGAGGCATGTTTAAAGTAGAAAAAAAGCAATAGAAAGATATGGAGCTCGAACTACTGTGTCTAAATAAACATCTTGCAGCAATGATAACTTGGGAATGTTCTGAACTTAGAGTTAGATAGAGCATCCTCAGTAATGTTATTATGCAGAATCTGCACTGGTATTCTCTTTGACGGGGAGTAAAAGGGCAACAGGAAAACAAATCAGCCACTCTAAGCAAAGGCAGCTTGATTCTTCCCTTGAATCTTTGCTGGGGCTGAGGTGACCTGCAATAACAATCTCCTGTAGAGATTGTGTCAAGTTCCATTCTCAACCTTGGAAAGAGATGGCAACACCAGTGGAGGCAGCCACATGAAATGACCCCACAGAGACACTCAGCAGGCTGCTCAAGCTAGCCCTGTCTGCAAGGAAGAGAAGAAAAAGGTGAGCAGAGAATCCAGAGGTGATGCTGACTGCAGCTTCAATGGCATGATGAACACAACCCTATTGGAGTGGGTTCAAGAAACAGGAGAGCAAGTGAAGATGGCAAGTAGAGACAACTCATTCCAGCACTTCGGGTGTGAAAGGAAGTGGAAAATTATAGCAATGACTGGCATTGGATGCAGAGTTGAAGGAGGCATGTGTGTGTGTTTAAGTCATGAAGATAGTATAGCACGTTTGTAAGCTGGCCCAGCTTTCTCCGGCACAGAGGGGGAAATTACTGACATAGGAGAGAATTGCTGGGGTAATTCCTTGAGCAGATGAGTGAGTGGGACCAGCTTCACGGGCCTGCATCCTGTGCAGGCTTCCAGGGCCCCAGGCTCCTTGTACTTGGTGTAATGCCTGGGAAATCCCAGGAAGATGAGCATTTCCAGGAACTAACTGAACCCACACTGTGGTCAGGACTTTCTGAAGCTCAGCATTTTGGAGAAGCACATGCAGTCCCTCACAAGAAGATGCCCTGCCTGTCTGCCACCCATGGCATCGTCTTCAGGCCCCAGAGTCACTTACAGAAGCATAGACAGACCCAGACACACCTCAACAACAGATGGCTATCCTCCAAATCTGGTGGAAGAGAGGCAGCCTTTTGGGGAGGAGACAAGGTTGGAGAGACCCTCAGAACAGAGGGCAGGGGAAAGCCAGAGCCAGAGGGAAGGTGATGGGACATCAGAGAGACCTCCTTCTCCAGGCACCGAGGGTGCAGGGCAGTGTCCAAAGTCTTTCCACATTTGTCCCTTGCTGCCAAGAGCCTAGACATGAAGTCAGAAGTTGTTCCCTAAGTCCACATTTAGAAACTGCCAAAGGGGAAGCCCCTTTGAACTCTAAATATGGCTTCCCCTCAGTTCCTCCTGGTGTAAGGTGTCAGAGTAGAAGTCCAGCTGCCAGCAAGCCTTGGCTGCTGCAGTGGCAGTAGGCGGCTTCCTTGAAGGAGTCCTGGGACACCAAGGCCTCTGAGGGCAGGCTAAGGAAGTGTGAGACCATGGACTCAGGCTACTTGTCCCACTCTGGGACCAGCTTCTGGTCCCCTCCAGGCCCTGCACAGTTGCCTGAGCACAGCACTGAGTCTGAGGGAGAGTGAGCTCAGGGCTGAGACCTGAAGGTGCCAGAGTTGAGGAGGGTGAGCATGTGGCTAGCCTGGAGCTAGAGAAGAAATAGCCGGAGGATTGCACCTCCAGGCTCAGTTGGCAACCCACATCTAGACAGCATATGGCCCTGCAAAACCATCTTGTCCGAGCAGAGTAGTATTGACCTCCCCGTTCCCTACACCTATAAGGACTCCTTCCATTTTGATGTCTGAGTGCTGGGGCCCAGTGAGAGGAAACACAGCACCTTCCACTTGGTCCACTCTGTCTTCACTTCAGTGAATACATCTTGGCCCCTCTTCTTTCACTCTGTCCCCACATAGCTCTCCACCACCATGGAATGCATGCCTGTCACCAGGAGCAACTCACTATCCTTCATCAAAAGTGCCAGGACACGGCAGGATAGAGGGCCAGACCCTGTGGAAGCCTGCCTTAGGAGGAAGCCTCTGAGCCCCAGACTCTACCTGGCTCAGTTGGGCTACAGCTTGGGGCTGACCTTGATGGGTGTCCCCAGTAGTCACCCTCGGGCCCTGGTCAGTCAAGCTGCCATGAAGGGCCTGCCTTTTACCCCACTGAAAATATCCTGACCACCACGGAGGACCCCAGTGGGAAGAGAAATGCCACAGCCAGAGGGAGCTAAAGATGTTTTCCCAGGAGAAGCAGCAAATGTGTAGGGATAAGACATTCAAAATAAACCACCGGAAAATGAAAATCAATCACCACAGAGTCAAGAAGGCGAGGGAGGTGAGACTGGGCAACAGGAGAGAAGCAGACTCACCATCACACGCAGAGGCAGGAAGGGCAGGGTGCAGGCCAGTCAGGGGATGAGAGATACCTCTGTTTGTGGGCACGCCATCTTCCCTCCTGGGGCCACTTCTGTTGGAGTGAAGATGGGGTTTGAGGATAGTTGGTTGGCTCAGGAAGTCTCCTTGGTCATGGTGTCTCCCAAGCAGAGGGAGGGGATGGCCAGAATATTAAGTATCTACCAGTCCAGGGTGAACACAGCCACATATACCCCTCACCCTAAGCTGCAAAGATTCCCCCCATCCCCAATTTGGGCAGTAAGAGTCCTCTGCTTCCTTTAAATGGGAGGTTGGAGCCAGGGTGTCACCTGCCACCAGCACCTGGTCCTCAAAGAGGTGACCCAGAGACCCCCAGGCTGGTTTTGCCAGACCCCAAGCAGGAAGGAGGCTTCCATGGTGATGGGAAGCAGGGAGTTGATCAGGGGGCCCAGGCTATTCTGAGACTGCCCAGCTGTAACTGCAGCAAATTCTAGCCCACGAGTACAAGCTCCCCTCGGAGAGGAAGAAATTGAAGATAGGGCAGCTGAGCAGCCAATAGAAACTAGAACCTCTGGGAGCGGGAGGCAAGAGAGAAGAACCCAGATAGCTCAGCAGAGGACACCACCCCACTGTCTCAGAACCGGGACAGTGACCCCAGGGAGAAGACAGGGAGATGCACTAAAGTACTGTCTGCATGGAGGGTAAGAGAGGTGGACCAACAGACACGTTCTTGGGGTCCTTTGGTGTCTCCTTAGCTACTTCTTGGATTGTTCTGAGGCCTTCAAGGGGGGAAAACGAACCTCCATTTCATTCTGTGTCTGTGGTTACTAGGCAGTGTCTCAAGTCTCCAGGTGGAAGCAGCTCCCAGGCGGCCACTTAGCCTTGACTTCCTGGGGTTCTTTTCTCGCTAGAGGACAATGACTTCCTTAAGATTCTTCCTTAAGTTACCTTAGGGAGAAACCCACTTACACTGCTAGTAGCCACAGAGGCCTGAGTAAGGCTAGGTTGCCCTCTGAGGGAGAGGCTACCCCAAAAACCAGGCATCCTTTGTTGGGTCCAGGCTGGGACCTGTCTTCAAGAAACAGGAGAGCAAGAAACCCAGCCATAGACAGGACTAGTTTTATGGATATGTGACTCGTGTTCAGAAGGGTCCCGTGCTTGCTTTAGTGCTCTGATGTTGATGTCTCAAAATTCTTGATACATTTTGAGTAAGGTGTCTAGATTTTTCTTTTGTACTGGGTAGCCAGGTTTGCAAGGAAGGATGGGATCCAGGGCACAAGTGAGGGGTTGGCCTAAGCTAGGAATGGACGGTCCATCCATAGTAGAAGAGGGGAAGGCACAGTTGCAGGTAGGTTGGTGGATGTGGTGGTGGGAAGCTGAGGGATTTCTCTCTGACTGCTTCTAGTTTTCTAGTGGAATAAGAAACAAGGTCTTCCTGTGAGAGTGAGGAAGGGGGAGAAGTGTTTGTGGTTTGAAGAAACGGGGGAAAGTGTGAAATGGTTGATGAGGGTGAGCTAATGGGGTGTTTCCCAATATCTGGGATAATTCATGGGCTCCTCAGGGAGCACTGAGTTTACTCAGCTTACTCAGTCTCAGAGGGTCAACTGGGTTGGAAGTCCTTCCTGGCCAGTTGACAACCAGGCTGCTGGAGCCAAACTTGACAACTGTTGTTCAGCTTGGGGTAAAAGCTTCAACAAATAGACCCACCTAACTGGGATGTGGGACGGTTGAACTGGCCTGATAGCCCTCACAAGTCCCCAAATGGGAACACGCTTCCGTCAAAAGTAAACCACTGAAACTGCTCTTATCAACAATGTTAATGGCGTCCATGTTGCCAAAGCCTATGGTCATTCTTAGTCCTCATCTTACTTGGTTCACCAGCAATAGTGTTTCTTATTTAAAACTATTCGGTCTCTGAGGCATTATCCCCTTAGTTTGTCTTTTTATTTACTGGCTTCGCCTCCTTACTATCCTTTACTGCACTTTCTTATCTTCCCAGTCTGTAAGCTTTGGAGTGCCCCCAGACTTAGTCTTCACATATCTCACTCCCTGTCACTCCCTAAGTAATTTTTTCCAGGCTCATGGCTAAAAACACCACCTATACAGCAATGCTTCCCAAATACGTATTTCTAGTTCAAAGCTCTTCTAAACTCCATTCTTGTATATCCACCTGCCCACCAAACATCTTCTCTTGGAGGTCTGATATGCATCTCAAACTTAATGTATAAACTAGAGCTACTGATATCTCCCACAAACCTTCTCCCCTGCAGACTTCTCCCTCTCCGTTAAATGGCAACTGCACCCTTCCAGTTGTTCAGACAAAAAATCATGGTGGCATTGGTTGACTCTTTTTTTTTCTTGCATACTCTGCATCCTATCCAGTAACAGATGCTATTGGCTCTACTTTCAAAATACATCCCCAGTCCAACCTCTGTCATATCTGTTGCTGCCACAGTAGTCCAAGCCACCATAATCTCTGGCTGGGATTGTAGCATTCACCTAAATGAGCCCTCAACTTTGCTACTCTTGTCCCCCATAGATTATTCTTACACAACAGCCAGGGTGAACTTTTTAAATGTAGAACAGAACATGTTATCCTGTTCAAAACTAGAGAGTGGCTTCCCAGATAACTTGATACAGTAATTTGAAGTAATTCCTATTCTTCTATCAGGCCCTATGTGAATGAATGACCTACCCATCTCCTTCCTCCCTTCACTCATCTCCTACCACTGTCCTTATTGCTTATTCCACTTGACCCACTATCCTTTTTGCTGTTCTTCGAACACTTCAGGTATGCTCCTGCCCTGGGGCCTTTGCTCTTGCCTTTTCCTCTGTTTAGAACATGCTTGCCTAGATATCCAATATGACTTACTCCATCACCTTATCCAGGTCTCTGCTCAAATGTTACTTTATCAGAGAGGCGTTTACTGACCATCCCTCATCATTCTCTATCACTTTAACCTACTTCATTTTTCTTTATAGTTCTTATCATCACCTAATATATAATAATTTATATTTGGTTATTGTCTACTCCAACTGGAATGTAAGCTTCTTTATCATCATAGTGTCTATATCGATGCTTGGCACCAAGTAAGTGTTCAATACATATTTGTTCACTTCTAACTTAAATCTTGATTGGGCAGAGCCTAGGTCATGTGCCTGCTCTCCAGGTGCAAGGGATGCTGGGAGAATAAGTTCTGACTTTTACATTGGGGAGGAAAATTCTTAAAACCTAGAAAGGATCTTCAAAAGTTGTTGAGTAGTCACAACTTTCCTACAATCACAATCACAAATTTTCTCATATTTGTGAGGAAATCTGAGTACAGACTCTTTCTAGAGTTTTCTAATGTCCACCTAATCTTTTTGAATCTACTACACCCAAACCAATAGCCGTTCCTCCACCTTTTTTTTTTCCCTCCAGCAACTTGCCTTAATGACGTCTATCCAGTAACTCTCAGGCTTTTATGGTCATTTTCATTAATTTGGGTCACTTCAAATTACAGAATTCTAGTGACAACTACAAGCATAAGCAGAATTGGAAACAAACTCAATTCACTCTTGGCTAAATATACAACTCAACCAGCAGGAACAGAAGTATCCTGGCATCTTAGAGAGTAGCCCTCTACCTCTGAGCAGCTGCAGGCCCCAGGCATCAGTATTGCTTCCAGTGGATAATATTGATTGATTAGGTGAATCAATTAAGTGGAGAAGGGTTAA